>NC_000015.10:27519298-27822328 GCF_000001405.40 Homo sapiens
CTTATGGAATCTCTAGTCACATCTGCATTGCTCCCAACTTCTTTATGGTGTGGTTCTGCTTTGGTAGAAGAGAGTGGAATGTCAGGAAATGATTACTCCTTTTTGTTTCTGGGTTGGCACAGCTTAAGTCCTGGGTTACAAAAGGATCAGATAAATATACATACATTAATTAAAACAAAGTGCGAAGTTGATAAGCAAAACTTAAAGATATAAATAAATAAAAATATAAAATGGTTACACAAGTTTATGTAAGATATGATAGCTTTGTTGTCATTGGAAAAGCATCCCTTAAAATGACCCTGGGTCTGTTTGAGGGTTGAGTTTACCTGTTACTCTTGAATTTAATTGTACAACCTATGGAAGGACTCAAGTGATAATAGCTCATCAACTCATGGCCTGTCGTGGAAGAGATCTGCATGTGTTCTCACTCTATCCGTGAATATGTTCGTTTTGTGCCCTTTACACTGACCGATTAAATGCCTGGTACAGCCATGGTTACTATGAAAATTAAGTTTAAGAAAACCAGCATTTTGATCCATTTCCTGATTTGATATTGTTGTAGTTGTGCATTTTTATCCAAGTCATTCACTTAACAAAATAAATTGTAAATTATTTTCCTGAATTATTTTTGACCCATCAAAGTTGTCTTAATTTTGACAATATTTTATTACAGGTGATTATGTTGTCATGACTATATATTTTGAATTGAGTAGAAGAATGGGATACTTCACCATTCAGACATACATTCCCTGTATACTGACTGTGGTTTTATCCTGGGTGTCATTTTGGATCAAAAAAGATGCTACGCCAGCAAGAACAGCATTAGGTGAGTTTCAAAAAATCTCTTCCACAAATTTGCGTAATTGTAATATAGAAGCATTCATAAAAAATACCTTCAATGTAAAAGACTATTTAAATGTGAATGATCTCATTTGAGGGTGACTTGAACCATGCTTAGAATTTTCTCTTAAGAAGCCAAGCAAGGCTGTTCTTTCTCACAATGGGATTCTATGTATGCCACTTAAATCAAGACGGCGTAGGAGATTCACAGTAAATCCATTGTGATAGTATCCTGTATCACAGGCTGATATGATCACAAAAACACAGGCACATCCCAGAACCTGTCAACTCAAAAGTCCCCATACGTTAATGTCAGGAAACAGAATTTGCCACACACCTCTGAGGACTGAAGACATAGTATTGGTAAAAAATAGTTGATCAATAATTGAAGCTCTGCTTGTATATAGCAACTTTATCAGCAAACGAGAAAATGATCATTCTTTTCAGCTGTGAGCACACACTAAAACTCAGTCTTTTCATGAATTTTTCTCTGGTTCCCAAAATCTTCTTAATAAAACACTAACTTTCAGTAGTTTTAGAACTGTGCAACGTGTATTATGTCAGGTTTCCTTTCTGACAGGAATTTTGCTTAACTTTCAATGTTTTGATTTTTTGAAGGCAGGTAATATATAAGACTGAATATAGAGATTGTTTTCCCCTAAAAAAAATCCTATAGAAAAGAGGAAGCTGTCTCAATTTCAAATTTCTGCAACATCTCTCATATTTGCATTGTTATTTCTCTGTGTTTTTTTTTTATTTGTTTGTTCAAGAACAAAGCACTGGGCCTGGGTAGACCAGATGCCAAGAGATTAATTAGCCTGTAATATCCTCTACCTATACTAGATTTGCATGCTTATAGAAAATACGTGGTAGAATTGTAGGCAAATCAACACAGATTTCGTGACTAACCCTTGGGGTTATGGCTTCATAGTTACATATATTAGATGTCACTGTACACAAGACATCTAAAGATAAGCTTCAAAGTGATATAATATATAACTATGTTTGTACAAATTGAGACTATGAAAATCCTACAGAGAATAGTTGTTCTGGGCTCAAGACACAGAAGCTAGAATTTCACGGTGCAGTCAGATAATAAATTTATAGCCAGAAGAATTGAGGAACTTTATTAACAATAAGATGTTTAGTTTAGACACCAAAAAGTCTGTGCCTAGAAATAAAGGGGGTACCCTAGACGTCCTTTAATGAAGCTTGAACCAAGCAATAACAAGATCAAGGAGAACCATCAGTAAATTAACTGTTTGTCAGAAGAATTCAAAGAGCTTCTTAAAAAGATAATATAGTGCAGACTCTTTACATTGTAAGGAGTTATAATAAGAACTTATTAGACATTCTAAGATGTAGAAAAATGTTACCCATGATTACAAAGAAAGAAGGATTAATAAAAAGCAAAGAGAAGTCTATTGCTGACTCAGTAGGCATGGACTTTAACAACAGCTATTATAACAATGAAGACTTAAAGGATAATATGATTTTAATTAATGAATAGATGGGTTATCTCATCACAGAAAGTATATAAAAAGAAATTCTAGAGTGAAATGTATAATATCTTGATTGAAAAATTCACTAACTAGACTTAAGAGCAGATTGAAGATGGCAGAAATAAAAGTTTATATAAAATTGAAGACCACCAGATGAAATTTATCTAATCTGAAGATCAAAGGAATAAAAGATTAAAAAGAAAGAAGTCCCAGTGACCTGTGATACAATATGAATATGCATAACATAACTATAACTGACTATAACTGAGGTGATAGTTAAAAGCAGAATAAGAAGAGAAAAAGAATGAGGACAAATATTTTTGAAAACAAGTGGTTAAGAAATTCCAATGTTTGGTGAAAAACATCAGCCTACAAATTCAAATAGCTTAGTGAGATACAAGTAAGATAAATACGAAGAAAACCATCATAGTCCAAATGATGACAATCAAAAATAAAGAGAATACTTGAAAGTAGATAAATAAAAATGTCCTGTCATGTGGATGAGCAAAAATATGACTGACTGATTCTTCATGTGCAATAATGGAGACCAGAAGATAGTCAGTTGCCATCTTTAAAGTACTGAAATTCTATATCCAGAGAAAATATACTTCAAAAATTTCATCAGAATGAAGATTTTTTTAGATAAACAAAATCTGTGCTAATTTATCACAGAAAATCTAAAACCATAGTGAAAATTCTAAAGCAAGCTAATTAGGTTAATAGAAATAATCAATAGAAAAATGGATTTACAAGAAGTAATGAAAAACATCAGAAATGGTAAGTGTGCGGTGAAGTTTAAAAAAAACTAGTTTTCTATTTTTATTCTTTCAATTAAAGTGAAAATAATAATATTGCAAGATGGGACTTATGACATCAGAAAAAATAAAATGTAAGCCATAAATAGCAATGAGGTTGGGGGACATATGGAACTATGTTCCTATGTGGTATAAAAATGGGTGAAGTAATTCTAAAAAAATTCTAAGTAGATATATTAAGAAATCTTATTGTAATCTGTTAAAAATGTATGAAAATATAGTAAAAAGCATAGCTAAGAATTCAATGTAGAAATAAATAGGAGCATATAATAATAATAAAAGGGTAAATTCAACAGAAAGACAAAACATTCATAAATGTGCCTGTGCCTAGTATTAGAGCTTCATATTAAAAGCAACAAAAACTGAGAAGAGGATAAATTTTTAAAATCAATCACAGTTTGATATTTAAATATACTTCTATCAGCAGTGTACACAAACAAGCACATTTGTCCACTTATTTAAGTGATTAAACCAGTCAACAACCAAAAAGCCAGTAAAGGAATGGAGGATCTGAACACCAATATCAATGTCCTTGAGCTATTGGATATTACAGAACTCTGCACCTAATAATTACATCATGAAAGTGAATTTCAATATCCACCTCCTGCCATACACAAAAAATTACTTAAAATGGATTATACTCAAATGGTAAAACTAGAAATGTTAAATTTCTAGAAAAATGTTAGGATTATATTAGATTAGATAAAGATTTCTCAGACCAGAAAGTGAATCTTAGGTGAGGAAAACTTTAAAACATTTCTGACATGAAAACACACTTGAATAGATATTTCATGTTATTAGATAAAAAGAAACATCATGAAGATTTGTGGTTTTGTATTTATATAAAATAAATACATTTTTACAATGAATAGCATCTTTCTCCTCTTTTTATGCATTTGATATGCAGAAATTTTAATTTAATTTATTAGTCTTTATATTAATATTTTTGTTCTAAATATGTTGTAAATATGACTACTTTAAAGATTTTCTATATAATATTTTAGTCTGATAAAATTATACCAGAAATGTCCAGGATACAATAAAATATCACTCATCATATCAAAAAGAAAATGCCAAAATCAAGATGACACAGTTGTTAGAATTATCTGACTAGGATTTTAAAATAATCAGTCATAAATGTGCTTCAATGAGCGAATGCACACATGCTTCAACTAAATGAAAAAATAGAAAAGCTCCACAAAGAAATAGAGGATATAAAGAAGAACTCAATGAAATTTTTAGAACTGAAAAATACAATGCCAAAATGAAAAACTCACTGGATGTGCTTAACAAAAGAAGATAAGACAGAGGAAAGAATCAGTGAACCATGAGATAGAACAACAAAAATTTACCAATCTGAGCAACAGAGAGGGAATATATTGAAAAAAATAATAATCAACTGAGTTTAGGGATATCTTCAAATGTTGACACAAATATTGGAGAGGGAAATGATCCAACATTTGTGTCACTGGAGTTCCAGAAAAAGAGAAATAGAATGGGGCTAAAAAAAATATTCAAAGAAACAATGGATAAAAAATACTCAAATTTGCCAAAAGGCATAAATCTAGAGATCCAAGAAGCTGAATTAATCCCAAATAGGTTAAATCCAAAGAATGTTAGGTAAAGACACATCATAATCAAACTCTTAAAAACTGAAGAAAAATTATTAAGAGTAGCAAAGAAATGTCACCTTGCCTATATAGAAAAAACAAATTGAATGACAATGGATTTCTCATCCAAACCATGGAGGCAAGGAGGAAGTAGCACAGCATTTTTTAATGCTGAATGGAAATAATAGTCAACCCAGAATTCTATACCCAATGAGAGTATCATTTAAGAATAAAGGAGAAATCCATTCTCGGACAAAGAAGAACAAAGAGAATTTGTCACTAGCAGATGTCCCCTAAAATGATGGCTAATGGAATTTCTTGAAATAGAAAATGATGAGAAGAAATTTTTAACAAAAGAAATAAAGAAAAAATACAAAAAGTGAAAATATGGGCAAGTAAAATGGACTTTCCTTTGCCTTTTGAGTTTTCTAAATTACTTATAATGGTTGAAGCAAAAAATCATAATGCTACTTGATGTAATTACTAAACTAATTAAAGGAAATATTTAAGACAATTATATTAAAATCAAGGAAGAGTAAGGGGAAATAAAGTTTCTACATTTCAGTCACATTGGTAAAATGTTAAATATGCTAAATTATGTATTTATAATACTGGAGGAACCACTAAAAAGGCTACAAAGAGTGACACGCCTCAAAAACACTGTAGGTAAAGCAAAATCAAGTTCTAAAATATGTTGAGATAACCCATGGGAAGGCAGGAAAAAGAAAACAATATATTATAAAGGAACAAACAAACAGGAAACACAATATAAAATGGGATAGTTACATCTTAAATATTAATAACTACATTCAATGTAAATTGCTGGAACGTACCAGTAAAAAAGCAGAAATTAGCAGAGAGGATTAAAAAAATAAAGCATGATCCAACTACAATGTGTCTCCAAGAAAGTCACTTGAAATAGGATGACATTATTACACTGACATGAATGTTCATGTAATCACCAGGAACTGGAAAGAACCAAAATATCCCGCAACAAGTGAAAGGCTAACGAAACTATGGAACACCCAAACCATGAAATACTACTCAGCAGTAGGAAAGAACAAACTATCGATGAAGCAGCAGTTTAAATGTGTCAAGGGCATTGTGCTGAATGAAAAAAAAACAAAGCCAATATCAAAATGTGTTATTTTAGTTTGTGTTTAAATTAGGAGGTTTACTTCTGACTGCAGTAAGATGCCAGGATTTATATTCACTCATCCCTCCAAAGTCAAGAAGAAAGTTGTTCTAGGATTCTGTGAGACCAGAATCATCCCCAAAGCATCCTATATGTACTAGACTCAGCTGAGATAACCTTCCTGAAGTCCTTTGTGCTTTCCCCAAAGAGGAAGTCATGCCAACAGGTGTTTTTGCAGAGCACTCTTCTTTACTAGGTAGCTTAGATCCCTGAACTAAATAGAAATGCCTAAGGTTTATTTTTCTTCAGCAGGGTGAAGTTTCAGGGTGGGGGTGGAAGTGGGGAGGATAAAGCACACGGCCATTGCCTACATCTGGAATACAGGCCACTCATGACAACTGATGGACAAGGTCTATGGAAATTACAGACACAAACAGTTTGTATTTCTATTGAAATAGAAGCTAAGATTTTGAACTTCTTCTTAGACATGATGTGGTCACATTTTTAAAAGCTGAATTGGATGTTTATTAAAAGAGGATAATGGCTTCCAGCTTCATCCATGTCCCTGCAAAGGACATGATCTCATTCTTTTTTTGGCTGCATAGTATTCCCTGGGGGAGAACATTAGGGAAAAGAGCTAATGCATGCTGGGCTTAATACCTAGGTGATGGGTTGATAGGTGCAGCAAACCACCATGGCACATGTTTATGTAATAAACATGTACATTCTGCACATGTTCCATAGAACTTAAAAAAGTAAATAAAATAATTTTTTTCTAAAGAGCTTTTTCCATAAAACTACATCTGACATAAGTATAGACTTTTCCAGTTTACATAGCGTTTTTACATGAAATTTTACCACCTATATTAAAGAGTGCCTGGCATTCTATTTTCACTGCACAAGTTAAGGAAACTGATTCAAAGATGGTAAGTGACTCCTCATGGCCAAATGCTGAGAAGGCCCAGAGCAAGGTGGAGGGCTTGGATTTTCAGGTGATACTCTTTACACCTCTACAAGCTGTCCACCCCATGCTTTGAGACCCATTCTCCACCTGGCCCTGGCAGAACTGCCTTGAGTAGATGCAGGGAGGAATTAAACAGAGGCCGTGATGCTGCAGCAAAGGTGGAAAGTAATGTGTCCTCATCTGTCCTGTGTACCTACTCTCTGACTAGTACTGCGATGCAGATATTTTACTGTAGTCCCATTGAGCTACAGAGGTGGTGACTGTTAAAATTCAGATTCCTGTGATTCTGGGGCCCATGAATCTGGGGTCACTAACCTTCCCTGTCTAGTAGTCCTGACAGGTCCTGATTTCTTGGGAAGACTCGGGAGAGTCAGTCTTAGCCTGTTTCACATGATAATCACTCTTCTTCATTTTATTCTTATGTTCAATAGTCTCCATGTCTTTTTTCATGTTTTCCCTTCTAAGCTATCCATCTCGTGTGTGTCTGTGTCTCTTTTCTGAATGTTTTCCACAATATTTGCTTAAACATCCAGTGTTGACCCATGCATATAAAATAGTCTAAGTCAAACCAACATTGAGTATTACCAATTAATTGATTCATTCGATGCAAATCATTCATTTAAATGCCTCAAATGTGCTAGCGTCTGTGCTGGGGGACAAGCAAACAAAGACAAGTAAGGGACTGTTTTTGTCTTAAAGACCACACAATCTATCTAGGAGACAGGTATGTAAAGACATATGCGATTCCCTGTGATAATGAAAACAAAAAAAGCTGAGATAGTAGAAGGTACAGGGATACTGCAGATGTGCATGTTGTCAGCTCTGCGTGGAAGGCAAGAGTGGTGCTGGAGCCGGGTCTTCAAGAATAGTGAGGGTTTTCAAACTGGGGAGGTGAGGAGAAGTCAGAAATAAAAGGATTTAGCTGGGCAGAAATGTGAGGTGTGGAACAGCACGGAACATATAGGACTGCCAAAAAGAGCGTCTACGTTAAAAATTACCAACAATGAGCGAATTACTGAATGAATTGAAAGGTGTTGATTTGATTCAGGCACTTTAATGTTATTGTGAAGACTATAATAAGAAATTTCATTGAAACATTGCTTATAAAATTGTATGGACATTAAAATTCAAAGTAACATTACATGAGGTATGCAGCATCAGGGATTCCTGTAAGGCAGCCGTGCTGGGGTGGAGGGATGTGGGTGACCGTCTGGGATTCCTGTTGCGTGTTGCACCCTTTTACAACATGCTACCCGTCCCCTGTTCAGGCATCACCACGGTGCTGACCATGACCACCCTGAGCACCATCGCCAGGAAGTCCTTGCCACGCGTGTCCTACGTGACCGCCATGGACCTTTTTGTGACCGTGTGCTTCCTGTTTGTCTTCGCCGCGCTGATGGAGTATGCCACCCTCAACTACTATTCCAGCTGTAGAAAACCAACCACCACGAAGAAGACAACATCGGTGAGCTGCAGTAGCAAAGGTTCTCCGGGAGGTAATGGGGGCGCTGTTTGAGATGAGTGTGTACTTAAATGCAGTTGTATTCCTAAGGATCGTACAAAGCATGATACAAATACCCAGTTCAACAAGACTTTTCAAAACCAGACAGGGATTCTGAAGATGTGAATGTGACTCTAAGACATCTCTGGTGTCACCTACCGGTGACGTGGCTTGGTTTAGTCATACCCTAAAGATTGCTCTTAAGAGTGATCTTGGATGCAAATGTTCATGACAGTTTCCTAGTTATTTTTTCTTCTTTTCTTGTAGTTACTACATCCAGATTCCTCAAGATGGATTCCTGAGCGAATAAGCCTACAAGCCCCTTCCGTACGTATAGCATTGCAGGTGCCAATATTTCTGAGAACTTTCACTAAACTAAGATTGCATTTGAAAGATAGATTGCTGTTGATGCATGCATGTATTGAAGACCAATGAGTGATGCACATGCTGACTTCAAAAATGTGTTTAGTATTAGGTTAAAAATCCAACTTTGACAATTTGGAAATTAGAGGAGAAAAGTAATCATAATCCTTCTACATGGGGATTAGTGTATGGCATATATAGTTCTGACTCTTTTAGCCATTCAAATAATATAGGTTCATGCATTTTAGCAAAACTGAATTATGATCTTTATATTGTTTTATAGCCTCTTTTATAACTCAAAAATATGTACTTATATGTACTTAAGTTTTGTGCCACAAATATTATTTTATAGGATCATTTTAATGACCATATCATATGCTCATGATTGATGCACAAGCAATCTTGGCAGGACACTGGGCTTATCCACATTTTTCACTTGCATTTACATTCTTTTCACTACCAATTTGTATATACCTGTGACTATTTATTTGGTTATAAATTCCTAGGAGCAGAATGTTTGGGCAGAGGCGTTGCATGGTCTTTGCCAAATAGCACTCCACCAGCTCCATCAGCAATGCCAGACACCTCATCCCGAACTTTCCCTGCATTCAGTTTGGTAGTCACGCAGGAAAATGAGCTCTGCAAACTTTTCCCATTGGCATTTCTTTGACTATTGACAATATTGTCACTCGTTTATTTTTGATTTGCATTTCCATTTTTGGGAATTGCTTTTAAATATTTTTTAACTTTCATTAGTATTTTAAGGTAGCAATCTGACAGTGGTGTATATGTTACATATTATATAAATTGTATTTTATAAAATATATAATTTATATAGTCACATATAGGATATATTCATGATATTAATGTTTGTCATGTGGTTTTTATTCCAACTTGAATTGGCAACATTGCCACTATCCTATTTTGTGCCTTTCTCTATGTGTATTATTTTGTTTCATGTGGTCAAATCTGTTAGTGTTTTCTTTTGTAGTTTCTGCTTCTTGTGTTCTGCTTTGGAAGGTCCTTCCTACCCTCAAAATGACATGACCACCCTCACTTTCTTTTGAGCACTATGCTTGACATTATGTTCTCTGTGTTTTCATGTATCAACTCACTTTATTCTCACAACAAACCTTTCTACAAATGAGGAAATTAAAGTGTGGATAAATTAAGCCCTATAAATATTGACCAAGGTTTGACAATTTAAAAACAAATTTGTTACATTTAACTATTAACAAGTCCGAATTTCTTTTGGCTAGAGGGTAGAGTGTAGCTTTACTGAAAAATCGAGAAACATATTTTTAAATTAATGATGTGAACAACTTTTATCATATAACAACTTTTATTTACAATAATGACTTTTATTCCTTTATACATATGTATACTAATTACAATTTACTAATTAAATCGAATGTTTCAAGCCCCCCCATAAGCCGCAGGTGGTTTCCTACTTGCTAATCAGGACCTCATATGCAGTGCCAGGTGGTTTGCTACTTGTTAATCGGGACCTCATATGCAGCGCACTTCCAGCCCATTGTCAGGAGACTACATAGTTATCTGCACTCTGCAAGTGTGGATCGTGATAGTTCTTCCAGAACGTTAGTGGGCAAATCACTGTTACAGCTGCGGGGAGCTACAGAGAACATAACAGATTTTGCCAACAAATGCTTCCAAGTGGCGTGGGACCAAAACAGAGGGGAGAGGGGAAGGGTGCACATCATCACACATAGCCAGCACCTGGGTGTTGAAAGAAGGAGAGAAACATTGACCTCTTTAGTACAGAAATGATGCTGCCAAAAGAAGAAAAAAAATCCTTTAACACAGACAGAAAAAGATATTATCACAAAATGAGCAGAAAATTAAAAAAAAAAAAAAAAGAGAAAGTGGGAAAGTTTAATGACCTTAAAGGAAGTACAAAGAAAAATAATTCACAGACAGAAAGGGTGCCAGGCCTGGTGAGAAGACACAACCAGAGAGACCTGTAGCAAGAATAATGCTAAGCCAAAGAAAAAGGAAGTCTGTCCTCCGGTCTGCAGCCTTATGCTAGTGAAGGAGCCACCGTTACCAATAGAAAGAAGCAGAAATTGGCAGCCTCTGAGTAATGAGGGACAGGGGCCAGACTCCGTGAACTGTCACATGTGTGGCCTGGGGCAAGCTGTTCCAATTGCTCTGTGCCCCTTTCCTAACATGTCAAATGCAAGGCTGAGGAACTTCACATGTGCCCAGGAAGCACGGTGCTCTGGGACACTCACGGGGCTGCGCTATACACACACACAAAAGAGGAGGGAGTCAGGGACCCAGCTGGGCCAAAGAGGACTTTGGGAATCGTTAATTAAAATCTCTATCTTGGGTACAGTTTGAAATTTTCATGACAAATGAAAAGGAGGCAAGTAAAGAAGTTCTTAAGCTGTTTAGGGCTCTTAACATCTTACGTTTTGCTTCAGTCTTATAAAATGGAATTTGTTTCATTTCGAAGCAGTGAACTATGAAGACATAATAAGAGCTATTTTCAATATTGTAAATATGATATCCAGGTGTTTTTTGGCTCCCTAAATGAAGTGAAATGGAGGTTTCTCTTGCTCCAGAAGCCATCCTGCTGCCCTGCCTGTGGCCTCCAAGGGTTGCCCTTTAGATCTCTGGTGAGCCATCCCCGCATCAGCAGAGCCTTCTGCCTCCCCGTCTAAGTCAGAATCTTCCTGTGTGGCTGCCTTACCTTGCAAATGGCCAGACTTCTCCTCTGTGTCTCCGGTAGCTCCCAGTTCCATCCACATAGCAAGGGACTACACAGAGGCATGAAGCAACGAGTGGATGAATGTCTGGCTGATCACTGTCAAAGCACACGTGTAGGAAACCTTTATTGCAATTGTTTGTTAATAAAGGCAGATCTTTCAACCGGAGGTTGTCAAAAGGAGGCAGATCCCTTCAATGCAGTGGGGTAGAGGAAGGGAACTGCTATGTTTTAGCAAATGCTTGGCGATGTTTACACCCACTCGGGACAAAGAACATTAACCTAGAAGAGATGTGTCCACATTAGGCCCATAGACACAGCGGGACTTTTATTTCTGCCTACTCATCAGGATTGTGGAGGAGGAGGAGGGTGGGCAGCCGCACCGTGAGGCCCCAATGGTAGCAGAGGGAGATGGCCACACGTGTGAGGAGCAAGCAACACCCTGTGAACATGTGGTCCAGGCCATCCTGCTAATTTAGGTCTGTCCTCACACACAGATGCTTCGCATTTACAAGAACGCACCAAAGGCTGCAAGTCCTGAATCTGAGTGCCTGATCAACACTTCCACCCCTCCCCGATTTATGACCCCATGACTATGAGCATGTCCAATCAAATTGAGGCCCAAAAGTAGGAGGGAAAGCAGTGCCATGTCTTCTTGGAATCGTATTTTTGGATGAAAGTATAAGAGGTTGTTACGATGCTTTCTAATGAATTCTGAATGGCCTCTGTCCCAGCAGTGTGCCACACCCAGGCAAAGGCCCTTGCCAGGAAGCCCACTGAGAAGGGTTCCCTCTCCACCTCCTCCTTGGTGTCACCCTCCATGGCTGCCATTGGCATCCCATCTCAGATCAACCAGCACAGATGAAACCAAAGCAGAAAGGCAAACATGCTTTTTAGTTCCCTTCCATTATTCAGTCCAATTTAGAAACGTATCCCCTTAACAGAATTCAATGTAGTGCACACTTCATAGTTTTTTAGAAGAGCTCAGCCTCTGTCTGAAGAATTGACAAGTCTATTTGCAGCCATGTCTCAGGGTTAGGAATGATTCTTCTCATTTAGGAGTGAATAGTATGTTGTTCTCTCTCCTTTATCTGCCCCACTTGGACTTTTCCACTGCAGGAGGAGGGCTTGGGAGGTAGAAAAGCAAGCATTGTAGGTGGGCACATTTTTGGTTATGCTTCTTGAGATGGTAAGCGGTGTCCAGCCACCTCACACTGAAAGCTCACTGTCACCAGAATCACATGGGACATGAGGATCCTCTCATCATTCCTGCAAGTCATAGCTTTTACTCTTCACTAATTAGAAAAAAGTAACATATTTGTCTCTCCCCACTTCAATATACATACTGTTTCACATTTAAGGGATAAATATATGTCCATACTTACTACAAAACCACAGAAAAGTAGGCAGAATAGGGACTTCAAATGACTAATACACATTTGAAAATATGCTTAACCTTCTTCATTAATAATCCGGGAAATACAAGATTTGAAACTGCAATGCAATTTTCCTTGCATTAGAATTGCAAGGATTGAAAAGACCAGGGGTCTCCTCTCTCAGCTTTGGAGTCCCCCTCCCTCTGCCTCTATACAGGGAAGCTTCCTCCTTTCTTCCTTCTTTCTTCTCTTCTTCCTTCCTTCTTGCCTATTAAACTCTCTGCTCCTTAAAACCAAAAAAAAAAAAAAAAAAAAGACCAACTCTCTCCAGCATGGGGGGAAGGGCACACCCACGCATCCTCTTTATCTATAGGAGACAGATGTAATATGGACCTACTGCTTCATACACCTCAGGGTGTTTTTATTGCATTTTACAATGGTTGTTGTGTCATTTTTGTTGCTTGCAGAACTATTCCCTCCTGGACATGAGGCCACCACCAACTGCGATGATCACTTTAAACAATTCCGTTTACTGGCAGGAATTTGAAGATACCTGTGTCTATGAGTGTCTGGATGGCAAAGACTGTCAGAGCTTCTTCTGCTGCTATGAAGAATGTAAATCAGGATCCTGGAGGAAAGGGCGTATTCACATAGACATCTTGGAGCTGGACTCGTACTCCCGGGTCTTTTTCCCCACGTCCTTCCTGCTCTTTAACCTGGTCTACTGGGTTGGATACCTGTATCTCTAAGTGTTGCTCAGAGTGAAGAGTGAAGAGCATTTGGTACACACTTGACCTTCTGTCGTCCCCAGACCAGTAGTGACCAATCGGGAGTAGCAAGGAAGGACACTGCCCAGTGTATCTTGTTATAAATGACCTTTCAGCAACACAGGAAGTACCCAGCAAAGGTTTCTATTATGTATTTTACACACACACATACATACACACACACAGCTAATTGAGTTTTAAAGTAATATTCTTGCTAATCCCTACTGAATTGTAGCTTGGTGTTGTTTCTGAATGGTTTTTGGATATTGGAAGCAGCCGCTGATTACCCTTGCAAAGAAATCTGTAAAATGTGCACGTGAATGTCTGAGATGCTCTCTCAGGCCTCTAGTCCTTCTGTATCTTTCCTTTGCAGCCCTGGGTGTAGTAGCACTCAGGAGTGTTGAATCACCCCTGGCCGAGACCCACTCCTGCTGGCTCAGCCTGGGCATGTGTGTGCTCCAGTGTGAACAGCAGTGGGTTCCAACCCCAGTCTCCTTTCTCTGTGGCCTCTCTGGCTCCAGCACCATCATCGTTAGCTGGCACTCCTTTACCTAATAACCTCGTTCTAGGCCTGGGGAGAGTACACTCGCATTGTCTACGGTTTCCATTGGAGGAGAAAATAAGATTTTCAAAATGCTCATGTTGTTGGGGTCAAAGATGATTATCTCTGAACATCAGAAGGTTATTACTTTATTCCAACTTACTGAGAGTCAACAATATTTGAACTTTGGGTTCTTGGACTAGTTCAACAGCATTTCACCTTAAGAGCTGTTTTTCACTAGACCAACGCTCAACCCTCGAGTATGTGTCCAGCTTATGTTATATTATTATGGGTTCGGTAATTGTCATTTTGCAAAGAAAGGTATACAGTGAACACAACCTGTTATCTTGAAGACATACACCGGAATGTGAAAGACATGTAGATAAAATTTTATTTTTATTTTATTTTTTTGAGACAGAGTCATGCTCTGTCACCTGGCCAGGCTGGAGTGCAGTGGCACAATCTTAGCTCACTGCAACCTCTGCCTCCCATGTTCAAGCGATTTTCCTGCCTCAGTTTCCCAAGTGGCTGGGACTACAGGTGTGCGCTACCACACCCGGCTAATTTTTGTATTTTTGTTTTTTGTTTTTTGGGTTTTTTTAGTAGAGACGGGGTTTCACCATGTTGGCCTGGCTGGTCTCGAACTCCTGACCTCAGGTGATCTGCCCGCCTCAGCCTCCCAAAGTGCTAGGATTACAGGCATGAGCCACCATGCCCGGCCAAAATTAAAAAAAAAAAATTAGTGAATATTAATTTTCAACTCAAACCAACTTTAGATGCAAAAAAATGGGCAATGGTGATCATCAAGTACATATTTTGATGAACAAGATTATTTTATACTTTGAAATATGGATACATAGCAAAATCCCAAAGAAAAAATATCCCCCCAAATCAATACTCTTTTGATATTTTTATAATACAAAACCAACTTGCTGCTTGCTGTTAGTTCTTTGTTATAACTGGATGCCAATGTGAACTGCAGAAGACTGTTTTGAAACTTCTCCTCACCAATAGGCAAAACACAAGTCCTACCAGTTAGTTAATAATGCTTTGGCATTGTTAAAATTTGAAACCAGAATCTCTGTGCTTCTCATCTTTCTCACATAGAAAACTGAATTAATTTGACCTAGAAACCGTAATTTTTAAAATTATCTATTGTGCATACCATAATTACCCAGAAACGTAAAATATTTTGCAGAGAAAGTATAGAAAAGTATCAATTTCACACAATGTCCTGGATGTATACCAGACACAGAAGAGGATGGGAGCAGAAGAGGCCAGAAAAAGTGAAATTAGATTCATCTGCTTATTCCTATTAAGATTGTTGCATATTAAACGGATGCAAAGATATAGATATGTCTGAATTTCCAAAGATGGAGTCTATACAGCGTGAGACATTCAAACCCATTGTTTCTCTCCCTGTCAACTCTCTGTCTTTTGGTTTGGTAGTTGCTACATAATCCACAAGCCAATTGGCTTCAGTTTAGCAAATTCAGTTTTAAAAATAAAAGAGTATTTGTGGAGAAACAGGTTGAAAATATTGTCTTAGATGCAATGTCTCCTCTATTGGAGAATTTCACACTCTGGTACTCTAGTTCTGTCTCTCATGCATAAGCAACCCCCGCCTTGGCAGAAGTATTCTGCAAGGACCCTGACCAAAGGAATCCAAGTCACACCACAGCACTGAGCGCCAAGGGAAGGTGGCCCAAGGGCAGTCTTAAGACACAATGTCAAACGTTATGAATGGGTAATTTCTAACAAGCTGAAGAACTGCAACCTGCTACATTGTAAACGAAGTTCTGGAGAGAACTGAATTTTCTAGAAAAATTCTTATTGGGAGGAAAATAACCTAAAACAACTTTTTATAACATGGATTTGTTTGATTTTACCTTAAAAGAATTTTACTGATGCCTTGTGTTTCAAAACCACTCAACATTTGGATATTGTTAGCAACCCTCCTGAAATTTTACATGTAGGATAAATACACCAATAACCTCAGTTTTCTGAATCCAGCCATTCTCTTCTTCCCAACCTCAGCAGCCCTCCTGATCAAAACAGATGAGTTCAGCGCTCCTTTTCTAGGAAGGAGAACCTTCATCTCAAGAAAGTCCAATGGATTTCACTAACTGAGCATCATAGTGTGGATTCCTGCATATACAGCAGGCTCCCCACTAGGGGGTCTCAATAAAAAGAGCTAAAGCACCCCCTAAGAGCATGTCCATGCCGGGTTCTCCGCAGGCTTGCATAATTCAAGTTCTCCATATCAGTCTCAACTCCTGAGATGAGCCTTTTCAGTCCACAATGAGGAAGAGATGGGTGTGCCTTGGTGAGGTGCAGAGCTCAGGGGATTTTTAATCATGTACATGTTTACTTTCTAGAGGAAGGAGAGGAGCAGTGTGGGGAGAGTGGGAAGGAAGTACGCTTTCTTTCACTAAAGACTCTCTTTGCCAGGATGCCTGATCAGGAGGGACGTGTGTGGGCACGAGGTGCAAGGCTGTTCCACACAGCTAAGCCCCAGCTTGCTTTGCATGCAGAATTGGGAAATATTTGGGGTGGAAGTTGTCTGAGTGATCTGCATTCCAAAGGTGCTACTGTGTTCCTCACTTTCAGAAATACTCTAAGTTGAGGAGATGACAGTTCTGTATTTTGACATGGAATCCAAATTTCTGACCACTGTGGATCACACTTAAAACTGTGACTGTCTGTCTTTTAAGCTGCATACTGGGTGGGGGGAAAGCAAAGAAAAGGCATTTCACATTAATGGAATTGGAGAAAAATGTCTCTTCAGAGCCTAGAAAGCTTCAGCTTCTGCAAAGTCCCAACACCACCTACCAGAACAGAGACTCCCTACATACCAGACAGAGAAGGACAAAGTTAGTATAATTTACTCTGGACCCAGCCAATACTGCCCCCAATTTACCCAAAACATGCCTTAAAATGAAACAGAAAGCTCAAATAATACACATCTTTTAAGATTTTCCATTTCCTGCAGTTAGCTATATTTCATGCCAAGTTTTATTTATCTTTTATGAATGGATGGAAATAGGATTTCATTTCTTTATATGCCAAACAGTCTTACCCTTAATTTTACATCAAACCAATTAAGTACAAAGATTTTGCAGGCTCTTTGACTGAGAAAATGCGTGTTCTCAAGAGCAAAGCATTTTCACTCTACATAAGGGAAATTGGGGCCAATCTAAAATGTCAGCAACACAGTCCTGATGGGGATGAGTGTCTCTAATAGAAACTCCGCACCAAATCATTTTACCTGGTGATAGCTTGCTGCAGTAAGTTTGCAGGCATGTTGCTTCGTTGTTCTGCAATATAACCACACTCGAAGCAACAGGAGAGGGGCCGGTAACCCATTCTGCATTGACTCCAGCTCCCTATGACTAGGAAGCAATGAGCCACTCTATCTAAAGGGCTAGAACACAAAACAGACAAAACCTCTTCTTCCTTGATCATTTTTATCTCAGCTGCCAAAATGGAAATTTTCTGTGATTTCCTTTGAGACTTGAAGAATTACACCTGGTCTCCAACCATTATTCTTATCACCGTATCGGTTCAGTGCTCTCAAGGCACAAAGCACTTGGAATTCACTCCATGATCTTGCAACTCTTTTTGAGTGCTTTTCCTGAGCGATTTTAAACTCTACCCGTAAGAAATTTCATCTGCAATTTCTGTAAAAAAAAAAAAAAAAAAAAAGAATGGCTTAAGCTCCACATAATCTGATGTAAATATACATTGAAACGTTAAGTTCTATTTGTACTGAAACACTGTCCACCTTAGACTTTAGAACACTATCATTTAACAGATATTCAGAAAGGTTCCGGAAATACGGGGGAAAGAACCAGACTACGAATACATTGGAAATGTTAAATTTACAATATTCTCCTGAGCCCCCTTCCAATTTCCCAAAATTGAGAAAGTGTGTAATCTGTACCTATTTTTTTTCTCAAATTGGCCTGGAGGAAACATTCAGGTTCAGAGAGTTTAGCAGTGCCTCTATGTTTGTGTTCTCTGTGTAATCACATGAAAGAACCAACAAATAACTCTTCAGGATAAATGACACCTGCATCGCTGATCCCTTGTTGACTTATGTTTTATTATAAAAATAGATCTCTATCATTATAGGGATAAAACGTGTATGTTTTGAGATGATTTGGTAAGAACTCAGCCATTCAGTATTTCTGGAAGAATTAAAAACTTGGCTTTCTTTTTCTTAATGTCTAATAGTTTTGAAGACTAGATATTAGGGCATTTTCTTTCCTCCTTTTAAAATTTCTACTGATTACAAGCTAGCAATTTCAGGATATCAGCTTGATCTAGTTGTATTAAGGCCAAAAGGCAGACTTTCTTTATATTTATTTTTATTATTTATTTATTTATTTATTTATTTATTTATTTATTTATTTTGAGATGAAGTTTTACTCTTGTTGCCCAGGCTGGAGTGCAGTGGCGCCATCTCGGCTCACTGCAACCTCCACCTCCCGGGTTCAAGCAATTCTCTTGCCTCAGCTTCCCGAGTAGCTGGGATTACAGGCACCCACCACCATGTCTGGCTAATTTTTTATATTTTTAGTAGAGATGGGCTTTCACCATGTTGGCCAGGCTGGTCTCGAACTCCTGACCTTCAGGTGATCCACCCGCCTTGGCCTCCCAAAGTACTGGGATTACAGGCGTGAGCCACCGCGCCCAACCTGTATTTACTTTTTTAATGCCACCTAGCTGAATAATGCTTTGGGTTTTACTGTTGTCAATAAAACCCCTTATACCTTTTATTGTCCTGCTTACTTATAAAAGCCAAATTTTAGGCGAACTTAAATAAATCAGTGCTGAAAAACTAGTTGAACAATCAGTCACTGACAAGTTTTCAATGTTTTGAGTTAACCAAGTGGGCTTTTCAGATTAGGTTATTCAAGAGCATGAGCTAGAAAATAATTAGGCAGACAAAACATATGTTCTCACACACACACCACTTCCAAAACAGACATGATTTGAATGTAGCATTCAGGTTATTGAGGTGAACGTAAATTGCTTTGCTTGAACAATTGAGATAATCACCTACTTTCGCCACTTCACTTTTCACATTTGTAAACACACACAGGGTTTTTCCAGCCCAGTGAGCAGGCTACACAATGTGAGGATGATAATGGTTCCTGCAGGGAAGCCAGAGCCTCTATGTCTGCCGAACAGTTTAAATTGAACAGGTTGGAAAGAACATTGATTGCCAATAATTAAATGCCCCAGACTGAGCAGGTAGCTGCTACATTTTCTCTTCTCTTTTCTAGTTATTCAGGGTTCCTTCTTTGATTTTCATGAGAAAGGAACATTTACACTTCCTGTGAGGGGCTTAGACTCCGATTTCTCCCAGTTGCCTCACTTACTGAAGTTCGATCCCAGTGAATGATGTGTATGTACCCAACACATCCAATTTGTATTTTCTTAAATATGTGTTTCTTAGGTATCTAAGGATACATGAGCGAGCCCACAGCACAATTATTGCAGTCCCCAAGATGTCAGTCTTCTCAAAATGACAACATTGTCACTAACCACTTTTTAAAAAAGAACTGAAATTCCCATTTTTTGTTAAACGTTTTTCCAATACATAGCAATGTGTAAAATAGACTCCCAAATCTCCTTTGGGAAAGGAACCTGTGGACCCTGGAGCTAAGTTGTCATTTTAGGGACATGGTGATAATCAGGACTGATGCCAGTAAGTGGGAAGTTCATTACGGCAAGGCAGTGGGAAGGTGCCAGCATCCCCTTTCCACCTGAGATGGGCTGAATTTTCACCCGGAAGTCTGAAGCCTCTGGAAGGGCAGGTGGAATCGCTCCTGGCAAGGGCATGACCGTGCACAGGCTGACATGATTTTCCTTTTGGGTGGATTGGAGTTTTACAACTGGATTCATTAGCACACGTGTGGGAACATGTGCCTGTGCCCACCCACAGCACTTCCTTGGAACTCTAAGCTGCTTCTCTAATCTAAGGAGGTCTATTCGAAAGGATAGTGCTTGACTTTCAATTTATAAAAGATTATTGGAAACACCTTAAGTAGTCCTAACCCACTGTCAGCTTCCAATTTTCAGGAGCAAATGATGACTGCTTTGATTTGGTTAGGCTTTCTTACAACAGGTTTTTATAAAATATTGTTTATATTTGTAACAGGAAGGATTTTCAATGTCAATTTCATCCATGAGTGAAGACCCCCCACTGCACAGAGCAGCACTTCTGTCACTCTCATGGGGAGATCAGGGTACCCACTCCTCTACGTAGCTTGGCAGACCCAGACCACCCTGAGCCAGCCTGCCACATCCGCTAGTCCATGCACCTCCAGGGTGGCCTTGGGAGCTACAGAGAGGAAAAAAAGAAAAAATGTTGCATTCTTAAGCAATTAAAGACTCCTTCCAATGTAATTAAAAAATAAGTAATGTGGCAAAAGATGCACATAACTTGCTCCCTCAAGTTCTAAATTGTCACCAAATATGAAAGGTTTTTAGATGAAGTACATCTACATCATAACCATCATCACCCTCATTGTCCTCTTCCATGTTTCTACTAGTACTCAGCTATTGATTCAACACAAAGGCTTAGAGCCTTTTCTGAACTATAACGAAATCAGAACTTACATCGTGGAAAAAGCGAAAAAGTTTCATTAGAGTTTAAACATTAAGTATACAGATCCTACTCCAAAATTTTGCTCGCCTAAAACATTTCCAGAACTGCTGTGTTCCCCAGCAGTCCTGCCTGCCCTGCCTCAATCAGAATTTCAAATTACTATTTAGAAGAACATTCCATTCAATTGTTGTTTGTTGATTGCTTTCTCTCTTTTTTTTTCCGTTTTTACCTTAGTTGGCTATTTTATTCCTTTTCGTAAAGATAACGTTTGAATTGTCTAACAACTATCTTTTTTCACTAAAATACATGCATCTTTGGAAACTGCAAATTTTGTGAGCTCAAAAAGACAATCACTGTGCTTCTTATCATCTAATTTGAGTCTAGGCTTTGTTTCCCCCTAACTTATCCTGGCATTTTTACTTTGAATAGAAATAGTCACAGGCAAAATATATTCATGAAATGTACAGTGCTTACTATTATATGATCTCTGTTTAGAATAACTATTTTATTAAAACAGTCTAAAAGACACTGTCCATCATTCTTGACATTTGATATGTCTAATTTTGTGCTAGTGAACCAAGTTTACCTGCTCACACGTTTGTACAACTACACAATGTGTTTTCCTTTACGTGCAGCTCCGGTACTGAGCAAAAGGTTCGTTGTTTAGGAGTGAAATTTTCTGTGAAAGTTTTGGGAGAGTAATTATTTTCAGGGATCAGACCTATGTGTTGTTAGGAGCAAGAGGCCATCTTGTGTTTACATGCAGTGGTCTGTGTATTTGTGTCTGTACGTACAGTGGTAAAACTGAAACAACTTATTAATAATGTGTGTCACTCTACCCATCACCCCAAATTTAGCTGAAACAAGTAGAAAGGAGCGCAGTTTTCTAGCGATAGCGTATTAGCACTAAGCCTCTGGTTAGGATAAAAAGGAGCAAGGGAGAGGGAGAAAGAGAGGACAGAGGGAGAGAGAGAAAGTGGCAATCTGTACATTTCCTGACAAAGTGGGATCATGTTCTTTCCAAGAAAAGGAAAAGAAATCCAGCTTCACTACCTGATCAGGAGTCCCTCTGGGGTCCACACAAGCCTGCCTCCTTTGGAGAGCCCTTGAGCATCACTGTTGTGACCGGGGTGCACACCTGGGCGACTCCTTGATCATTCGTGCATTCTGGTCAAGTTGACCCGATAAGCCAAAAGTACTTTTCAAGATTTAGATGGCAAACAGCCATCCCCACCCTTGTCTAGGAAGTCGTATTCGCAGGTCACAGGAAGGCGTCAGGTCAGGCTTGAAGCAGCCGGGGTGTGGGCAGGGTCCTCTCTCTGTGAAGCCTGTGTGGGAGGTGAAACTGTCAGGGGTCCTGGGAGATGGCCCAGGCAGGAAGGGAAGGAGAGAGGCGCGGACTGCTCTCTGTTCCCATGGAATCCTTCCTGCCTGTGAAGCCATTGTCCTCCAGATGGGAGGTAGGCCGGGAGATTCCAGAATCCGAAAACATTTTGGAATCATCTTAGAGCACCGGTGTGGATGCGCTTGGCCCCGAGGGGGCCGCGCCCTGCCCCAGTGCGTGCGCCTCCTGCCCCAGCAGGGACCCGCCCTCACCAAGTGGCCTCCAGTAGCCCCTGTGTCCCTGTCGTCCCGCGAGGGATTGGAGGCCCTGGCTCCGGGCGGTCCCGAGGTCCCGCCGCCCTCCTCCCCTGCGCAGAGGACGTGGCTCCCCGCTATCCGTGCGGCTCGTGGTGTCCTAGTGAAATGAGGGCGCACTGGCGCCCGACGTGCCTTGGCGACACGGGCGGCGCCGCGCCCCGCTTCGTGCGTCCCGTCCCCGCCGTGCCCTCAGCTGGGCCTCGTGGCTGGGCCGCCCTCTGTATTTGTATTTGGATTCCTACGTTTGTACTTCTAATACAAATAAATGCACATGTTGTCAGAAATACCTGAGCTGGAAGTGGACGTCTTTCTGGTTTGGGTGGCCGACTGGGAGCGTGCGGGATGGGGTCAAGGGCACTGTGTTGCACGGAGCCCTGATGCCCGCAGGGGTGTGACCCAACTGCCCCTCTCAGATGCTTACTTCTGGGGAGCCCAGCCCAGGGGCAGACTCTGCAAATGGGGTTCGGGGAGTGACTTTTCTCTGGCAGGAAGGGTACAAGTGGCTTTTCTAAGGGAAACGTCCTCCTCCACTCTTGCAAAACTCCATGAACAGAGACCCCCAAGCCACCCTTGGAGAGCCGGACACTCTGCTCCAGCCAAGCCAGGTGGCAGGTGCCCGCCTCCAGGCCACACCTGCAGCTGGGGAGTGGATTAAATCGTGGGGGGAAGGGTTCTGGGACCCGCCCTCAACACATCTGGAAGCCAGGCTGGACACCCTAAAGTCCTAACAGTGGCTCCTGGAGAAGATGCCGCAGGCTCATGTTAAAGTTAGGGCACACCATCACAGACAAACGGAAAACCGACGGTGACCGCGACCACCGCAGACAACACACATTAGAGGATTTTAGGTACTGTTCTTTGGTCTATTTTTTTTTTCTTTCTTTCTTTTTTTTTTTTAGATGGAGTCTCCCTTTGTCGCCCAGGCTGGAGTGCAATGGCCCGATCTCGGCTCACTGTACCCTCCGCCTCCCGGGTTCAAGCAATTCTCTGCCTCAGCCTCACGAGTAGCTGGGATTACAGGCGCCCGCCACCACGCCCAGCTAATTTTTGTATTTTTAGTAGAGACGGGGTTTCACCATCTTGGCCAGGCTGCTCTTGAACTCCTGACCTCGTGATCCACCAGCCCCAGCCTCCCAAAGTGCTGGGATTACAGGCGTGAACCACCGCACCCGGCCGAAACACATTTTAATAAAAACAAACAATTCCAGGTCCCCTAGCTCACCCATGACTTCAACACAATCACCCCTCCCGGATGGGGGCTGCACTTACACAAGGGGGTGGGGGTGGGGGGACTATGAGACATTTTTTGCAGCCTCTGGCTGATTCTGTGGGAACCCTCAGCCCTAAAAGAGGGTTTTCTGACATCCGGCCCCTGGGAAGTATCTGTTTTGGCGCTCGCAGCAATTCCTTCTTGGATTGCTGTAATCTAGGCTTGAACAACAGTGAACATTTTATGTGCATTCATTCCCTCCCTTGCTAGAACTGCCACCTTCGCCCTGCTTTGTGACCAAAGCTGCAGGCCCCTCCAGAGGTACATTAAAACAACAGCTGATGCTTATTGAGGGCTGAGCTCGTGCTAAGAACTTGGCACACACTGAATCATTCAGTCCTGAGAGTACCATATAAAGAGGGTATTCGTCTTACCACAATTTTATTGATGAGAAAATGGAGACTTGCCCAATATTCTAAACCTAGAAAAAAGCAGAAAAAGAACTGAAACTCTGGAAATGTAACTTCAAACACCTCGAGCTGCTACACTCTGCCAGTGCATGTCTCCAAAACCTTGGGACTGTGGAGTGAACTTCGGAGAAAATTAATAGGGCAGACATTCACTTTTTAGTTAATTTAAACCCACTTTTTTGGTGGGGGGGAAGATATCACTTTCTTTCTTTTTCTTTTTTTCTTTTTTTTTTTTGAAACGGTGTCTCGCTCTGTCGCCCAGGCTGGAGTGCAATGACGCAATCTCGGCTCACTGCAAGCTCCGCCTCCCGGGTTTACGCCATTCTCCTGCCTCAGCCTCCGGAGTAGCTGGGACTACAGATGCCCACCACCACACCCGGCTAATTTTTTGTATCTTTAGTAGAGACGGGGTTTCACCATGTTAGCCAGGATGGTCTCGATCTCCTGACCTCGTGATCCGCCCGCCTCTGCCTCCCAAAGTGCTGGGATTACAGGCGTGAGCCACCACGCCCAGCCAGAGGATATCACTTTCAAAGTGGTATCTTACAAATGTGCACAAATGGCACAATGAGGTCAGCTGTGTTTGTTCAGGACCCACAGAAATCAGCAAGCTCCTTTCAAGGAAAAGTCACACACAGAAGACTCTCTGGCTGGGCTGCTTGATTTGTAAGTGAGGGATGGGGTGATCTCTTGCACAGAAGTAGAGCAGTGGAGACTGCAAATCATGCCAAGGGCCTGACTGTACTCATTGCCAGGTTGGAACTGAAACTGTACCCCAAAGAGTTAAAGAAACCAGTAACTAACAGAAATTCTTGAGCTTGCAGGGTGGCAGGTAAGAAAAGAAACAGCCTGCTGAAACGCTCATGAGATAAAACTTGCTGAAGTCCATTGGAACCAATATGGCCAACTAGAGTCTGCACAGAATGAGGCTGGCAACACAACAGCCTCATTCCATCACAGGTTTCATACTAGCTCCCCCCAGTGTGCACATGTGACCCACGGGGTAACATGAAGAGATAAATGCCCATGTCCAGGGACTTCCCAGACCTCCCCTTTCCTTCTACCAGTCACCTCCTAACCTCAGAAACCAGCTCCTGAAACATTCCTAGTAAAAATACTGCCTTGAAGCCAGCACAGGGAGATAGATTTGAGCTTGATTTCCAAGGTACACTATTTCCAAGAACGGCATCATCCACCCATTACCTCAGGCCCTAAACAAGGTCACATTCACACACAGCCTGGAAGGAGCACCCCAAGATCTGTTCCCAGGAGGTGCACTGAAGAAGCTGCAGGATCTGTAATATCTGTATTGGCAAGAGCCTGGGGGCATGCATGGGAATTTATTTTAAGGGTGTTAGAACCAGAAAGGACCAACTTTAAAGCTGGTGTGACTGCATTTATATATAAAGGGATTAAACAACACTGGAACCTTGAAAACTAAAGCAAACTATCACAAGGACAGAAAACCAAACACCTCATGTTCTCACTCATAGGTGGGAATTGAACAATGAGAACACTTGGACGCAGGAAGGGGAACATCACACACCAGGGCCTGTCGTGGGGTGGGGGGAGGGGGAGGGATAGCATTAGGAGATATGCCTAATGTAAATGATGAGTTAATGGGTGCAGCACACCAACATGGCACATGTATACATACGTAACAAACCTGCATGTTGTGCACATGTACCCTAGAATTTAAAGTATAATAAAAAAAAGAAAAAATTTAAAAAAAGAAAAAAGAAAACTAAACCTTTGTTTTCAAGGTTGATGAACTGTTTGTTCAGGTAAAGTGACTGCTGAAACTCTGATTTCCAGTTGCCTACAGCCAAAGAAAATGAGGTGCCAGCCCCTCAGATACACTGTAAGGGGGAAAGGCTAAGTCTGTGGAAAACGGGGATGTCAGGGTGGGTTTCCCAAGTGCAACTCACTTGAACATAGGTGGGGGACTCAGGAGTATCCCCCCAACCACCTAGAGTCTGAGAAAGGCATTCATGAGCAACCACCAAAGCTCTGGAGCAGGTTGCAGATGATGCCACCATGGGAGGTGCCACCGTGAACCTGGGATCTGTGGTTCCAGCAGGAATCATCAAATCTGAGAGTCGCAGGGCCAGGTGGTATGACCTGACCTTCAATGACTATAATAAGCCCTAGGGACCGAGGAGAGCTCAGAGCCTGTTTACCCAGAGGCATGAACGCTGTGGCTCTGATGCAGCCCCATTCTCTAGGACACTAGCTATCTGCCTGGCTGCAGTTTCACTGCATTGAGCACTTTGCATCCTTGCTCTGGCGGTTAAGTGGTTCTTCCTCTTCAGAACAGATAAGTATTCCACGTATAAATTTGCCTTTCCTGTCCACACAGCACATGTATGTTTACAGAGGGCCTCTTCATTGCCATGGCAGACCACATCACATTGCCAATTAAACCAGAATTTCAGGTGTTCTCATAGATTTCTTAATGGCCTAGAAACACGTGCTTTTACTGGAGGTGAATGTTTAAATAGCAATGTACAATCAACACAAAAATACACCCACAACTCTCCAGTCAGGTAAGTCATATTTTCTAATAGTGATGGCTGTAATCCACTGAGGACCAATAGAATGGAAACAAAAGGCCAAAGACGTAAGTGTCAGAGGAGTTCTGGTGTTAACAAAGGGTGACTCATCAAAAAGAGAGCTGCCAAGGTTTCTGGACACTCACTTGAATCTGACCTGTCACACCCACCACCTTCAACCACGCCATACAAATTTGAATAAAGCATAAGTCTCCTCACCATATATACCCAAAAGGGAGCAGAAAACCACTGCAGGCGGGTGAAGTAGCAAACATGGGTATCAGCAGCCAACTGCATATACCTGTTAAAAAGGTAAACTGAGGCACAAGAATTTTAGAGTTTATTTGAGTGGGTAGTGTTTCATGAATCAGACAACTTCGAACCAGAAGTAGTTTGGGAGCCCCACTGAGGAACCCAAGTGAGAGGCTTTTGTGAGACCAACAGGGAGGTAAAAGAAAGGAAATGTTTGATTAACTACAGTTACAAGGTTGCCTTACTTAGTCTATCCCACTGGAAAGTTCCTAGTTATATAATTTAAGTGAGTTTGCTCCTTGTTAAGGTTTAAGCTTAAGTGTTTTTTTTTTTTAACATTTATTTTAGAAACAGAATCTCAGGCCAAGGCGGGCGGATCACAAGGTGAGGAGATCGAGACCATCCTGGGTGAAACCCCATCTCTACTAAAAATACAAAAAATTAGCCAGGCGTGGTGGCGGGCGCCTGTAGTTCCAGCTACTCGGGAGACTGAGGCAGGAGAATGGCCTGAACCCAGGAGGTGGAGCTTGCAGTGAGCCGAGATGGCGCCACTGCACTCCAGCCCGGGCGACAGTGCGAGACCCCGTCTCAAAAAAAAAAAAGAAACAGGGTCTCACTCTGTCACCCAGACTGGAGTGCAGTGGCACCTTCTTAGCTCACTGCAGCCTCGAGATCCTGGGCTCAAGCCATCCTCCTGCATCAGCCTCATGAGTTGCTGGGGCTACAGGTGTGCACCTGTAAAATTAGCACAGCCGGCTGATTTTTTTTTGTTTTTATGTTTGTAGATATGAGGTCTCTCTGTGTTGCCCAGGCTGGTCTTGAGTTCCTGGCCTCCCAGCCTCAGCCTCCAAAACTGCTGGGATTACAGAGACAAACCACTACACTCGGCCGATTTCTTTTTTTCTTTAATACAGGCATTTACAAGAATTAGCCCAAGTTAAGTTTTCCTTGTGTTTTTGAAATCAAGCAGGGTTAGGGTCACGTATGAGGCCTGACCTAATTTGTTTGCTCAAGGATTTTTCAGGTCTGGTTTTCATTTTATTTTACTCCAACGCACCAGGCCCAACAAGAAGCAGTATTAGGCATTTTTAAAGCAAAATGCAAAAATGTTCAAATTACTTGGTGATGGAAAGTTAAATTTTAAGAGTTTAACTCTGGCAGAGCAGTGGCTCACGCCTGTAATCCCAGCACTTTGGGAGGCCGAGGTGGGCAGATCACGAGGTCAGGAGTTCAAGACCAGCCTGAGTAACATGGTGAAACCTCGACTCTACCAAAAAGGCAAAAATTAGCTGGGCATGGTGGTGCGTACCTGTAATCCCACCTACTTGGGAGGCTGAGACAGGAGAATCGCTTGAACACAGGAGGCAGAGGTTGCAATGAGCCAAGATCACGCTACTGCACTCCAGCCTGGGCGACAGAGCAAGACTCTGTCTCAAAAAATAAAAATAAAATTTAATTTAAAAAAAAAACTTTACTCCTACAGATTTTTTTCCAAAGGGGAAAAATAATTGAATAAACCAAACAAGAGAGAAAATTCAAACCTGAGGGGAATAATTTTTCCATAAAAGAAAAGCCCTTTTAAAAACGAAAAGTTTAAAAAGTTAGTCATTTCCAATCCATTTTTTCCTTCCGTTACACAGCCATTGTGCCTAATCCCTCATTTCCAAAACGTGGTTGCTGAAAAGCATGACACCTGCAGCTAAAGTTAGGTTCCTAAGCACTTCTCAGAAGACAGTCTGATTTGTTAGGTCTGGAGCAGGACCCAGGAACATGCACTTGGGAACCATGGGCCTAACTGGACTGGGAGGAAGTGAAGAGGAAGCCCAAGGGAGGTGTGAATCTGAGTGAATCTCCAAGCTCCTCCCCTTGAAATGAGGGTACACATCAATCAACTAGATAGGTAATTGAGAAAGCATCTTGAAATTAGATTGAAATAAGAAGTGTTCTCGGTAAGCAATATAATCCCGAAATTCAGCAGTCTAGCCTTGCATGCTGTATTGGCCAGGGTAGGCTGATACAACAAATAAACTCTGAAATCTCAGGGGTTTCACATCAACCAGTTTTCTCACCTCACAGTCCAGAACTTCTCAGCAGACAGCCCCAGCCCCACCCACCATGCAGAGACTCACGTTTCCCTTTCTTTGCTGTGTCCAGCCATTGGGGAAGGGAGGACAAGAGGGTTCCTTGTGGAAGCAGTGTGTGGGCTAGGCCTGAAAAGGCAACTTTTCATCAGCCAGAACCGAGGAGGCTGTGTCCACAGTCACTCCTGGCTCACTGCAGAGGAGGCTGGAAAACAGCATCCCCAGGAAGAAGAGAACATGGATTTTGGTGAGCGAAGGCCCCTGCCATGCAGGTGCACAGAATTAAAGGGTGAACCTCTGCAATTCAAATGTCAGAAGGCCATATCAGAAATCGCTGTAGATCATATGCACACTGCCTGGTCTCTGGGGGACCCGCAGCATCACAGTGCCTGACATTGGAAATGCAGACTGGGCTCATCCAGATGCACTGAAGTCGATTGACATTTGCAGTTACATTAAAATGTGAGAGGCACTGCTTGTGCCAATTTAAAATTGTCTTCAAATAGTTTTAGTCTTAGGGTAACTTTCAAGGTCAGTGGAAATAAAAAGACTCCAATTTGATTAACATTTGACAGACATTTCCATGCATGTCACCTCAAATTTAACAGTGATTAAAATAATGATTTCGTAGCACGATGACACATTTCAAATTCAGATCCCCTGGTTCCTGTATATATCTTAAGTTCCAAGTCCTAAGAACTATCCTGAAAATTCTGTAAGCACACAAGGAATACATAAACCTCAGAATGCATATAAAACAGCCCTGTTTACAGATAATTGAGGCTGTTTGAGATGAAATTCAGATCAAACTCAGCACTTGCATCACCTGCACCAATACATTAGGAAGCCCAGGCAGTAACTTACATTGATGATTGATTGGGTAAAAGTCCAGGGTTACTAAGAGATCTGAGCACCTGTGAGTGTGGGCCTAATCTGATTTTCATTCACAAACCAAGCTCTGTTAGGCAGCATTGGCAGGACTGAGGATCCACATTATTTCTCTAGGGAAAACCTTTCCATCTGTCAAACAACGAGCTCACTGACAAACTCACTACCACCGGATCCACAAGACACAGAACATCTTGTGCTCCACACGGGAGGCACGGGGGGAAATTATCCCAGAAGATAACAGAAGGGTGTTCTGGAACTTCAAATAATTTCCCCAGAGCAGGTTGCTTTTTGCCTTATTTCTAAATTATCCACCAAACATATTCTCTAGAAAAAACAAAATTTCATACCTTGGTTATTGTAATTCTCCCTTAAAAACAAATGGGACAGAAAGAAGTCCCACACGGCCGGAGCACAAGTAGTTGCAACAGATAATAAACTCTTCCGGGCTTAAGATCCGTATCAATGGAATCAGTTTTATGATTCTCAGTGCCTCCTTTCCTACTTGTTTTATTTGTGAACCATCAGGAAAGTAAACACGAGGAGGAAAAAAAATGGAAATTCATATTAAAACTCAACCCAGCTAGGGCTAATAACACACACCATGACCCCAGGACAAGGGTGCTCAGGGCCTCAATAAAGCTAATGTCTTCGATGTGGGGATGCCAGGTATGTCGCTGAGCTCTCAGAAATCTTGAGCAAAAATCATATTGCATTTAGAACACATCTGACCTGCACTGTTATGAGCCCAAACTTGTCACTGGTTCACGGGTGCTCCATGGGTAATGAGAAACAGACTAGCTGATCTCATTCCAAACCTCCTGCAAGCTAGATGCAAAGAGGCATGTAAATATTAACTAGGTGAAATATCTAAATGATGTTTCACCTAGAAACATCATTTAGTGTTTTTCATTTGTTGGGGGAAGTTCCCGTAGAATACTTTTATAATGGATATTATACATTGGTGAAATTTTGGCTTCACTCTGTACAAATGAGATTAGGATTTCTCTAATAAATGAAGAGGCATACAGATATTTAGCCTGGGCGTGGTGGCTTATGGCTACAATCTCAGCACTTTGGGAGGTCAAGAGGGGAGAATTGTTTGAGGCCAGGAGTTCAAGACCAGCCTGGGCAACATAGGGAGAACCTGTCTCTACAAAAATAAAAATAAAAAAGTCAGCCTGATGTGGTGGTGCACACCTATAGTCCCAGCTGCTCAGGAGGGTGAGGCAGGAGGCTCACTTGAGCACAGAAGTTTGAGGCTGTAGTGAGCTAAGAAGGTACCACTGCTCTCTAGCCTGGGCCACAAAGCAAGGCTCCGTCTCTAAAACATAAATAAATAATATATTTAGACATATATAAGAGAAGAGAAAGATGCTGAGAGCTGAGAGTTCCATACTTTTCAAACTGTGTGGGGAGCATCAGGGAATTTGCACCAGTAGCTGCCTCCGCCTGAGGAGCTTTGCTAAGGATTTAATGGATATGCTCCTTTATAGGATTGGAAAACTGAACAGAGAAGGGTTGGGAACCGTGAATGCTATTTAAGTTGGCCTCTCTGTCCTTCTGTCAATGTGATGAATGGGCATGGTAACGGAGAAACCCTGGATGACAAGAGGTAACGCATGTTGGGTCAACAGGACAGGGCCTCACACACAGAAAGCACACCATGCACGTTGGACACCACTGTTACTGCCCCACCATTGTTGATTGACAGGGCTTGGCGGTGTTCCAGAGGAAACACACCTTCCCCGGGAGTGTGACTCCAGGGCATGTACCTGACACCTTTGGTACTTTTCTTGGTTCTTTTCACTTTTCTCTCCAAATGTAAAGGTTGGCTGTAGCAAACTCAGACACTAGGTAAAATATACTAGGCACAGAGTTTAGAAATACTAAATTCCTTCACTCATGAAATATTCTATGGAGTTGTCTCATGAAAAAACACACATGCACACACATACATATGGGTGCACACACACGTTTACACACACATACACCTTAAGAAGAATTTTCCCTTCTTTTTGCTTTTCACTTGATGACTGAGTGGTGGAATTTAAACACTGAGGACACCTGAGAACTGCAAAAGAACTGTGGACACATAGTGACTCCATCCAAACCTCTGCACGAAACCATTTCACCAAACACCGGCATGGCTTTCAGCAGCATGAGGCTATGTCCCTGGGATGTTCACAACCCCCCGGCCTTAAAATACCTGCAAGTGAAAACTCAATGCTTCCAGCATTTACTTGTCCCAACAAAGTTTAGTATTTGTTCCAACCAAAACCTAGTGATAGGCAAGAGGCCACTAAACCTCACCATAGGGCAGTTACTTTAGAAAGCTTGCAATTATACATTCTTCATCTGCCCTTGAGAATGTAAATCTTCTATCACCCAGAACTGTCTCTACAAGGACCTGGAAGACATCTCTTTGAAATGGCAACTTCCAAGGTAATCCCTTTGCCCTGGCTTTGCTCCCAGTCACCGGGGGAAAGGACGGCCTGATGGCTGAGTGGGGGAGAGGACAGCCCTCCCTCTAACCTGCCTCACTGCCTCCTGTCAGGAAGACAGGAGGAGTTTGCTTCTCCTCCAGATGAGCCCCAATTAGCATGCCCAGGTGGCCTAGACACATGGACCAACCCTCCTTAACACCCTCAGTGCCTTTCCCTGAGTACAGCCTTTATGTAGATAATGCCAGTTGTGGGAAGGCAGGACCTGGGACTAGCAAGTAGCTGCTGATGGATGAATGAATGTAGCGATATGGTTTGGATCTGTGTCCCCATCAAATCTCATGTCACATTGTAATCCCCAGGGTTGGAGGTGAGACAGGTGGGAGGTGATTGGATCATGGGGGCAGAGTTCTCATGAGAGGGCTAGCACCATCTCCTAGGTGCTGTTCTCGTGACCGTGACTGAGTGAGTTTTCATGAGATCTGCTTGTTTAAAGGTGTGCGGCACCAGCCGCCTCTCTCTCTCTTCCTCCTACTCCAGCCATGTGAAGTGCTGGCTCCCTCTTCATCTTTCACCAAGACTGTAAGTTTCCTGAGGCTTCCCCAGAAGCAGAAGCCACGATGCTTCCTGCATAGCCTGCAGAACCGTGAGCCAATTAAACCCCTTTTCCTTATAAATTACCCAGTCTCAGGCATTTCTTTATAGCAATGCAAGAATGGACTAATACATATGTCAATCAGCATTGCTCATTGCCCCAGATCCAAGCCAGCAGGCCTGAAGTGAAACCTCACATTTATAGGGAAGGTCCCTTGACTTTTTCTCATCACAGGTGCCCAGGCTGGGCTAAGTTCTTATTACAAGTCCTCCACACCACCATTCCCCTTCCATGGAAGCCATTCATTCATGATTATATGTTGTTGTTTATTTCCCCCATAAGACTGTTGGTGCTGTTCCCTGACTTAAAAATATGTGTGCAGGCCAGAGAATAGTTCAATAGTTCCAGGAAAAAAATTGAAGCAACATATGGGTGAACCCTACCTTTGAGAAAGTCAGTTTTTATAAGACTGTGAGATAATAATAAGCAACCTATTTGTAGTCTTTACTTTTTAAAATGCTTCCCTATACACCATGGTCATAGTGGCGATATTCACAATAACCAAAAGGTAGAACAATCCAAGTGTCAATCAGTGAATGAATGGTTGAACAAGATGTGGTATATATATATACAGTGGAATCGGATTCAGCTGCCAAGAGGAAGGAAATTCTGACATGTGCTACTACATGGATGAAACTTGAAAACATGATGCTAAGTGAAAGAATCCAGTTATGAAAGGGCTATTCCTGTATGATTCCACTTATGTGAGGTCCCTAGAGTGGCCCAATTCATAGACAGAGAAAGTAACATTCAGATTACCAGGGGCTGGGGAGTTAGTGGTACAGAGTTTTCGTTTTGCAAGATGAAAAGAGTTACGGAGATCGGCTGCACAACAATGTCAACACTACTGAACTGTACACTTACAAATGGTGAAGATGGTACATTTTAGGCTTTGTATATTTTACCATGATTTTTTAAAGACCAAAATAAATAAGTAAATAAAATGTTTCCCTGCATTAGCTGATTTGTACCATGCACCAACTTGGATAGGTTAGGAAGCAGCAACAGAAGATCCTCTCTCCTACTCAGGCAGCTCTCCCAGTCAGGCCCACCACGGCCTCTGTACATGTCCACACGTGGGAACACCTCTGCCACCACCGGCCACACTGCTCCAGTGCTGGGATCAAGGAAAAGCAGGGTTGTTTCGTAGACATCACTGACTCCTCAGGACCTCTCACAGTATAGGTACAGGTCTGGCTCTGCATAAATGTGTGCTGAATAAGTGATGGATCCCAATGTTATGCATGGGGCAACTCAGCCAAGGAGTTGCTTGATTTTTTAAAGACCATGTGGCTTTAAAGCTCAGTGGCTTACCTGAGCCTGCTCAGCTAGTCAGAGGGTCAGAGCTCACACTTCTTTCCTTTGCCTCCAAAATATAAACTAGATAAATCAAGGAGAAAAAATTATGTTCGTACAGATGGAGCTCATGGCACTTTCTAACACTTGTCCAAGTTTTTTACACAAGCTTCAGGAGTGTATTAAAAATACATCATCTAATTCAAGAAAAATGAGAATGAAAATTCATATTCCTACCTAGTTTGAGGTATGAAAAGGTAGTACCCCTGTATTATTTATATCATTCTTTAATATCTCTCAGTTCTGATTCTGAGAGATCAGACTGTCATCCCTCAGACAGTGATGGGAACAACCCCAGGCAGCTGGTCCCCTGAAATCACCCTCAAGACTCATAAAGCCAAGGCCCTCCAGCAGCTGTGTGTGAATCACGCCAGCACTGCAGCAACCTTACATGAGGTGCACTGCTTTAACCTCCAAGACTCAATTCACAGAGACCACCTAGAACGCAGAAGACTGGCAGGAGCTCCCTTAGAAAACATGTGCAGCTCTCTTCTGTGAGCACACCGAGGAGGTGGGACAGCTCTGCGTGCCAGAGCTGTCCAGCCTGACCGCAGGTCTGAGAGAATGCACTTAGAGAGATGCTTCAGGGATGAGAAGGAAGACAGTTCACTGCACCAGGGGCCCTGAGACCACAGTGCATCCTCCTTGTGGCAGGATCCCAGGAACAGCACCTGGCACAACCGCAGCACCCAATACCTTGAGTGAGTAGAAGCTTGAGTGGATGAGTCCATCAAGATCAAAGCCTCTGATCTGGACGTCCTGCTTCTTCCCAACAACTGCACCTATACACTTTTGGAAGCAAGACTCAAAGGTGGAGAGCACTGTTTTCTGTGGAAATGGTGAATGTTCTTTTTCAAAGGTGTCCCTTGGGTACATCCCATAAATACATGCACAGCAGTCCTAGACGGATGCTACTTAAGAGAATGGGGTCTTTATGAAGAAGGCTTAGGAGAAAGGCAAAGTGGACATAAAACTGATTTTGTGGGTCTTATTTGCAGAAGGAGAAAAGGATCTGGGGAGTCCGGTTATTTTCCTAGTGTACTGGCAGTTTCACATACCCCGGAAATGGGGGAATGACACATCTGCCAGCTCTCCCCGTTTGCTCTTGCCCTGACCTGGAGGCAGGTGTGCAAAGCAGAGCAGGTGTGAGTGGACAACGTGCACCCCCTTGTCTTCCACTATGATAACTCTACTCACAGAGCAGCCATTGGCGGCCTCTTCTGACTGATTCTGAAGGATGGAGACCTCAAAATTCAGCTTAAGCCACTAAGCATAATTTGTATTTTGGAAATACTTCGTCTAAGACTTGTGACTAACAATCCCCCCTCAAGATCTCTTATTGGGTCCCCTGAAACCCTGAATGTCACCAGAGCTGCCTGGAGGACCCTAGGAATAGTCACAGGTATCACTCGCCTCTTGCCCTTAGCCTCAACCTTTCTCAGAAAACTTAGGTAAATAGGGAGGCTCAGTAAATGACACAGGATGAAAAATGGCTATTACTTCTGAGTCTTCTGAAAGTAGAAGATGCCACATCCAATGTGTCAAGACATTTCTATCCTAGCTGCTGGGCCTGAACACCATCCTACCACAAAATACATGACATCCACACTCCCAAAGCCTTCCCAAAATACTTCACAGGGAAGGGAGTAAATGGCACTGCACACTAGTGTTAAGTATACTGCATACACTCTGGCTCTTACTACTAATATAACAAAGAAGAAGTATGCATGAAGCTTTATTTGTACCCAAAAGTATTCATTTTCTAAATGTTTTAGTGTATTTTAGATGCAGTGGAGTACATGTGCATGTTTGTTACATGGATATACTGTGAAGTGGCGGGGATTAGCCTTTGAGTGTAGCCATTATCTAACTAGTAAACATTGTACCTGATAGGTAATTTCTCAGCCTCTGACCTCCTCCCGCCTCCCTGCTTCTGGAGTCCCCAGTGTCTATTCTTTCCATCTTTATGTCCATGTGTACCCAGTGTTTGCTCTCACTTATATGTGAGAATATGCAGTATTTGTTCTTCTGTTCCTGCACTAGTTCACTTAGGAAATTAGCCTCCAGCTCCATCCATGTTGCTGAAAGGGACATGATTTCATTCATTTTCATGGCTGCATAGTATTCCATGATGTATATATGCCACATTTTCTTTATGCAGTCAACCACTGGTGGGTAATTATATTAGTTCACGACTCATGACTTTGCTATTGAGAAGAGTGTGCAATGAATATATGAGTGCAGTTGTCTTTTTGATACAATGATTTCTTTTTTTGGGGGGTTACATACTCCGTAGTAGGATTGCTGGATCTAATGGTAGTTCTATTTTTAGTCTAGAAATAACATTTATTCATTCATCTGCTCAATATTATGCACGTTTAAGGAGTACTTACTGCGTACTGAACTACAATGAACAAAACAAAAATCTCTGCCTTTATGTAACCTTAAAGGGGCAGACAGAGGATAAATCAGTGCTCCAAGCACTTGTGGCATTAACTTACTTAATCCTTACCTCAAACCTGTGAAATAATATCTGTTGCGCTCCTAAGTCTAAGATGATGAGAGAGAGCCACAAACTGGTTAGATTTGCCCAAGGCCACCTGGGTAGGGAAGGAGAGTTACAGAGTCATTTTCTCACCATAAAAGTGTTTCTTGTCTGTTCTCCTGACAAATCATCACTTCATGTGGAATTATAAATAACTATAATACATCTAATTTTTAAAATTGAACTTCTTATCTGATAGGAATTGCCCTCAGCTGTCAGTAACAGGGAACTAACTGTGGTGGATAAAGCAAATGGATGTAATATTCTTCACACAGGACACGAAGTCTGGAGTTTGGGACTCCAGGGTAGCTGCAGCAGCTGCAAAATGCTTTTGGAGACTGGGGCTTCTTTTCCTATTCCACTCAGTCATGCTCTGTATGTGACTTTTATCCACTGTGTTTCACCTCATTCTCATTCACTTCACCTTCACATTTCAGACAAGAAAAAAAGGAAAAAACCTCTTATCAACAAAATCTGCCACCTTTTTTTCCTTTCTTTTCTTTTCTTTTATTCTTTTCTTTTTTTTTTTTTTTTTTTGGAAATAGATTCTCCCTCTGTCACCCAGGCTGCAGTGCAGTGGCATGATCACAGTTGACTGCATCCTTTACCTCAAGGTCTCAAGCCATCTTTCTGCCTCAGCCTCCTGAGTAGCTGTGACAACAGGCATGTGCCACCACACCCAACTATTTTTTTAAGTTTTTTTAGAGAGGGAGTCTCACTATGTTGCCCAGTCTGGTCTCAAACTCTTGGCCTCAAGTGATCCTCCTGCCTCTGCCTCCCAAAGTGTTGAGATTGCAGGCATGACCCACTGCTCCCAGCCAAATCTGCCACATTGAAAATTTTCCCAGCAGCCTAACTAGTGACATGTTTACAACTCATCCATGAGAATCATGTCTGGTGGTCGCCTCTACCTAGGGACACCATCACCCAAAACAAAGTTGGGAGTGTTGTCCCTTAGAAGATGAAAAGAACAGACATGTGCAAGACTCCTCAGGATCATCTTGGGCATTCTTGGACCTTCATATTTTCAAATGTAATTTAGTCAATTTCTACAAAAAAAAATGCTGAGATTTTTATTGCAATTGTATTGACTATTATGATCTTAAGGAGAACTGATATCTTTACAATATTGAATCTTATAGTCAATAAATAGGGTTTCCCATGAAATTTAATATCTCTCAACAATCTTTTGTAGTTTTCTGTGTAGAATCTCATGCACATTTTATTGGATATATTCCTAGCTAGTTAAGACTTTTGTTGTTATGGTAAATGTGATTGCATTTTATTTTATAAGCATTTGTTGCCAGTACACGGAAATAAAGTTGACTTTTTTATTGATCTTAAATCCAATGACATGGCTGAGTTAATTTAATTTTTCTGATACTTGGCTTAGACTCCTTGGACTTCTGCAGAAACCAGATGTCTGTGGTGAAAAATTGTAACTTTATTTTTTCCTCTACAATACTTCCCCACCCTCATCGTATTGCTTTTTCCTTTCTTATAATGTTCTTGTCATATTATGATGGCAAAATTATGTTGACTTCATAAAGTGAATTAGTAAATGTTCCTTTTTTCTATCCTCTAGGAGTTGAGAGTAATTGGAATTATTTCTATCGTAACACTTTGTAAGATTTCATTGGAGAAGCCATCTGAACCTAAAGCTCACTTTGGGAGGAGGATTTTAGTTATCTATTCAGTTTTTGTTAATACTTGATGAGATTTTTAAGAAGTATTTTTATTTTGGTGCTATTGTTAATTGTATTGTATTTTAAATTTCAAATTCCTTGTATAATAACCTTGATAATTTCACTTATTAGTTCTAGGAGCTTTTTGTGTGGCTACCTTAGAGTTCTGTATACAGTGTATAAACAGTTTTATTTCTTGATTTTTCCATGTGTATTCCTTTTACATCTCTTGGGTACCTTATTGAACTGGTTAGAACTTATCTTGGGATGTTGAGTAGGAGTGGTAAGAAAGGACAATCTTGCTTTGTTCTAATTATCAGAGGGAAAGAATTTAGTCTCTCATAATTTTAGTATTATGCTAGCTGTAGGATTGTTGTTTTTCTTTGGTCAACTGTGTTTATGAGGTTAAGAAAGTTGCTTTCTGTTTCCAGTTTGTTGAGAGTTTTTATCATGAATGTATATTAAATTTTCTTGTTTGCTTTTTCTGCGTCTTTTGAAGTGATCAGATTTTTTTTCTTTAGTAATGTAATGGCACATTACATTTTAATGTAGAATGTTGAACCAGTCTTGCATTCCTGAGAAGAAGCCCAGTTGGTCATAGTGTATTCTATTTTTGTGTATTGCTGGACACTATTTTCTAATATTTTATTGAGGCTTGCATCTATGCTGACAAGGGATATTGGACTATTCTTTTATAGTGATGTCTTTGTTCATTACAGTATATGGGTAATGCTAGTCTGTAGAATTGATACCTTTATCTTTAGTTAATGTCCTCCACTTTCCTTAATGGTTTCTGTTCTAAAATCTGCTTTGCTTAAATTAGCGTTGATACTCCAGCCTTCTTTAGGTTCATGTTTCCATTTTATATATTTATCTCTCCTTTTATTTTTAACTTATTTATGCCTTTATATTCAAAGTGGGTTTTTTTTTGTAGAAAGCATATAGTTGGGTCATACTTTTGTATCTAATATGATGATTTCTGTCTTTTAAATGCTGTGTTTAGAACATTCATATTTAATATGATTCTTGAAATGGTTAAATTTAAAACTACCATCTTGCTAGTAATTGTATACTAGTTTCATATTTTCTTTATTTAAACAAACTTTCTGCCATGTGGTGTTTAACACCTTTTTATGATTTCATTTTATATACTCTATTGAATTGCTATTTAAAAACTTTTACTTTTAGTGTTTGCCCTCAGATTTACAATATACATCTTTAATCAGAGTCTAACTTTAAATAATATTATGCTACTTCCCATATATTTTAAGAAACTTACAGCAAAATATTCCAAATTCTACCCTCTTATCCTTTCTGTCATATATTGTGCTCTTACATGTAGTATGAATACACAATACATTTCTCCTATTTTTGTTTTAGAGTTCACTATCTTTTGGACCAATTAAAAGTTTAAAAAATCAACTTTAATTATTCTATTCTCAGTGCTGTTTATTTATGTGTGTAGATCTAATTTTTAGTCTGATACCAATTCTTTCTGCCTGAAAAATGCCCTGTAATTTCCTGGCAAGTGAGTATGCCAGCTATGAATTCTTTCCGTTTTTGTTTCTCCAAGAAAGTCTTTATTTCTCCTTTATTTGGGGAAAATATTTTTGTGGCATATAGAATTCTGGGTTGACAGCTTTTTTACTTTCAGCACTTTGAAATTCTCACTCCATTGCCTTTTGGTTTGCATAATTTGTATTAAAAGTCTCCTAAATTATTTCCCACGTTCCTCTGTAGTTAATGTATCTGATCAGTTCTCTATTCCCATAGGTTTATCTTTTCAAGAATGTCATCTAAATGCAATTATACACTATGTAACCTTTTAAAATTAGTGTCTTTCACTCAGCATAATGCCTTCCTCTAGGTTATTGCATGTATCAACAGTCTATTCCTTTTATTTATGAGTAATAGTGCCTTGTATAAATATATCTCAGTCTGTTTACCCAACCATCCATTGATAGACATTTGGATCATTTCCAGTTTTCAACTATTACAAATAAAGCTGCTGTGAATATTCATGTGCAGGCTTTGTGTGAAACATAAATTTTCATTTCTCTATCCAGGAGCAGAATTTTAAGTTTATGTTTGAATTTATAAAATACTGAAAAACTATTTTTCACAGTCACTGTAGCAGTTTTCATTCCCACCAGAAACTTATGAACATTCCATACATCACATCCACGCCAGTCCTTCATATTTCAGTCTTTTTTATTCTAGCCACTCGAATTGATGTGTGGTGGTGTCTCATTATGTTTTTAATTTGCATTTCCATAATGGCTAATGTTATTTAACAGCTATTTGTATGCTTATTTGCCACAATTATATCCTCTTTGGTAAAAAGTCTGTTCAAGTTCTTTGCCCATTTTTAAAATTGGGTTGTTTGTTTTTATGTGGTTGAAAATTGACAGTTCTTTATGTATTTTGGATACAAACCTTTGTTGAATATATAATATGTAAACATTTTCTGTGTATGCCTCAGATTTTCATTCATTTCCTTTTTTCTTCTCTTTTTTTTTCTGAGGCAGGATCTTACTTTGTCACCCAGGCTGAACTACAGTGGCACAATCACAGCTCACTGTAACCTCTAATTTCTGGGCTTAAACAATCCTCCTGCCTCTGCCTCCTAAGTAGCTTGGACTACAGGCAAATTCTTTAAACTTTTTTGTGTAGAGATGGTGGTCTCACTATGTTGCCTAACCTGATCTCAAACTCCTGGTTTTAAGTGCTCTCCTGGCTTGGCCTCCCAAAGCACTGGGATTACAGGCATAAGCCACCATGCCTAGCCAGATTTTCATTATTTTAGCAATGCTTTACAAAGAGCAGAGGTTCATAGCTCTGATACAATTCAATTTATATATTTTTTTCTCTTATGGACCATGCTTTTAGTGTTGAGTCTAAGAAATAGTTGTGTAAGTGACTTTCTCTTATGTTTTCTTTAGAAGTTTTATAGATTTAGGTTTTACATTTTCACTTTTGAACTATTTTTAGTTAATTTTCTATGTAGTGCAAGGTAGGGATTGATGTTTACATTTTTGCGTATGTACATGTAATTGTCTCAATACCCCCTATTGATTCCATTGTATTGTGGTTTCTATTGTTTTCTGGAGATGTCTGTAGTCAGGCTTACTGTTGCTCCTTTAAAGGCAAATTTTTTTTGGTCTTTTTCTTTGGGCTGTTTTAACTTCGTTCTTTGTGGTTTAGTTTTCATTAGTTTAACTTTGATGTGTTCAGGAGTGATTATTTGTATTTACCCAAGCTGGCTTTCTTAGAAATTCTTGAATCTGAGATTTGATGTCATTCATCAGTTTTGAAAACTCTCAACCAGTATCTCTTCAATTATTTTACCTACCCCATTTTTTGCTACTGTCTGCTAGGCCTTTAATTACACATAATTTAGATCTCTACCCTATGTTGAATATGCTTCTTTTGTTTTTTCTCCTATTTCCCACAGTTTAAAATGTTCTTTATGCTTCAGTATAAACATTTTCTCTTGACACATCATTCCATTTCTCTAATTATTTCTTCTGGTATTTTTAATCTCCTGTTTAAAACATATGTTCTTAATTTCAGTTCTAGAAATTCTCTTTTATTCTTTTTGGCAGATTATAGTTCTCTATTGATATTTTCCTTCTTGCTCACTAGTTTTTTGGTATTTATAATTAAAATTACTTTAAAAATCAAGTTAATATCATCTGTGGGCCTGTTTTTATTGTCTGTTTTGTCATCTTTGTCAACTTCTTGGCATACATACTAGATACCAGATTGTAAGACAGAAATTCTTCATGGAGGACTATAGAGGCTCCAGATATCATTACGTTTTAAGAAAGGATTCATCCTATCTTCCACAAATTGCTGGTGTAGGACAGATTGATCTCCTCAACTTAAACAGGCATAACCTGACCTCAGATCTCTTTCAGACTTTTTAATGCCTGGTCTACATTTATTTTATTCTCAATTCTAATATGAAGCCTTCAAGGGATTCACATGAGAGTCTGAGATGTTTACCAGGGAGACTTCTATGTAGAGGACACTAAACTTCAGTTTTTTCTCTCCCCCACAATGATTGCTGAAAGCTCCACTCAGCTTTTAATCTCATTACTCATTTTTTGTTGTTGTTGTTTTTGGGCTTCTCACCCTGTGAAGCCTATGAATCAGCAGATGCTTTTAAGAAAATCTTAGAGCAAAATGTAGTGCTTATTTCTCTGAAATACCCTTCTCTATGAGACCTTAGCTACTCATGATCTGGCTATCTTGGCAAACATAAACTATAAGGTTTGTCCCCTTAGCCCCAAGTAACTGCCAAAGAGTATTGTGGCTTCCTGGCTTCTGGAATCTATCCTCTACCCTCTCTTTTCAGATTCCTGCCCTCTGCTCATGTTCCAAGGAGAGAAATAGTGCATATAAGGTTTGTGTCATTTCAATAAGCTTTTCTTCTCTCCACATTCTTGGAACTTCAATTCCAATTGCCTCTACATCTCTCTAATTAGTCCAAGTGAAGTTCTTTCCCTGTGGATATATTGTTGGATTGAATTGACTAATATTTTGTTTAGGATTTTTTGCATCTATTTTTACAACAGATATTACTACTTTATTATGGTATCTATATATTGTTTTGGTACATTCATCAAGCCTTTATTGCAAGGCCAGAACCAAGGGTGACTTGACATTAATTTTCATAGTAGTAAGTTATATCTTAGGGTTCTCTTCAGCAGGATACCTAGTGCCTCAGGTAGGGTAGGTGTCAGGCTAGAATTGACACTAGAATTATGATTCACTATAAGATGATATCTGTTTTACAGGAACTGGGGGATGGTCTGTGTGTGTTTATTTGTTTTACCACAACAGCTACTTATAGAACCTTCATTGAAGATTCCTTTGAAAGTTCACCATCAAAAAGAAAACATGTAAAAACATATCACATATTGTCATTGCTCTGTTTTTATTAATTCTCTTTGACTAAAGGATGACCTCTATTTTCTTACTTTGGTATTTAAGGTTTCCCATAATCTGACACCAATCTTGTTTCAATTCCCATGTAATCCCTTGTTCTGTTATCTATATTCCAATCAAATTAACATTAGCCATTTTTTACATGGTTTTCATTTCCCAACATGAATGTCTCTGTTGATATTGTTTCTCTGGCTTAGAGAGCACTTCCTTACTGTCAATCAGGACATGTTCAATTCCTATCCCCACTTTAAGGCTCTACTTGGAGGTCACAACCAGTGTGGAATTTCTTCAGCATGAATAATCTCCCAAGCTTAATTCCTACAACAATTTATGAGTATCTGTCCTGTGTCAATTAACACTTTCTGCTTTACATTTTAGTTACCTAGCCATGTCCTGTTAGGGCATTTCCAAAGTTTGGTGAGTGAACTACCCTGGTGGCCTGGAGAGCTCAAGATCTTCCTACCATAAACTTTTCCAAGTTCATCACCAGCACCACTGCTGCTACCTACCAGATATTTCAGAAATAAATCAAACATAGTATCTGGTTTGTTTTCTAAGGCAGGAACATATGTTAGGAGCAGCATCCAAAAACCCACTTTGGGGTTATCAGCAATGGCTCCAGTCCATCTGGGACTCAAACTCATATTCACCCTCCAGGCCAGAGAGGGGTCAGGCAAGTGATCTGCTACACATGCCATAATAGCCACCTCCTAAACCCATTTCCCTCACCTTACTGGTGAGGAAATTTTGACCAAAAGGATGGGTCCCTGCAGGGAGTGGGGCTTCTGTTGGTAGGCGTCTGTGATGGGGAGATGAGCAACATAGGACTCATCAAATGTCATTTACAGGGCTGGACATTCCAGGAATGAAGAGCCCACATTGATTCATTTTTGTGTATCCAAAATCACCTGGTGCAGTGCTACCTGTGTTCAATAAACATGCAAAAAATGAACCCTATGTCCATTCACAATACAAGAAAATGTTTAAAATATTAATCCCTGCCAATAAGTTTAGAAGTCATGAGATGCCAAACACTATGCAGAACAAAATGCTTGCTGCTTACTGTGTTGGCAGTAAATCGTAAGCTATATTTCCTCTTCCTCTCATCCCTTTGTGTACTCTACCCTGGCTTGCAATATTCCTTCATTGCTAAGTCTAATTTTCCAAGCCTCCTGGGACATAAGCTGTGGTTGGAATGATGTTCTTGAGCTGCGATTGCATTAGCACAGGCAGGGAACATCTTATTCCTTGGTTCATTTTAGCAGCCAAGGGATCCTGAAGTTCAAAGCCCTGATTAGTGGCACTGCACTCCTTTCCCATTCCTCCTTCCTTTCATTAAAGTTATGAGAGCAAGAGAGGGATAAATGAAAGGAATCTCACCCAAGGAGACTGTGTCTGAAAATCGTAATAAAGACTCATTTTGTGCCTCAGCTTTCACATCATTTGTAAAAATACCTTTTGATCTGCTGCACAGTCTTCTTATTTTCTGTTAATTTCTCATGGGAAGAAAAGATTGGCAGTTCAGGGTTACAGACAAAATTGAGAATCCTGCAGTAAATTTCTTGCCTACAGAACTGGTTTTACGGTATCTAACAATACAGAGATGACAGACCCTGACTCATTCTGAGTGCAGCCAGGAAATCTGTGCCAAAGGACCCCACAACCTGGGACAGATGTCATCTGTATGCACAGGCGGGTCCCGGGTTCTGGCCCGACTCTTTCTTACAGACAGATAATGTTGGATTCTTGCTGACCCCTCCTGAATTCAGTTTCCCATAGGACACTGGATCTAATGGGATTTAAGGATCTAATGAGATTGTGCATGGGAAAGCAAAAAGGGCTGCTGCCATCCATATTAAGTTTTTGGTATTGCCCTAATCTCTTCTGTTTTTATCAGGCATCAGTCCCTTCCCTTTGTCTCAGAGATGCCCCAACTAGCCCTGCAAGGATGGGATGAGTGGAATTAGGAGCACAGGGGGAAGACCCACACACACAGCCCCACAGAGCCACAGCCTCCCCCCACCCCCCTCTCAGTGCTCTCCTCTGGCCACTGTGTCAGGTCGAGGTGCCATCCTGCGGTGCAGGTGCCAGGGAGGACACAACCCCATTGTGTCCTCTTATGTGTACAGAAGGAAGCACAGCTGACACACACACACAGTGTGTGGGTGCTGATGTGTCCACACTGAGCCTTTAAGTTGAATTTTTCTCCATAAAACTGTAGTTTTCAAAGTGGCATATGGGTACTGCCTGATCTGGTACTTATCTCAGTGCTGAATTCAGAAGCCCTCTGCCTGCACAAGGCCTAGTGAACTGGAAAGCTCCGCCACAGAACATCTTCTCCCCGTATTCTCCTTCCTGACTATTAGCTACTGCTGAGATTTAGGGGCAAGTGGTGTAGTCAGTACCAGCTGACAGAGTGGCCTCAGTTGTGGTGTGTTTTGGACCAGTTCTTTATTTTTCAAGTTGAGCCTTGGTTTCTGATGTATGTTAGTAACTACATAAATATCTAGTAAACAAATAACCACTACTATGTGCCAAGCATCAAGAATATAAAAACCACAATATAGCAGAGAGAAGAAATCTACGTATGAAGGGATGTTGTCTGGAACAACTCCCTGCACCCAGGAGCTCTCAACCTGGGCACTCCTGACCCTTGGCTTGTGGGGAGCTGCCCTGTCCCTTGTAGGGTGTTTAGTGGCACCCCTGGCTTCCTCCCACTGGATGTTAGCAGCAGCCACTCCCAAGTGTGCCAGCCACAGTTGTCTCCAGACATTGTCCAGTGTCCCTTGGCAAGGGAGGGTGGGTGAAACAACTCTGAGTGAGAACTGCCACCCTTGTTCCAGGATTGGGAAGTGGGAACTGAAGCCGAGGACAAAGAAGACCACGTCTCCCACACCCTGAATTCAGACACATCCCATTCTTATTAAGAGTCTGCTCAACCGGCCCTGCCATCCCTGCCATTACCCCCATTCCTCTGCAATTTACTTAAAAGAAGGGGAGGAAAAAGAGGGAAGGAGAGACAGGAAGCGTTCTTATCGGCTGGGGAAGGCTGAAACCCAAGTAAGAGAGCATCTGAGAGGATGAGTCACCAAGAATGACCACGGAGAACCTGTGCAGCTGCCTCCAGCTAAGAAAAACACTCCCTGATCTCCCTACTAACTGATTCAATAAGCAAAAGGGGAAGAACCCAGAAACAGAGGGGAGGAAAAGCTCAAAGGCAGAGAAGCCCTCTTTCCTTTCAAGTCCTTGGACTTGATCCAATGTGGAAAGCAGAATAGCATTTTAAATCATCATGGAGGAACTTCTGCTTCATTGCCAAGATGGAGTAACAGGAACAAAATTTACTCTTGTACCTGACATAAAAAAAATGAGATGCGGCGGGTGCAGTGGCTCATGCCTGTAATCCCAGCACTTTGGGAGGCCGAGGCAGCGGATCACCTGAGGTTGGGAGTTTGAGACCAGCCTGACCAACATGGAGAAACCCCATCTCTACTAAAAATACAAAATTAGCTGGGCATGTGGCGCATGCCTGTAATTCCAGCTACTTGGGAGGCTGAGGCAGAATCACTTGAACCCAGGAAGTGGAGGTTGTGGTGAACCGAGATTGTACCACTGCACTCCAGCCTGGGCGACAAGAGTGAAACTCCATCTCAAGAAAAAAGAGAGAGAGAGAGAGAGAGAGAATATTTGAACAAGTTTTCAAGAGCTTGCACATCAGAAAATGAGGGACAGTAATCTCTAAGAGATGAGAAGCAGACAAGGTGAGCCCTGTGATTGCTCCAGTTTGGTACCTTGAGAGAGTTTCCTGGTTAAAGTGCGGGGACCCATGCCTGGTCCCGCAGTGGGTGGATCCATGCCTCGTCCTGCAGTGGAAGAGGCTTTGCTGAGTCCAGGAGACCAGACAGCTGGAGTGCAGAGGACAGAACACAGAGATGCAAGCAGTGTAGATACTCCAGTCAAGGCAGAGTTTGTCAGTGTGGGTAAATAGCAAGTCACACTGTAGGCTAGCTGCAAGAAAGACATTTTAAATATTAAGACACAAATAGGACAAAAGCAAAAAAGTGAGAAATTCCATTCTAAAACTAATCACGAGAAAGTTGGAGTGGCTATATTACCATCAGTTGAAGCAGGTTTCAGAGCGAGAAATACTGTAACTGAATGCCAGTCTGGCTGCTTGCTGCCCAGAAGCCAAAATACAACAAAGACTACAGAGAAGAAAACACTTTTTAAATTTTTTTTTTTTTTTTTTTTTTGAGACAGAGTCTTACTCTGTCTCCCAGGCTGGAGAGCAGTGGTACCATCTCATCTCACTGCAACCTCCGCCTCCCCGGTTCGGGCAATTCTCATACCTCAGCCTTCCAAGTAGCTGGGACTACAGGCATGCACCACCACACCCAGCTAATTTTGTATTTTTAGTAGACATGGGATTTCACCATGTTGCCCAGGCTGGTCTAGAACTCCTAACCTCCAGTTATCAGCCCACCTTGGCCTCCCAAAGTGCTGGGATTCTGGGCGTGAGCCACCACACCAAGCCTAAAATGCATTTTGAAACTAAGCTACTTGATTATGATATCACCGTGGATAATTAAAGTCATTTTATCTTGATAAAGGAATCAGTTCATCAAGTGGACAAAACAGTCTTAAATGTTTATGTAGCTAATAACAGGGCTTCAAAATATATAAAGCAGAAGTGGCTAGAACTACAAGCAGAAACACTTCTTTTATGTATGTATGTATGTATTTCAATAGGTTTTTGGGGAACAGGTGGTGTTTGGTTATATAAATAAGTTATTTAATGGTGATTTCTGAGATTTGGTGTACCCATCACCCAAGAAGTGTAATCTTTTATCCCTCACCCTCCTCCCGCCCTTTCCCCGGAGTCCCCAAAGTCCATTGTATCATTCTTACACCTTTGCATCCTCATAGCTTAGCTCCCAATTATGAGTGAGAACATACGATGTTTGGTTTTCCATTCCTGGGTTACTTCACTTAGAATAATAGTCTTCAATTCCCTCCAGGTCGCTGCAAATGTGAAACAGGCAAAACACTTCTGATGAAGAAGAAGAATCTTGGAGGACTCACATTACCCAATTTCAAGACTATTAAGCAATGAAGACTTAGTGAGACCAGCATCAAGATACACAAATAGATCAATGGAACAGAAGAGAGTTGAGAATAGACGTACATATAGTCAGACAATGAATTTTTGACAAAGGTATAAAGGCAATTCAGAAACAAAGGATAATCTTTTAAAGAAATGTCATCAAGAATTTTAAAAAAGAACAGAAAAACATGAACTTGGATCCACATTCTTGCACCACATACAAAATGAATGCAAGATAGATTTAGACCAAGATATAAATCCTAAAATTATAAAACTTCTCAAGGAAAACATAGAAGAAACACCTTTCTAACTTTGATTTAGATAAAGATTTCTCAGAAATGACACTGAAAGTATGGTTCATAAAGAGAAACAAATGATAATTTGTTTGATTTCATCAGAATAAAAAACTTCTGCTCTTTGCCTTTTTTTTTTTCATTAAGAGAATGAAAATCAAGCCGGGGACATTGGAAGGGTGCAAGTAAAGACCATGTCCTCATCATCTGATGACACCCCAGTCCCTGTCCACTGTGCTCTGTGGAGTCTTCTTCAACCAGCATCTTCCCTTTACCTCGTAAAGGTCAAGGCATGGCCAATGTGCCAGTGGGCAGGACGAGCCCAGGCACTGCTCTGAGGTGGTTCCAGTCCAGAGCTGATCCTACTCAAGCCTGGGCTTGGCACTGATCTAACACCTGCATTGTCTCTGGCTGGATTTTCAACTGCTTTGTGACATACAGCCAGAATTGTAACATTCAAATTCTCTGATTAACAGAATGAGTACTTAAATGTTAGATAGTTTTGTTTAAATAAAACTAAATTTCCTGTTCTGAAAGAAGCAAATCCAAATCCATTTAAAATAAATTGATTGATTGATTTTTGCTACATCCAAGAGATGGCAGTGCTCTAGCTACTATTAACAGTATAGAGACAAATCCTTCAAAACCCAGAATGGATTACTCAGGTTAGTCTGGGCTGTTTTGTTGTTTTCATGTTCACTGCAGTTAGGTGAGCCTGGCCCATTGTTTACATCTCACCCCTGGGGTCCTGAGGATGGGGCAGCTTCGAGCTCAGAACTGCACACCTTCATATGTGTTCAGCCCGGAGGGCTCCCGAGGAGGGAAGGCACCATGCTTTGATGAACTTCCTCTTCCATTCCTTAAAGATAGCCTAGGCAGATTCCAGAAATTTCAGGACCTTGTCTTACTAGAAATCCACATTTTTTTAAAATAACAGTTATATCACAGTCTAACTGACATGCATTACCTGGCATATATTTAAAATGTATACTTTAATATTTTCATTTTTGTAATCACACACTATCACCACAATCGAGATGGAAAATGAATCTATTATTTCTAGAAGTTTCCTCCTACCTATCCCCAAACCACTTGTCCACAAGCAAGCACTGATCTCCTTTTTGTCACTATAAATTAGTTTGCATTTTCTAGAGTTTGAGGCAAATAAAATCATATAGAATGTACTGCTTTTTGTTTAACTTCTTTCACTCAGATAAATATTCATTCTTGTTGTATCAACAGTTCTTTCTCTTTTAGTGAATGAACATAGCAAAATTTGTTTATCCATTTTTCTGTTGATGGAAATTTAGGTTGTTTCCAGTTTGAGGCTATTACAAATAAAGCTGCTATGAATATCTGTGTATACAGTCTTTGCACAAATATACGTTTTTTGTTCCCTTGGATATATAAGAGTGAAATGGATCATATGGTAGGTATATGTTTAAATCTTAAAGAGACTGCCAAACATCCCGAAGAATTAAACCATTTTACGTTTACATTTACATCTTTGACAACACTTGGTATCACCAATCTTTTACATTTTATCCATTCTAATTTCACAGTGTTATCTCATCTTGGTTTTAATTTGCATTTCTCTCCTGACTAATAATATTGAGCATTGCTTCTTTGTTACTCAGGTTATCTTCTTTGGTGAAGTGCCTTTTCCAGTCTTTTGCCCATGTTTTAATTGGGTATTTGTTTTCCTATTATTAAGTTTTGAAGGGTCTTTCTATATTCTGGATACAGCTACTTTATTAAATACATGCTGGGCAAACATTTTCTCCCAAGCTACAGCTTTTTATTCCCTCAACTGCATTTTGAAAAACAAACATTTTTATGTATATTAAGTCTCATTTATCATTTTTACTTTTATGAATTATGCTTTTGGTAACATGCCTAAGAACTCTTTACCTAACTAACCCAAGGTAAGGTAAATGGTATCCCATTCTCTTTAAAAAAAAAAAAAAGGGTTTATGCTTCTACATTTTGCATTTAGATGTGCTCCATTTTTAGTTTTTATAGAGAATGTGAAGTAGTTGAGGTTCTTTTTTTTTTTGGAATATGGATGTCCAGTTGTTCCAACATTTGCTGAAAGCAATGTTTTATTGCCTTTGATTGTTTTCAATATTTATAAAAAATATCAATTGACCATGATTGTATGACTCTCCTTCTGGACTGTATTCCATTCCACTGATGTAGGTATGAGTCTTCCAAATCATGAGCACAATACACCTATTCATTTATTTAGCAATTTGATTTCTTTCATTAGCATGGTGTAGTTTCAGCATATACATGCTCTATTAGATTTATACATAAGTATTTTTGAAGTTTTTAAACATGGCTTTTTTTTGTTTTTGTTTTTGTTTTTTTTGGAGATAGAGTCTTGCTTTGTCACCCAGGCTGCAGTGCAGTGGCACAACCTCGGCTCACTGCAACCTCCACCTCCCAGGTTCAAGCGATTCTCCTGCCTCAGCCTCCGGAGTAGCAGGGATTATAGGGGCCCATACATGACATTTTAAAAAAATTTCAGTTTTCAATTACCTTGTTAAACTCACTTTTTTTGGTTGTTCCAGGATCTTTTTGGCAGATTCTTTGTCATTCTCTATGTAAAGAATTATGTCACCTACAAATAGGGATTTCTTTTGTCCTTTCCAATCTGTCTTTTCTTTTTCCTTATTGTATTGCACAACGAGGATTTTCAGTACAATATTAAATAGAAACGGTCAGAGCAGACGTCCTTGCCTTGTTCCTGATCATAGGGAGTAAACATTCATTTCCTTACCATTAAGTATAACATCTGCTCTACTGTTGTTTTTTTCCCATAGATGCCCTTTGTCGGGTTAAAGATGTTCTTTCCCTTCTACTTCCAGTTTGCTGCTGACAGTTTTTACCATTGGGTGGATGTTGAAATTGTCAATGCCTGTTCTGTGTCAACTAATATGATCAAGTGGTTTTGCTTCTTTGATCTGTTAATATGATGGCTTTTACTGATCGATTTCTAGATATCAAATTGGCCTTGTGTTCCTGAAATTAACCCCAGTTGGTCATAATGTATTAATTTTTTTAATACATTGCTGTACTTGATATGCTATTTTCTTGTGTATTTTTGTGCCTGTGTTTATGGGGGATAGTCGAGTATAGTTCTCTTTAATCATCTTTCTTTAAGTTTGATATCAGACATAAAAAGAATTGGGAAGTGTTTCCTTTTCCACTTACTGGAAAATAAATATAGATTTTCTGTTCTTTTTGATTTTTTATTTTGTGTGTGTGTGTGTGTGTGTTTGGTTGTTTGTTTGTTGAGACAGGGACTCACTCTGTCATCAAGGCTGGAGTGTAGTGTCATGATCTTGGCTCACCGCAACCTCCACCTCCTGGGCTCAAGTGAGCCTTTCACCTCAGCTTCCCGAGCAGCTGGGACCACAGGCACGCACCACCAGGCCTGGCTAATTTTTGTACTTTATGCAGAGACAGGATTTCACCATGATGTCCAGGCTGGACTTGCACTCGTAGGCTCAAGCAATCGCCTGCCTCAGCCTCCCAAAATGCTAGGTTAATAGATGTGAGCACCACACCTGGCCTATTATTTCTTTTTTAAATGTTTGATGTAATTCACTAATAAAAATGCACAGACCCGGGATTTTTTTCTTAAGGTCTTTAATTATGAATTCAATTTATTGAGCAGATATAAAACTAGACAGTTTGTTGGTCTTTTTATGAATGAGTTTTGATAGTTTTCAGCTTCTAAATAATTATCAAATATATGTACACAGTGCTTTTGTATTTCCCTATTGTCTGCATTAATAAATAATCATCCTTCTTTAATTTTGATATCAGACATAAAATGAATTGGGAAGTGTTTTTCATTTACTGAAAACAGATATAGAATTTTTGTTATTTCTTTTTTCTTTTTATTTTCTGTTGTTTGTGTTGTTTGTTTGTCTTTGTTTGTTGAGACAGGATGTCACTCTGTCATCCTGGCTGGAGTGCAGTGGCAAATTGTTTAATAAACAATGAAGACAATAGTAAGGGATACTAATAATATTTCTTGTTATCTATGGAGATTAGAGTGATATCCTTGCTGATACTGGTAATTTTTTTCTCTTTTTGAGGTTTATCAATTGTTTTGATCTTTTTAAAGAAATTGCTTTTAATAATTTTTATATTTATTTTATTCTAGGTTCATAGATTTCTGTTTTATCTCTAGTACTCCTTCTGCTTACATTGGGTTTCTTTTGTTCTTTTTTCCTCCTTATTTCTTATGGTGAAAATTTTGTTGATTTGAGTTTTTTCTTCTTTATCAATAAGCATTTAACGCTATAAACTCCCCTCTAAACACTGTAATAGGTGCATTCTACAAATGTTGATATGTTATATTTTCACTTTCATTTGGATCAAAATAATTACTAACTTCCTTTGACTTGTAAATTTTTTAAAGTATGTTGTTTAATTTTAGAGTATAGGGAAATTTTCCAAATTTCTTACTGTTATCCATAGCTATTTAATTCCGCTATGGTCAGAAAACATACTTTGTAGGATTTCAATTATTTTAAAATTGTTTGTTTTATGATATGGGTTATGCAGTATCCTAAAATGTGTTCCCTGAACTTTTGAAAGGAATATGTGTTCTGCAGTTGGATGGGGTTTTCCCATGTTTTGAAAGGAATATGTGTGCTGCAGTTGGATGGGGTTTTCCCATGTTTTGAAAGGAATATGTGTGCTGCAGTTGGATGGGGTTTTCCCATGTTTTGAAAGGAATATGTGTGCTGCAGTTGGATGGGGTCCCATGTTCATGGGACCCAGTTGATTGATGGTATCATTTAGTTTCTCTACAAGCTTACTGATTTTGTAATTACTGATTGAGGAGAGGTGAAGTGTCCCGATTATAATTGTGGATTTGTCTATTTCACCTTTCAGCTCTACCTTCATGTTTCTGACCTGTTGTTAGGTGCATACACTTCTAGAATTTTTGTGTCTTCCTGGTAAATTTACCTTTTTATCATTATGCAATGACCACCTTTATCCCTGGTAATTTTCCTAGCTCTGAAATTCACTTTATCTGACGTTATTGTAGAGATTATTATGGAGATAGAAAAATTACTTATTCCATATTTTATTCTGCAAATAGATCTGCCTTGGTTCTATATGCTTTTTAGTGATCTACATATCCATAAGCTAAGAGAAGGTCAAGCCCTGTCTGAAGCAAATACGCAACCTTTAAGATTAATATTTAGGGAATTCAGTCACTTCAGTCAAAACATCAATGGACATTCACTTGGTTTAACAAATCTAACATCCTGGATGCTTTGGACACACCGCAAACACACTTTAGCATGTAGTGACACTGATTTAAATTCCTCAGGAAATCAAACAAAAATGAATGAAAATCCTGGCGTGTACGTTACATTTCCCACTAACCTACTCTTCAGTTCTCCTTTGAGATCTTGTCTTATAAACCCGTTCTTGTTATCACTGCTCAGTAAACCCAGGAGACTGTGCGATAGGTGTTTTCATCAAATGTGACCTCAGCTTTGGTTCTTCTTGGTCCCACCAACTCAGGTGGGACTTCTTGGCTCTTGTGAACGGCAGCCTGAAGGTGTATGTGTGGGAAAAGCATGGAAAGGTCTCAGCCTTCTCTGGGAGGGCTTGTGCTTTGAGCGCCATGCTGCACTGCTGTTCTGCTTTGCAAGAGAGCTCCGACACAGGATGTGTGTGCAGGGGACCAGCTCTCCTGGCAGTAGCTCCCCCTTGCCCTATTCCACTCGGCAGGGCCATTAAGGTCCTGGGACGCAGCCAGCCTAAAGCTGCAGGCCGTTTGGTTGCAACACGGAGGTAAATGATTCCTTATGTCAATAAAAGTCACGGTAAGGTCTTTCAATGATTAAGTTGTCCCGTCGGGCTTAATCATTGAATTAGAGCAATGGCTCTAAGCCGTCGGCATAGCGATCCCCGTGGGGTCCTCAGAATAATCTCCCGAGCTAGGCTTTACTTTAGTCCGTTTCACTGATACGAAAACAGAGGCAGGGATGAGTGAAACAGCCTATTCTGGGAGCTGGTGGCCTCCGGGTCGCAGGTGGCGCTGCGGCGGGTCGGGGCTTTTCGGAGGCCCCAGCGTGTGTGGGGTGCCAGGCACCTGCTGCTCCACCTTGTCACCCAGGGACTTACTTTTCTGGCTCCATTTCCTCCTGGTATTATTTTTTATTTAAGAAAGCCCTGGCTGCCTCACCCCACCCTGTAAACAAGCTCCCGTCCCTTCCTCCCGGCAGTCTTGTTATTGCAAAGCCCCCAAAGAGCTTTCTGCAACACAGTGCAGGCACTTCGGCACAGGCCCGTACCTTTCCTGGCAGGGCCCCACCGCCCCTCGTACCCGCTTCCTCCCTGGGGCTCACGTGCACTTCCCCACAACCCCCACTCCACTCCGATCATGCCGAGCCCCTCCTGCCCCTCCTTCCCCTCCTTGGTCTCTGCTCAGGAGTCCCCTTTCTCTGAGGTCTTCCCAAACCGCTTCATTCAAAATTGCAACCGCTTATCTGTCTCCACCACACTCTTAGTGTGCCCAGTGCCTAGAAGGATGCCAGGTGCAGCGGGCACACGGTGGTCGCTCCTTAAGCGGTGCTCCTTAGGCGGTAGCTGAAGCCCGGGCCCCAGGCTGGGAGCCGCGGAGCGCCTCAGATCTCACCCGCACCTGGGTCCCTGGCATGCACCCACCTGACTCTGTGGTCACAGCCCTGTTTGCCAAATCAAATAGTTCCTTCAGGACTCAGAAACCGGGCCCTGTGGCTTGCCCCTATGAATCTCTTCCTTCTGATATGTTTGGTTCATCTGATTGCAAATCCTAATGATTTTCTAGATCTTACGTTATTATTTCAGTAATTCCCAGATGAGGTTTTGTTTGCTAGAACTCATTTCCCAAATATCTGGAACATATATGAAGAACAACCTTCCACTGGGACGGGAGTCACAGGTCAAAGGCTTGAAAACACAGTGAGGATTATTTTCAGTCCCTCAAGTGTATAGACATTTTTAAAGATTAACTGATCACTTTGTAGGAATTATAGGAACACATTTGAAATTAGAAGAAATGGCACATTTAGGGAGCGAGGTAAATGAGGTAACAAATAAAGTTTGTGAGAGGCCATTGTTTTGACTATCCTCCTGCATTAGGCCCCCTGCAGACCAGACCAAACCAGAATGGAGTCCACTCATGCTAAGCGCCACACAATTAAACTGAATTTAGAAATGGGCCAGTTTTCCAAAAAACAGGAGAGTCCCAGCAACCCATCAAAAGACTCCCAGTCAACAGGAGCAAGCCTGACAAGGAATTTCCTCTGCTTTAACCCATACCAGGAAAGCCACTTTAAAATGAAAAATCTGCTTTTTCTTCCTTGTTTCTGCTTTCTTCGATCTTTTCTGTCTATGAAGCCCACCCGCTGTGCTCAGCTTCGAGAACCCCTTTCTGTTTCATACAGGAGTTGCTGCCTGGTCCATGAAACCACTCATAAAAGCCAATTAGATCTTCAAAGTCAATTTGTTGAAATGTTATTTGACACCAACTACAGTGACTCTAGGGAACTTTCCCACATCCTCATCTGTTATACTTGTAGAATAATTGGCCCTTATTAATAAAGGCAATGCTTACAGAAGAGGGTTGAGGGAATTGTCTGGGTAATGAAAATAAAGCAACCTGTTTTTTATGCTAAAAGAAGTTGCTTTGGGCACTCAGCCTCATTCAGGATCTGTTTTTCAGCCCCTCAGTATCCCAGAGTTTATTGGGTCCAGAAAAATTATTTCACTATAACCAACCTCCTAAGGGTCTAAATGAAAAACACTAGACCACTAATACATTGATTTCCAGTGAGATTATTGTACTTTAGTGACCAAAATACCTTCGTCCATGATTCAAGTCACCTCCCTCTTGCCTTGTTACATTTGGAAGGCCAGGTGAGCCGAGAGACTTTTGAAGCTACGACCAGAGCAATGGGAGCAAAGTTTTGAAGGTCCTTCTGTCCACTCATGGTCAACCTGGAGCAGTGGCCCCAGCACAGTCCTGAGAGAGTTCGGTGGGGGCTGCCTGCAGGACACATAAGGAAAAGGGTGGACGAGGGGCTGCCCCAGCACAGACCATCTCTTGTGTACTTGCCAGGCCTGACCTGAGCTCTCCGTCTTCTTTATGTCCATGGAGCATTTCTCTGGGTGGTCTCACACAATCGTTTAGCACTCTGTTTTCCAGATTACCATCATATTCCAGGCCTAAGTCACTGATGTTAAGTGCCTGTTACCTCCATTAAAGTTTGGGTTACTGAAGTTTCCAGTCCCACCATCTTTCTGGAAAGGAGAAGATCATGGAGATGGTACTGAAGGCATCAGAGACACGCACAATGGATGGAAGGTGGTGAGAGGAGTCACTGCAAGAAGCAAAGGCTCTGATATGAAGCCCTCAGAATTTGCCTGAGGACCAAAGAAAAGCCACTCAGAATGGTTGTTTGTTCCCACTGTCTCTCAACCAACAATGTGACCTCCAAAGGCTGTGTCAATCTGTAGTTAGCAAAAATGAATAGGATGTACTCAGAGGACACTTCCTCTCAAACTAATGCTCTGTTTATTTAACCAAAGTTCAATTAGCTGGGCCTACTGGCATGTTGACATGATTGCTGAGAGACTAACAAAATAGAACCTCACTGCTGGGCTTATTTTCCTCCAAGCCACACTGTGATTATAAACATCTTTTTGACACTCTATAGATCCCTTAACAACAAAAAAAACTTGATTAAAATATTTGACCGAAAGTTTTAATTAGTGATTCAATTAATGATTTGCTGATCATTAATAATAAATGGGTTATAGACCTTAGAATAAAAAGTATGTCACATGTTTATCTCATATGTCTATATGTCTGTCTCAAGCTAATAACTCACAAAATGCCTGCCGATTGTTAGGAACTTGCAAGATTTAATTATGGTTGAATTATGTTTCTTAATCACACAGTTAGTGTATGTAGTCATATGTCATACAACTTTCTTTTTTGTTTTTGTTTGTTTGTTTGTTTGTTTTTTGTTTTGAAACGGAGTTTTGACTCTTGTCACCCAGGCTGGAATGCAATGGCACAATCTCAGGTCACTGCAACCTCTGCCTCCCAGGGTCAAGCGATTCTCCAGCCTTGCCTCCTGAGTAGCTGGGATTACAGGCATGCACCACCACGCCTAGCTAATTTTGTATTTTTAGTAGAGACGGGGTCTCACCACGTTGCCCAGGCTGCTCTTGAACACCTGACCTCAAGTGATCTGCCTCACTTGAGGCGCCTCACCTCAGCCTCCCAAACTGCTGGGATAACAGGCATGAGCCCCTGCGCCTGGCTGTCATACAACTTTCAAATGAAGTAATAAGCCAATGAGCAAATTCATTATTTGTTATCCTGTGCTTAATATTAGTTTTGTCAATTTCAGTTTTTATAAATACATTGACTTTTAAGCATCTGAGATTTGATTTGTGTTTTGGTGATTTAATCGTGATATAAAGAATTATTAAAGAAAAATTTGAATATGACTTTTACTTCACAGGATTATTTTGATCATAATTCACGTGTAAGATGCAATCCACTATTAGTGTAATAAATACAATCAACCACTCAGATCAGTCTATGTGATACATGATATCAACAGAATGAAAGACAAATACCAAAAGATCATTTATTTCAATTGATGCTGAAAAAGCATTTGATAAAGTTCAACATCCCTTCATGACAAAAACCCTCAAAAAACTGGGTATAGAAGAAACATACCTCAACATAATAAAAGCCATATATGACAGACCCACAGCTAGTATCATACAGAGTGGGGGAAAACTAAAAGCCTTTTTCCTCTTAGATCTGGAACATGAGAAAGATGCCAGCTTTCACTGATGTTATTCAACATAGTACTGGAAGTCTTAGAGCAATCAGACAAGAGAAAGAAAGACCATTCAAATTGGAAAGAAGTCAAATTATCCATGTTTACAGATGATATAATCTTATATTTGAAAAAACCTAAAGATTCCACCAAAAAGCTATTAGAACTAATAAACAAATTCAGTAAAGTTGCAAGATACAAAATCAACATACAAAAATCGGTAGTAGCATTTCTATATGCTACAATGAACAATAGGAAAAAGAAATAAAAAAGTAATCCCATTTATAGTAGCCAAAAATAAAATTAAATACCTAAAAATTAACTTAACTAAAGAAGTGAAAGTTCTCCACAATGAAAACTATAAAACACTGATGAAAGAAATTGCAGAGGATACAAAGAATGGAAAGGTATTCCATGTTCATGGATTAGGAGAATCAATTTTGTTAAAATGTCCCTTCTGCACAAACCAATCTACAGATTCAATACAATCCCTATCAAAATACCAATGACATTCTTCACAGAAATGGAAAAAACAATCCTTAAATTTATATGGACCGATAAAAGACCCAGAATAGCCAAAGCTATCCTGAGCAAAAGGAACAAAACTGGAGGAATCACATTACCTGACTTCAAATTATACTAGAGTTATAGTAACCAAAAGAGCACGGTACTGGCATAAAAAACAAACACATAGACAAATGGAACAGAATACAAAACCCAGAAACAAACCCAGACGACTAGAGTGAACTCAGAACCTGAGCTGCCACTTCCTCTCCATGACCCCATAATACAGGAAGCTCCTCTTTTGTCAGATTTCCAGACATGTGATGAGGTCTAGCAGGGACTTGCCAAGTGTTCTCCATACCCGTCTCATTATTCTAGGCACAGAGCTTGTAAGAGGGGTGGTTATGTGGCCACAGGAACACGAACAGAATTGCTGTCCATCCAGGCCCATAGACACTTCTCGTGTGCCATATTTCATTCCCTTCCCACATGCAGGCAACATCAGGTAACAGGAGAGGACAGAGCCTCAGACAAGGAAGCTGAGTGCCAAAAACTACCCTGTAATAGTCCACACTGAATGCAGCATTTAAGCAAGAAATAAGCCCAGTCATGTCAGGTCATTGAGGCCAAGGGCTTTATCTACTAGAGTTGTTAGCATTACTAAGTCATACTAGGGTTTTACTCTGCTTACCAGGATATGGTCCACAGCGAGACCCTCCCCAACATCTTCCCAACTCTGTTTTTCCTCTCAAGCTTGGGGGTAACCTCATTGGTCTAGGGATAAGGTAAATGGAAGGTTAAGATGGGGACAGAGCTGGTTCTCTCAGAATTCATCTGTTTTTAAATCTTATATTGATCCTAGAAGCACACAGAATGTGATGTCTTTGCTGTTTGCATCAATCTGACAATTATTCTCAGGACTAAATGGCAGCTTTAAATCTCAAGACTAGAATCAAGCATCTTCATAAGGGAAAGCAGACTATGCCTCGCATTAGGATCAGCCACACATACTCCAAGTAAGCATTCTTAGAAGCAGTAGTGGTGGCACAGCACGTAACAACTAACATAGTCACAGAAGCAAGGATACAGAAATGGAACTTCAGTTTGGCAAAACTGTGATGATTGCATGACTCCAGGCCTGCAGCCGCCTAGGGCGGGAGTATAACCCTCATGATTGCCAGGTGAACTCAGTAACAATGTAAGGATGTACTGGTTAATTTCAGTTTAAGCACAGTCTCAAAGTGACCCTTGGCCCTCTGGATGTTCTCCCACCCACATTACCCCGACGTCGATTCTACACTTCTTGTCCTTATGTAACTGTGGCCACATGTGGGACTCTTCTCCTTGGTTCCAAGGTGACTCATGCACAGTTTTACTGATGTTATCTTGTCTGGTCATGGCCAGACTATGTGGGGCCCTCTTCACACCAGCAGCAGCCAGTGCACAGTGGTCCGCACTCACCTCCAGCATTGGGGGTGCAGGAACCTGGAGCTCATCCTCACCCCTCCCAGTGCAGACCTTTCATCGCATGTTTTTGTAACAGAAGCCCTTCATCATGGCCTCAGTGCCCCAGCTCTCTTTGTGTCCCACTGAAGTCCAGATCTTACCTGGGGCCCTTCTTGACTCTATAAACCAAAGGGGAGCTGAGGTCATGACCTTTCACGCAGCCATATTTATGTCCTCCAGACTCTGTAGTGATGGGACATAGGCCACTAATGCCTTCTGAAATTCAAAGTAGAAAAGGGGCAATTCCAACCCTCTCTTGGGTTCCAAAGTTCCCCTTTCCTATCTTAGTTAGATTTCTCCAGAGAACAGAATCAATAGGATATACAGTCTTCTCTTGGTATCTGCAGGGGATTGGTTCCAGGACCCACCTCATAGATACAAAAATCTATGCATACTCTAGTCCCATGGTCAGCCCTGGAGAACCCACATACATAAAATCAGCCCTCCATATACTCAAGTTTGCATCCCAAGAAGTGCGGTATTTTCAATCCACATTTGCTTGTAAATGCAGAGCCTGTGGATACAGAGGGCTGACTACATTCATTGAAAGCAATCTTTGTATAAGTGCAGTTCAAACCCCACGTTGTTCGAGGGTCAACTGTATATAAATATACAAAAGGAGACTTATTATGAGAGTGGGTTCACACAGTTAGGAAAGCTGAGAAGTCCCACACTCTGCCATCTGCAGGCTGGAGAACGAGGAGAGCTGGTAGTGTAATTCAGTTTTAAGTCCAAAGGCCTGAGAATCAGGGGTGCTGAGGGCCAAAGGCAGAAGATGGATGTCCTAGCTCAAGACAGAAAGAGCAAATTCACTCTTCCTCTGCCTTTTTGTTCTACTGGAGCCCTCAGTGGACTGCATGATGCCCGCCCACACTGGTGAGGGTGATTTTTTCTTTACTCAGTCCACCAATTCAGTTGCTAACCTCCTGCAGAAACAGCCTCATAGACACTCCTTGAAAGAATATTTTACCAACTATCTGGGCATCCCTTAGTCTCATCAACTAGTCACATGAAATTAACCATCACACCCTTCAAGACTCATTTTTTAAAAAAAAAAATGTTCCCCTTTTGAAGGTGAATTATTTTTCTAATTGATGCAAAAATAGGTTATGCTAGATTGTAAAAATGATTCCAAATATACATCTAGATATTTTTAATAATAAATTAGCTATTGCTTTCATCCAAACCATGTGTTCTTGATCATAAACTTTGAAAGTTCTTCTACCCTGGTATCCTCTGGGGTTAATAGCAACTCCATGACTCCAGACTCAGATGAAAGCTGGCAATCATTAAGTGAAAAAAAAGATGGTCAATGTCTCAAATTGTGTGGGTCCATGCATGTATTAGTGACACAGGACTAATCAGTGCAGATAGCTGCTCTGTTCTAGTCAAGAGTGTCAATTATTTCAGCAACTTGCTTTGGTGATTATTTGGAAAAATTGACATTTTAGGGTAATTTTTATCTAGAAAAAGGATAATTTTCTCCCATCTTCTAAGTCTTCTTTTTTCTTAACTGCATAGACAAAAAATCAAGACAAAAAAGCTGGCTCAGGTTTCTAGAGGTTCACTGCGTAAAAACAATATATTGTTTTAGGCACAGGGAAAAGAACCATTAGGAACAGATGTACAAACTATTTTTGTGTGCGGTAAGAAAAATACATTGGGTGCATCGCCTAAGACATAAAAAGGCCGAGCACTTCCATGTGGGAACACCCAGTCAACACGGTGTTCTGATGGAGAGATGAGGATTGTTCTGACGGAGAGATGAGGATGCTCGGGGCAAGGCACCTGCAGCTGGGGTGTGCTGTCCTGGCTGGGAACGTGCATACATAGGCAGACGCTCTTCACCACCATTGAGTACGTCTCTCCAGTGTCTCTGGGTATTTTATTCTGTGTAGGATTGAAGTGAACCCAAGAAATAGGCTGGACAAAAAAAGAAAAATAAGAAAGGCAACAAAAAACCTCTCTTTGAAGATACGATATAATTAGATCTCAGTAAAAGTTATTTTCTTAAGAACAATCAGGAGGTCAGTTGCATCAGGTGGGCATACTTACCAAAATATGAAAGCCTAATCAAAAACAAGCATGCCACTTTCCACTTATAGAACTTGAAATTTACAAAACAATAAAATATACTCATGTGCATGCACGTGCATGTGTACACACACACACACACACACACACACTTAATAAAGGAGGAGTAAAACCTAAAATGACCCTTCTGCCAAAGACAAGGATAAAAATTAGCAGGGCATAGAGCATGCCCAGCCACCTGCCATCTGCAATCTCCCTTCCTCCCTTCTTCTCATAGCCCTCTGCCAATGGACCCTATTTTATTCCCGAATAATTACAGCAGTGCCTCTAATTCTACACCATAAGTAGTCCTGAAGCCTACAATGGTAAGATCAATCGTCATGTTTCACTGATTTGCAGCAGACTCATCTTTATTTGAATTATTCCTGATGCTTTTGTCATCTATAAGAGAAAATTTCATCTTCCCACTTCAAAAGAAGGCAGTGAAGCATATAACAAATTATAAAACAAAATTGTTAACATCAATATAAACCAATCTTTAAAAAGCAGGCCTACTAATATGGTTTAAAGTGGCCACCGACGTTTTAAATCCCATCAAAGTAAACGATTGCCTTTTTCTCACCTCTAAAGGTTGCAGTTTGAATGTTAATGGGAAGAATTAGAGAATTCATTTTCCATCTTTGATGGTCTTGCCTGTAAAGTGTTGGCAGCAATTCCTCCAGTCTGCTGGTGTGTTACCCATTCCATTTCCTCTGCAGAGTAGCCCTCTCATTCTATTCATGAAGTTACATCTCACCTCATTTGGATTCTGTCTCAAATGAGTTGCTGATGTCAGCTGGATTTAGCTAAGAATACATTAAATTTTATTCAATTAGTCAAAAACAAGTATGTTTTCAAAATCGGGTGTATATATAAAGCAATGTTAGCTGTTATGACACAAAGTTTTAGAACAAAAAAGTTATAAATCTAGTTAAGATGTAGGATTTATTATATGTAACATATATTGTACATATTATATGACAAATGTTAGCTGCTAGAACACGACACTGGTGTTTTCGAATTCCTGCGAGCTGAGTGTTTATTACGCCTGCTGGAATCTGGACCACTTCCTCCCTGGCAAACAATGTTGCTGTTGGAATTGCATCCCAGATCACAGACTTAAAATCAAATTATAAGTAAAGCACAGCCATGAGTTTTAAATTTTAAAAAGGTAGAAATGTCTAATTTCTATAAATTAAGCATAGATCACAGAATTTTCATGCTTAGAAGGACATCAGTAACTATCAGATCCAAAGCCCTTATCTTGCACATAAGGAAGTATGTACAGCTGATAAATTCAGCAAAGTCGCAGGATACAAATCAACATGCCAAAATTAGTTGTATTTCATATACTAGCAATGAACAATATGAAAAAGAAATCAAGAAAACAATTTCATTTACAATAGCATCAAACAAGAATAAAATAGGAATAAATTTAACCAAGGAAGTGAAACCCAAGAAATGCAGTTTTGTACACCAAAAACTACAAAACATTGCTGGAAGAAATTAAAGACAATCTAAATAAATAGAAACACATTCCTTGTTCACGGACTGGAAGACTTAACATTATCAAAATGACCATATTGCCAAAAGATATTTACATACTAAGTGCATTCCTTAGCAAAATCCCAGTGGTATGTTTTGCAGAAATAGGAAAATCCATCCTAAAATTCATATGGAATCTCAAGGGGCCCAGAATTGCCAAAACAATCTTGAAAAAGAACAACAAAGTTCAGACTCACACTTCCTGATTTCAAAATTTACTACAAAGCTAGAGTAATCAAAATGGTGTGATTATTGACATTAGGACAGATACATACAGTAGCAACAGAATAAAATAGAGAGCTCAGAAGTAAACCTTCACATTTGATTTTTGGCAAGGCCACAAGAACATTTAACAGGGAAAGGACAGTCTGTTCAACAATGGTGCAGGAAAAACAATGTCGACCTACAAAAGAAGTTGGGGCCTTACTTTGTACCACATACAAAAATTAACTCAAAATGGATCAAAGACCTAAATAGAAAAGCTAAAACTAACTTTTAGTAGAAAACACACAGACAGATATTTACAACATTGGTTTTGGTGATGATTTCCTCAAAATGACACCAAAAACACAGACAAAAACGACCAAAATAAACTGGATTTCATTCAAATTAAGAACTTTCGTGCATCAAAGGACACTATCAGGTGAGTGAAAATACAACCCACAGAATGAAAGAAAATATTTTCAAATCATATATCCAGTAAGAGATTAATATCTAGAATATACAAAGAACTCCTACAACTGAGCAACAACAACAATAAAAAGAAAATTTTAAAGTGAACAAAGGACTTGAATGGACATTTCTCCAAAGTTATACAAATGACCAATAAACACATGGAAATACGCTTAGCATCATTAGTCATTAGGGAAATGCAATTAAAACCATAATGAGAAATCACTTTGCACCCAGTAGGATGACTATTATCAAAAAATACAAACAAAAAATGGGAAACAAGTGTTGGCAAGGATGTGGAGAAATTCGAACCCCTGTCCTTTGCTGACAGGTGTGTGAAGTGGTGCAGCCACTGTGGAAAATGGTTTGATGGTTCCTTTAAATGTTCAACTTAGAATTATCATAAAACCCAGAAGCATACTCAAATAATTGAAAACATATTTTTATGTTCATCTTCATAGCAGCATTATTCACCATAGCCAAAAGGTATCAACAACCAAAATGCCCATCAGCAGGTGATATATAATATATATCACATTTTGCTTATCCATTATATACATTACCTATATCACACATATATATGAGATAAAGTTTACAAGGACTGAGAGTCATTGTTGCAGAAATGAAGCAGTGGGTTTCCTTGCTTGAGAGCAAGCGTTGCAGAGTGGAGGCTCCTGACGGGGAGAAAAATAGCCAGATATATATATATATATTTCTCACAATGGAATATTATTTATGTATATAAAGAAGGCAATTCTGACACATGCTACAACATGATGAACCTTGAAGACATTATACTAAGTGAAATAAGCCAAACACAGAAGGCCAAACATCATATGATTCCACTTATAGAAGACGTCAGGATAAGCACATTCAGAGACAGAAAGAATAGAAGTTGCCAGGGGCGGGAGGGTGGGAGAATTTTGGAGTTATTTTTAATGGCTACAGAGTTTCTGTGTTGGGTGATGGACATTTTTCTGGAAATAGATACTGGCAATGGTTACACAACATTATAAATGGACTTAATGCCACTGAATTGTAAACTTAAATATGATCGAAACTTCATGTTATTATATTTTACTACAAAATAATCATGCCTTTAGCAAACAGAAACAGTCTTCTTCTTTCTGTCCAAGCTTTATGCCTTTGATTGCTCACTCTGTTTCAAAGGCGAGTGCTCCAGTACAACACGGAAGTGATGATGTGAAGTGTTCTTTCTTTTTCTTCCATCCTTCAGATGGAAAGTGTTATTTCAACATAAAGTGGGATGTCGCCAGTAGGACTTTTGTAGATGCCCTACATCTTAATGATGAAGTGCCCATCTATTCCTAGTTTGCTAAGTGTTTTTGTCATGAATGGGTTGTTAAATTTTTTTTTAGATGAAATCTGGCTCTGTTGCCCAGGCTAGGCTGGAGTGCAGTGGCACAATCTTGGCTCACTGCAACCTCCGCCTCCTGGGTTTAAGCAATTCTCCTGCCTCAGCCTACTGAGTAGCTGGGACTCCGGGCATGTGCCACCACGCCCAGCTAATTTTTATATTTTTAGTAGAGACAGGGTCTCACCATGTTGGCCAGGCTGGTCTCAAACTCCTGACCTCAAGTGATCCACCTGCCTCAACCTCCCAAAGTGCTGGGATTACAGGCATGAGCCACTGCGCCTGGCTGGGTTGTTGAATTCCTTGTAAATGCTTTTATGCTCCATTAAAATTGGTCATAGAAGGGTTTTTCCCATTTTTTTATTATGGCAAACTAGACTGACAAATTTTTCAGTGTTAAACCTGTACTCCTGGGAACCACCCTACTTGGTTGATCGTGAGGCAATACCCATTTACATGTTTCTAGATTCAATATGCTATTGCTTTGTTAAATATTTTTGTGTCTAGGTTTATGAGGGATTTTTTTCCAAAATTTTAATTTTTACAATGTCTGTCTCAGTTTTTGGTAATAGGGTTGTTTTGGCTTCATAAAATGAGTTAGGAAATGTTTTGCTATCGCTGAACGTATCTGTGTAAAATCGGTTCTATTCCTTCTTTTAATGTGTGGTAAAATTTACCAGCGAAACTCTCTAGGCCCAGAATGTGCTTGTGGGGAGAATTTTCATAATGATTTCAAATCCTTTAATTAACACAGAGATATTCGTATTTTCTCTAATATCTTGTATTAGCTTTGCTCAGCTGTATTTATAAAGGAATTTGTCTATATCATCTATGTTTTCACAATGTTGCTATAAAGTTTTTCTTAATATTTGCTTATTATGTTTGCTGTGTCTTTAGGCTCTCTTTCATTCCTGATAGACAATCCGTGTTTCTCTTCCTATTTATCCACCTAGGAAAGTACCAATCAGTTTTGCTGCTATTTTAAATTAATCAGCTTTAGCTTTGTTTTCACTATTGCTTATCTCTTTTCTAACTCGCAGATTCATGCTCTAATACAAGTGTTTAAAGCTGTAAATTTCTCTGTCAACATTGCTTTATCATATCAACAGATTTTTATATATTTTCATTATCACTCAGTTCAAAATACAGTCTCATTTCTTTTGTAATTTTTGGTGCTCTTCTAGATATCTTATGACTGATTTCTAATTTAATTTCACTGTGAGCAGAAAAGACACACTGTATGGTTTCAGTCTTTCTAACTTTACCAAGTTTATCTTGGTGAACCACGTGCACTTGGGAAGAAAGTGCTTGAGCCGCAATTTGAGGGGTCAGTATTTTTTACGAGTATCCAATCCATCAAGCGGGCTGACTGCTCTTCGTATCCACGTTTTTACGAACACATTGGTCTATTGATTCTGTAGGTGTCTGACAGAAGATGTTAAAATCTTTACTATTAATTGGGTTTGTGAATTTCTCCTTTCATTTCTGTTAGCTTTTGCTCTACACATTTTGAAACTCTGTGGTTAAGTGCATGCATATCAATATTCGCAACGTCTTCTTGAAAAAATTGACCCTTTCCTAACTATAAAATGTCACTATCTTTGGGAATACTCCTTGTCTTGAGGTCTCTTTTATTTGATTTTTAAATAGCCTTCCCAGCTTTCTTATGCTTTTGTTTTCTTGGTACGGCTTTTGTCCAGCTAGTTAAATATAGAATAATAGATATGTTTGGAAGCAAATAAAATAATGGCAAGAATAGTTTTGAAGTGAATGACAGTGAGCCAGAGATAAAGTTTACAAGGACTGAGACTCCTTGTTGCAGAAATGAAGCAGTGGGTTTCCTCGCCTGGGAGCAAGAGTTGCAGAGTGGAGGCTCCTGGGGGGAGAAAACTGGCCACGAATGGCAACAAGAACATCTGTGACGCGCGCACCCCAGGTGAGGGAAAAGCAACAGCCACCACTGGATTAGTGACTGCCATAGGAGAAGCAGATTCTCATGAGGGTAGGGTCAGGGCGGGGGAGTGTTCATTCTCACAAAAAGGTGAAGAGAATATTCAGAGAAACAGTTTGGGTGGATAAAACAAAGTTACCGGCGGACCAGGAACTCCAGAAGGTACAGTGGAAGGGCTTCAGGATTCGGAGAGGGCGGAGGGTTGGGATTCGGAAAGGATACCTAGAGCCATATGGTGAAAAGGAGTGGGAAGGCTGGCCTGGGCTTCCCTGTGAGACCACGCCCGCGAGGATGAGAGGCAGCCCGGAATCGTCCCCTCCTACCCGAGGCCAGTAGGGACCACACCTCCTCAGGGGGTGGGACTGCTGCAATGGCTCAGATCTTAGGTAATCCTTTTAACTTCCACCGAGAAAGTCTTGGGGTTAGGAGAGGCGGGACCACACTCTCATCTCTTGCAAGACAGCTCGGGCAGTGATACTCATTTTTGCAGGGCTATTTGTTCAATTTCAGTCTTTCTCATTAGCTTGTCAGCACTTTTAAAGCAGGTACTATTTCTGTGTTTGTTCACAATTGTATTTCTGCTACTTAGCTCAGTGTCTAACACAAAGGAGATACTCAAATATTTGTTGGTAGTATTCTGAATGAATGCTGCAAACTGTTGGAAAGCAATTTGGCAATTTGTATCAACTATTGTAATATAAATAATATAACTTTCCTAATCATATAAATATTTATATGATTTTGAGAGCCATAATTTTACTTCTGAGAATCTGTTTAAAAAAAAGCAAAATGTTTTAATGTTTGTTGCATTATTTTAAAATGCAAATAACTATTTAAAATCCTCCCAACAGGAAAATGCTTTAATAAATTATAGTCACAGAATTAAAATATAATATAGTTAGGAAAGTTTTGTTTAAAATTTATGATAATGTTTACTCTTCTTTTATAATGCTCAGTAACAAAAATCCTTTTATGTTGTTTCAAAAAAAGATAGATGCAAAATTAGAAAGAGAATGTAGACTATGTATGTAAAATATAGAAAATATTATATCTACATATTGTAACTATGTGTGAGTTCTGGAAATACAAAAATTTTCATTTTCCTTATTAAATTCTATATGTTTTATACTGTATCATCCCTCTATTTTATACTCAGAAAGGATAGCCATAGATGAGGGAAGAGTGTGGAGATTGACTGTCCAGGGAAACATAAATTGAACTGTTACTTTCCTTTCATGTTAGCAAAATTCCCTGTTAGCCAACAAGTGAAAGCACCGACATGTATTCTAGTTATTTTGCTTTTCAACGAAGCTATTAGAGCATATTTAAATGTGAGGGCATCAAAGGAAGCACTTGATGAAGTGTTTGGAGAGCAAACTTTGGTCCTGTTCATCTTTTTCTTAATTTCCTTCCTCATTTTTATCTTTGGTCGTTCAATAACTTCTATTTCCTGTATCTTTCCAGCTCCCCCCACTGCTCACCCATCCCTCAACAATATCAGGGCTCTGTGACAAGGCGGCAGGGGTTGCATCGAGGCATTTTTTGGACATGCACCCTGTGCCATCTTCTGTGCCAACCCTGATGGTGCAAGGAATGAGGCCAGATACACTCCCTGTTGTCCTCAAGCATCAGAAGGCCTCCTAGGTGAGTGAAAAAGGACTGTCTACCCGTCGGACACAATACCAACCACCTCCTCGTTGGAGAAGCAGCGAGTGTCTGCAGTCTTGTTTTGTGTCCCTGCCTTCTGCACAGAGCAGCTGGGGTGGCCTCCTGCGGCCGGCAGCCTCTGAGGCATCGCCAGGTGGCACACAGCTGCAGAAACCCAGCATGGGAAAGACGCAGGTTTCTTCTTTTTATTTTCAAAGTGAAAGTAACATTAATCGCTTGTTGTGATATAAAGATAGCACAATCTCAGGTGGCAAATTCATGCTGCTGCTAAGAAAACTAAGGAATTGTGTAAAACTCACTCTCAAAAACCATCAGTCAGACGTAACTACATTTTCCATATTGTTGAGTATTCTGTTTATCTGTGGATGCAAACACATACACACACTAACACACGCACTAACACACACTCACGCACACATACAGACTCCCACACACTCCCAACCACGCACCCACTCACACACTCACACTGAGACACACACTCCACACACACATGCTCACACTCACATTCACACACATGCAGTCACACACACAAACCCTCTTACACACACACTGACATTCAGATACACACACCCTCATACACTCAGAAACACACTCTGCTCACACACATCACACACACTAATACACACTCCACTCACACACATTCACACTCACATGCTCATAGAAACACAAACCATCACACATTCACACACATACTTATTCACACACTCACACACTCTCACACTCATTCACACACACTTATTCACATACACACTCACACACCCACACTCATTCACATACACACTCACACTCAGACTCCAGCTTATACTCTTCATGGGACATCATATTAGCACAGCTCAACCTTTGTTCCACGTCATTAATTATAAGTGGATGTCATTCTGCTAACAGACTATTGCCTTCCATGTGAAGCAGAGGTTTGCATTGGAGAGATTTGACTGCTGACAGCAGAAACCGTCTTTCCATGCTAGGAAGAAAAATGAGTGCTACTAGCACAAGTTCTGGAGAAGAGTGAAACCACTCCCAGCTGAGGCAGCCAGAAAAGACTTCCTCACCACTGGTACCATTCCACTGGCTCCACCGCACATCTGAACCTCCGCATCTCACTTCTTCCACTAGTACCATCTACTCTAAGGGCAGAGATAATGCCTTTAAACCCTAAGATGAGTAGTGAAGCTCTGCAGAGAGCAGATGTCACATACAGCTAAGCGTCAGAAGGTGATATTGAGAACACACAATTTTGGAGATATTGGCTGTAGATAAATAATGATCATTGTTGATAGTCCCAGAATTTCCATGCTTGAACTGGCAATTCTGAGAAACATGTGTCTTTGGTTCCTGGGTCTTCTTTTCTACACTGCCATTTGATTCAGATCAAAAAGCATAAGCTGCCACTGGCCTCCTTCCTTCCCTTCATGCTAGATGAGCATAATCTCCACTCTTGTTTTCGTTTCCCCATCTTTGACACATCACATGCTCCACCTTGTTTGCAGTGACAAGCAGTGTGGAAGGGAACGCTGGCTTCCCTGATCAAAGAGGCAAGGCTGGTTCTGCAGCAAAGACATTCCAGGAATAGAGGTTCAAAGATTTCATCTGTTTGTCCAACTGTCCCCATCTTAAGCCTACTCCTTTTCAATCATGGCCTCTACTGTAACAAAGGGGACTGGTTCCAACTGTCTGCCTTGGGCCTGCGCTTCAGCCACACCTGCTTTGGCTGTAGGAGGTACAGTATTCCTTTGTGACCTCTGTGAGGGTTTCTTCACAATTCCTCTTGTGCCTTAAATCAGGTGTTCAATTCTTAAGCTTGGATTAAACTGTCATAGCTCTCTGGAACTGTTGCAGCAGGTGGCCCATGACTGCAGACCCTCCATTATCACAACAGCTACTGTGCACTGGGCTGCCCTGGCCTGGCCACTTCCAGCACCCCACTGCACATGGTGAATCCCCAGCATGTCTTTCCCCCAGCAAAAATATCCTGTGACCACTCACCAGGTATGTCAACAACCTAATTCTGGAGTCTCCTACTGAGGATATATTTCTGGGGCTACTCCTTGTTCCAATTACTGTATAAATCAGGATCTGGGCAAGAAACAGATGGTACCCACAAAGCATCCAAGTGCAGATCATTGGTTGGAAAAGCAGTTTATAAGGCATAAGTACAAATAATGCTCCAATAAGGGATGATAAGGCTGAGAGATGCCCAGGCATAGCAACAGTTAGGACAATGACAATTTTGGCTTGGAGTGACAAGAGGAGGAAGTGTTTTCACCAGAGGCTGGGGAGAGCTGGAGCCATGGAAACCTATCCAACAGGAGCTGTGGCCATAGAGGAACACAACCACTGCCAGACCCACAGTCAGGCAAGATCAGATCAGCCTGACATCTTTATCTCTATACCAACCCACAGTTTCCTGCTGATGCCCATTGTCTGAATCCACCCTGAAGCCAGCATGCAAGGAAACCCAGTGATGCAGTCGAAATGTCAGCCTCCCACACGCAGCAGAGTGCAGGATCAACCTAACGGGACAAGTGGAGAATAATCTGCACCTGTATTAGGAGAAAGAATGAAAATTAGTGGGTAATTTTCATAGGCTATTCCTGAAGTTGATGCACATCCCACTGTCCTGCATTTCACAGGTTGGAACTCAGCCACATCTCAAGGGAAGCACTAAAACCCAGTCTTGTGTACCCAGCATCAGAGGCTCTAGTGAATGACTAGCCAGTCTCTGCCATGGATATTTTCTAATATCTTTACTCCAAAGTTTGAGTGAAAAAGGAAGAGGGGAGGAGATCCAAATAAAAAGGAAAAGTGGGTGCTCTACTGAATATTCACTGGGCCTGTTGCACTTCTCAAGGCAGGCAAAGGCTGGTAGGGTATTGCTTCACACTTCTTAGCATGACAATGATATGCTTATCTGACAAAATTATAGCAACATGCAGTCAAGCCTTTCAGTAGCCTTTGAGTATCATCATGAAAAACTACATGCCCCTCACAAAGGCACATGTGTATTCAATGACAGAACCCTTAAACTTCCAAAGAAAAGATAGAGGCAAATTCCCAGAGTACAAGTAATCAGGGAAGCAGGACAAATCTCTTGAGATTCTAGTGAGGATGTTGCTGTCAAGGCTGTGTATGAAGAGAGACCTCATGTTTGGAGACCTTGGACAGCTCCATTCACGCAGCATTGAGTTTTGCTTTAGGCTCATGCCCAGGCTCAGGCTAACCTCATGGTGCTTGTCTTATATTAGAATATTTTTAAAGCTCTCTTTGCGAAATCTGATGTCAGAGTTAGAATGTCAACTGCTTGTCAAAACGTACATAATTTGATGCCAGATTTTTTAATGTCAAGCATAATCACAGATATCATCCACATATGCCCAGAGAAGCTACCCAAAGGAAACTGAAACCATATTGCTAACATCACTGACTGTGGCAAGAAAATGTAATCAACAAAGGCATCTTGAGATTAAGAAAGTTGAAACCTCAGTGAGGCTGCTTCTCTGTAAAAAAGAACTCCAAAGACCCACAACACAGTGGGACCTGTCCACAGTCCCAATCCAATTGATGGTATGAAAGCATTGTTTTTCTCTAAAGCATTTTCAGGTCTCAGCAGTATTCAAGGGCACCTTTAAAAGCAGTGCACATGTGTCAGGTGAGCATCAGGGCAGCTCAACCTGGTGCCCCCGGTGCAGTTGTGGGTGATGAAGACACAGGATAGTGCTAAGCCAGAGGAGGAAAGGAGAAAGAGCATAGCTCAAGCCCAGACCCAAGGGTGAATATATTTTGAGAATCACTCTGTGTTGGTTTCCATTGGATTTCCTGACTGTGTGGAAAGGTGGTGCTTTGTCTCTCTTGGGCAAAAGCTGAACAGAAACAGACTTACCTGCATTATGCCAAGTGCCTGAGGACTTCTAAAGTCCATGTATTTTTCCATGAGAGGTGAGTGGTGCCGGTTAAGAGTTGCCAGAATGTGGAGAGAGAGGAAAGTAGAGGGGGAAGCCGATGTGCCTGCAGGAAGCAGGGTAAAGTTGAGGTGAGGGGTGGGCTGGCGAGTGAAGGGAGTTTGCTAGAGAGTAAGAGAGAAAGGCGAGCACGTGAGGAAGAGCAATCTTTCCAGCAATCAGGACAAGCAGAACGTGCTTGCATCTCCAGCACTGCAGTGGCTGCTGAATGCCACTGGGGCATTCAGTATGACCACCCACACCCAAGCACGCGTGAGCAGGCAGTGTGTATTTCAGCACAGATAATGTTTTCGGGTGTGTATAGAGGAAAAAAGCAAATCATTTCCTCCTCTTACTATACTCTCTGCACTCTCCATACGTCACATCTGACATCAGTTATGTAAGTATCTGCCACACCAAGCAATTCCTCAATTCTCTGTGGACACCGGCAGGGCATCTTACAGTTTAACTCAATTCTGGTGCTATCTCCTTGTGATAGCATCAGATCCTGCAGGTTAAGGGCTCAGGTTCACAAAGCTTCCCCCACTTCAGACGCCAGTCACAAACAGCAGGACCCTAGGCTACCTGCAACTTCTGTCTGACTTGCTTACAAGTCGGAGGTCCCCACAGCACCCACTTTATGTCTGATAATAGCAAATTATCCATAGCAATGGAGGCTCACTGAACTTAGGCAAACATTACTATTATTGGTTTATTATAAAGCATGCAAATCAACAGCTAGGTGAAGAGATACATAGGGTGAGGTTTGGAAGGGTTCCAAGCACAGCAGCCTCTGTCCCAGTGGATTTGGGTTGCATGACCACCTCACAACATGTGGATGTCTGCAGCATCCCAAAAGCTCCCAGAATCCCATTGTTCAGGGATTCTTATGGAGGCTTCATCATCTAGGTATGACAGATTATTAACTCAAACTCCGTGTTTCTCCCTTTCCCTGAGGATGGTGGAAGGAGGAAATTGAAAGCTCCAAGCTTCTAATCACGGCTTGGACTTTCTGGTGACCAGTGCCTATCCAGGAACCATGAAGAGTTGCCTAAGAGCAAGAGATGCGGCCGGGCGCGGTGGCTCACGCCTGTAATCCCAGCACTTTGGGAGGCCAAGGTGGGCAGATCACCTCCTGAGGTCTGAACTTCGAGACCAGCCTGACCAACGTGGAGAAACCCCGTCTCTACTAAAAATACAAAATTAGCTGGGCATGGTGGTGCATGCCTGTAATTCCAGCTACTCAGGAGGCTGAGGCAAGAGAATCACTTGAACCCAGGAGGTGGAGGTTGCAGTGAGCAGAGATTGTGCCATTGCACTCCAGCCTGGGCAACAAGAGCAAAACTCCATCTGAAAAAAAAAGAAAAAAAAAAGAACAAGAGATCCTCCAGTCACCCAGGACATTTCAAGGGATTTAGGAGATTTGTGCCAGGAACTGGCTTCAAAAACCAAATATTAGAACAAAAGATTCTCCTAATATCTCTATCTACAAGGGTTTTAGGAGCCTTATGTCAGAAATGGCGGATAGATTATATGCATAGTCTTATTATTCACAGGGTTGAATGTATGTTTATAGTAGAGGAGAAATATCTATGGTTGGTGGTAGAAACCAAGGTGCTTAGCGTGCTCTGAGGCAGGAAATGCAGGCTTTAATAGCCTATCCTGTTCCTTTCCTGAACACCCAAGCAATGCATCAGGTACAGAGCAAAACACCATCTGGGTACAAATGGCAAGTCCCTAACTTTCCTTTCTTTTCATGAATAGGGTAGGTGCACCCTTGATTAGTTAACCATACCCACAAATCAAGTACCTAGATATGCATTCGTTTCCTCTAAGGGCCATCTCAAAGTACAGAGCTGCTCACCTCCCTTTAGAGAATCCAGTTTAAAGAACACGTATTGTAATCCTGGAGAGCGTCCTAGAAACTCACAAATAGGTGTAACTGAACACTTCTCCCAGGACTTACTGGATTTGACAGATCTAATTCAAGATTGTAGGAAACATCTTTTCTCTAGCGGGTTGTTGTTGAAAATTGAAACAATTTCTCTAGTCTCACCATAGTTTGAAAAAAAATCCCCCTGAGGCGGCTCGAGGAGGTTTAACTAAATTCACTCAGAAGTCTCAAAATAACCACTGCTGTGAGGTGCACGTGCTCGCATGCTTCCAGTGGCTAACACTGAATTAACAAGCTGACTCCCTGCGGAGGCTGTGGCTAGTTGGCCATGTAAGTTGAGTCCAAGGGACTCATCTGAGCTGTTTCCATAAAAGACAAACAGTCTTATAAACAAAATAAATGAACCACACGATAAACATTTCTGGCCAGAATCTGGAGCTTGAATTTTTCTAAACAATCTCTCAGGAAGGTAATTTTCAGGTGAAGACATGATGACAACATATCCCCTTAAAAGTGACAAAAACATATGAACTATTGGTCACTCTATATGAATCCATCATTATTTTTGGCCACATCAGTAAAGAAACTAAAAACTTCAGAGGAACAAGATGATCTAAAGCTGGTGAGAATATTAGGAGTTTAAATGATTTTTTCAATGTAAGAAACTGTTGGGAAATGTACCTGGACAATCACACGCGTGTAGAGACTCCAGCTGCACATATTCAATCTGTCATTAGAAGGAAGCCCTTCCAGACAGCACCCTCATCATCAAATGAAAAAGCACCTCCCTGGGGCCCGTTCTCCGCTCTGTCTCACTGACGGGCCTGACGATTTCTCCACGGTAGAAGCTAGACTAAGTTCTTATCACCTGCCTCCCCAGAAGCTACCCCAGCACCTCAAGCGGCCAGGGCATTCTGTGTTTCCCAATTCCAGGATTGTGTATGGTTCAGCACATCCACTAGGGACTAAGCCCTTTACAACAGCACTCACTGAGGGAGGCTGTGAACTGGGTATGGTAAGAAAAAAACCCATGTTTTTCTGTTTGTTTTGTTCCTTGGCCTTCAGCATTCATTTATTTTCTGGGAATCACATTCATCTTTTCCTCTGGGAAAAGAAATGCACCTTGACTCTCAGCCCATGTGCACCCAAGACTGGAGACTGAATTGCTTCAAGGATAACCATATGACTAGATCAGAGCCAGTGAATGCAAAGATAGGCATTCAGGGGGACCTGGGACTCTTGTTCCTTCCTGCTGGATGCCAGGACCTCTACCAGAATGACAGAAATGAAAAAGAGTGACAACACCAAATGCTGGTGAGGATGCAGAGGAATGGGATCCTTCGGACACTGCTGGTGGAAACACGAAATGGTGTAACCACTGTGGAAAACAGTTTAGCAGGTGGTTTTAAAAAGTACATAACATGTCAATTGGTACATTTTAGCAGATGTTAAAATTAACTAAGAACTTCTGTTGTAGTGGTGCAAAAATCAATGGTGTCCTTCTATTGCCTTGCTTTATACATTCTTTTAGAAAATGTCAGATTTCCAATTGAACTAAATTGTGGACCTTTCTATTAATTTAATGGTTTTGTCACAGCTTTTGGTTTCTGCCTTCCTCCAAATCACTTGCACTGAGGATTTCTGGGTGGTTATGGGAGAGCTCTGAGGTCCTGATGGCCCACTTCTTTCTCCAGGAAGGTCAGTCAATATCCCTGGGCTTGAGGTCCGCATCCAGTGAGACCTTTTTATCTATGACACAGGTGGTGGTCATCAGTCCCCGGATCTCACGGTTAGCCCTTCGACATGCTGGGGAGCAGCAATCCTGCACAAAGCCTGGGCACACTGGCTGGGGCTTTAAGGTTGAGAGAGCAGCTGGCTACTACATGCTCTACATGCTCCCCAGCCTTTTTCATCATCAGTGCTGGACCATGCACTGACGTGGAGGTACACCTCAGTATCCCTGGGGGTCAGGAGAACGGGAACAATAGAAGGAGAAGCAGAAGACCATCAGGGTCTTACCTGAACAACAACCAGGGGGCCATACTAAACTCTCCCTGGAGTGGTGATTCCAGTCCATCTTCAAACCTCACAAAGGGCCCTCCCCGGCCTGTTGTGGGGTGTACAATCACAGACACTGTTCGTATGTTGTTCAAAGCTGCCATGAGGCTAAACGTGCACCCAGAGAGCTTAACCAGACCATGGTACGGGGGGCTCAAGTGATGACTGGTTTGGGTGCTGTCTTAGTCTATTCAGCTGCTGTAACAAAATGCAATAGACCAAGGGGATTACAAACAACAAAAATGTATTCCTCATAGTTCATGAGGCTGGGAAGTTCACAGTCAAGGGGCTGGCAGATTCAGTGTCTGGTGAGTGTGGACTGCCTGGTTCACAGAATGGCACCTTCTCACTGTGTCCTCACACAGTGGGCAGAGCCACAGAGCTCTCTGTTCCTGACATAGGGGCAGTAATTCCATTTTGGGGGCTTCATCCTCATGACCTAATCACCACCCAAAGACCCCACCTCCTAATACCATCACCTTGGAGGTTAGGATTTCAACATACAGGTTTTGGAGGGACACACATGTTAAGTCCCGTGCAGGTGTTGATCGCCTGCCACACACTGGATGAGCCTGGGTGCACATCACACTGGGGTGGCGTCCATTAACTAGCACCCTAGCCTTGGGGATGAGAGCGCTTTACGATGGGGGGAAAGAGATAACACCTGACAGACAGGACAAGGCCATGCAGGCCAAAGCACAAGTCCATCAGCCATTGGTGGGCCCATCCCAGGAGGCCTTCACTGTATCACGGATTGGTTGTATAGCCGAGAAAAGCTAGTAAAAGCTGACCAAGCCTCCTTGGGAATGGGTGGGCCATCCTTTTGATCATCTACTTCTTACCTCATGAAGGGGGAGATTCCCATTCTAGGGTTATGGGGATGGCTGGATCCAGGACACTAACCCTGGACACAAGAGACAGACAGCAATTTATTAGTCACACACACATCCCAGAGCATGGGAGACACCACATGCCGTGCACAGCCAGACGCAGGTTTCTCTTGGGAACAGAGTGGACCACCAGGGGCTGTGGGAGGCAGGCTTTGTTGTAACAGGAGGGTGAGGGGACCCTAGTTCCCACGGGAGGATGTGATGGGCTTGTTTGAATAATTCCATGGGCTGCAGGGAGCTGAAGCCCGCTACTCAGAGATGAGGAGGGTGGTGCCTGGTCCCCGAGATAAGCTGGGTTGTCTAGCATTGAGAACTTATCCATGGGAGAAGAATAGGGAGAGGACCTTGCAGTGAGGCCATACAAGCTCCTCCTGATTTTACCACGTGTCAAGACAGCACATAATACCAATTGGAGCCTTAAACCACACTTAAGCTTTCCAGATATAACTATAGATTTAACTGCATACACAAAGGGGTGCATTTGAGAAAGGCTTTGCCAAATTATATTCAGAGCAGGCTAGAATTGAAGAGAAAACCAATATCTTTCAAGCTGTTGCTACGATGCATAAAACCAATATCCTTGCAAAATGTCCGTATTTCATCAGCATTTCGTCTACAGCAGGAAGAAAATTGGCCTCGAATTCACAGTACAGCTGCAGCAGTAGGGTTCAATTGGACAATCATTAACCAAGCTTTCATGGCCTGTGTCTGGGTGAGCAGAGGGCCCGAAACAATCAGGCAGGCCTGACCAGGATGGGCTCAGTGAGGATCACTATCCTGGGCACCAAGGCTAAAATCTGTTACCTAATCTGCTGCCACACTCCACCTCCCAGTGGGGAGCAGAAACGGTCAGTATAGAATGAGAGCCACATCACGATTATTTATGGATCTCAAAGGAACAGGGCCCAGCAAAAATGAGCAAAATAATGTTTCAGCAAGTACTGGCTTCTTAAAACGAGCCAGTCAAAGACGGCTCTTTCCCCTTTGAACACTATGCATGCTCCTACAGTCCTCATGCCTCCAGTCAGAAGCAGGACCAGCATGCCCAGAGCCAATCACAGTCATCAGTTTGCTGCTGCAGAGAGGGTCACGTGCCTGCCCGGCAACGTGCTAAGCCCTTGATTCATGTCCCTCTTGTTCCACTAGGCAACGGTACAGTGTTAATTGGAAAAGCAAAGGAGAGTGCTGCTGCCGCCGCCTTGAATGTCATTTTCCCTGACACTCCACCAGGCCATGGTGGAGTGGCAATTAGAGAAGACTGGGAGGGAAGGGCAGCTCCCACAGGCCAGTGCTCTGCCTCAAGCCAAGTGAACAAGGGAAGGAAATGCAGTATTTCTTCCCCATTGGCAGCCAAGGAAAACTCTGTAAAAACGGACCATGAAAAGGTAAGTGCCACACAAGGGGAGTAGCTACGGGGGTACATGGGGACCTAGAGAGAGCTAATGGAGCAATAATGGGAATAGAAGGCTTGACATGCAGCACATGTCCCGCGCTCACTGTGAGCCTCTGGACACCTGCGGTGTCATGAAGGGAACACAGCACATCAGGGCCAACACCTTGGAGCAGCCGCCAGGAGGGACTGACGCCAGAGACATGGTTTACAGCTAGCTCGTATTTACAAAAAGCTTTCAACATAGAGTATATGTGGCATGTATACACAATGGATACTACTCAGCCATTAAAAAGAATGAAATCTGGTCATTTGCAGCAACATGGATGAACCAGGAGGACATTCTGTCAAGCGGAATAAGCCAGGCACAGAACGAGAAACACTCCATGTCCTCACTCACTTGTGGAATCTATAAACATTGAGCTCATAGACGGACAGGGTGGAATATGGGTTACCAGAGGCCGAGAAGGGTAGGCAGAGGAGACAATGGGGAGAGAGATTGGTGAACACGTACACAAGTACAGTTAGATGGGAAGATGGGAGGAATAAGTTCCAGTGTTCTATGGCACAGCACGGTGACTATAGAAAGTAATGTTACCGTGCGTATTTCAACAGAAGAAGATTCTGAATGTTCTCACCACAAAAGAAAATGTCGAGGTAATGATTATGCTAAGTACTATGATCATGACATAACGTATACATGTATCAAAACATCATGCTATTTCCCACAGAAATGTACAAATATTATGCATCAATTAAAAACAAACAAAAAAAAAAACAAAAAGGAAACTAGGAAGGAAGCCTGGGACAGTTTTGCCTTTGCAGCCCTCAGAAGGAACCAACCTTGGCAACAACTTGATCTTGGACTTCCAGGCTCTGAACTGGAAGGCAATTAACTCCTGTTGCTTAGCCCAAAAAATAAAAATTAAAAAATTAGAGTTTAAGATTAGGGTAATATGCACAGCATTTCCATACCGAAGGAAGCCAACCAGCTTGGACATGCCTGATAGTTTTCTTAGCTCCAAGAACAGTTGTGAATTTCCAGGTTCCTTGCCTGTGATGTAGGCCGATGGCATCCTCTACTCAGGTAGACTTCCTGGCCTCCTGGTCCAGGAGAGGGAATGCTGTCAGCTGGTTACCAGCTTCAAACGGCCTCCCAGAAGGTCCCTTCTCTTGACTCTTATTTTCTTTCTCAGGGGTAGCTGAGTACTTACTACACGCCTAGGGACACTGTCATAAGCAAGGAGCAACATTCATGCTCACAGGCCAATTACAGGGATGTACATGTGCTCACAGGGAGCTGGCCTGGCAGGGGCGGGGCTAGCTGAGGGACCCCAGGAGGGTCTCAGAGGAGTCCTGAGGTTTTTGGCCTCAAGCAAGGGGACCTCAGCAGAGACCCCAATGCACTGACAAAAGTAAAGTCAATACATAAAAAAGAATGCAGAGCAATGTCAGTGCCCTCCTGTTGGGAGTGGGGGAAGCATTCCAAGGTGACTTCTTCCCAGGGGCATGCACACCAGGACTCCCATGTGAGCGCCATGTGGCCTGCACTGTGCACCTTCCCCAGGGTGTGCTGGGCACCGAATCCGTGATGGCCAGCAGAGCAGCCCAGCTCCTGCCCTCAGATCGCCCATCACTTATGGACTCAATAAAATAATAACAAAAACACAGGTACAACCCCAACAATGGCAACTGACACAGAGAGATATAAGACCCTGAAGTCCTGCCATCAGAGGGTGGACCCTGTCTGGGAGATCAGCAAGATGCCACTGTCCAAGCTGAGACCTCAGGATGTGAGAGAGAATGAAGCACAGCCAGATGGGAACGGAAGGAGGATCAGCACCTGCAAAGGTCCTGTGGTGAGAAGGCCGACATGACAAAACCAGGTTGAAACAACCGCAAGGCTGAAGCCCAAGCTGGAGGTGCACCAGCTGGGCCATGAGTTAGCTGGTGTGGATCCATGCGGGGTGGTTGCATCAGGGAAACTGACCATAAGCAGTGGAGCTGCGGTCCCTCAGGGAGGCTGGCTGACGCAGGGAAAGAAGAAAATTACCTAAGAGGAGGAAGACAGGGTGCCCGGAGGCCTCAGGGTAGGACAGCAAGAGGCAGACACTGAGGCATCTTAACTTGGTGCATGGGAAACAAGGGGATGTTTGCACAATGAGAAGGCAGAGGAGTGGCCTCTGACTGCGAGAGCTTACATAGGGTATGCATGTGTATTGTGTGCACGAGGCACTGAGCCTTGGTGTTGAGCCAGGCAGAGACAGCAAGAGCTCTCTCCAGCACAGCAGAGTGTGCCCAGCTGCGACTTCCTGAGATGTGAAGAAGACTTGAAAGCGTTAGGAATAGTCGCAGCTTTCTGTTTCCATAAGCTCTGTCTGAGGCTTTATTGAAAGAACTGAACTCTATTTATGGTCTCCCTAATGTCAATCTGCACACTTAGGCAAAGTGTTTTCTGTTTCCCTGGAACATACCACACTTGTCAATTGTCCCTAAGCCCACGAAGCACAAAGCCACCTCAAGGCTTAAGCTTTTACTTAACGTTATAAAAATGTTATTTATTCTCAAATTATTCTATAAATTTAACATAATAATAAAAACTCACAGCTGGAATTCTTGAGAAACTGAAAACACTTATACTAAAATTAAGTGGAAGAATGAATATCCATGACAAGCCAAGTAAACTTTGAAAATGCAATTATAAAGTGTGTATGTGAAATATTATGACGTTAAATTTTTTTATATTGGACTTGTATTTCTGTTTTGAATTCCAGGTATATATTTGTATTTGCATTTTTTAAAATTCATCTTGGTTTCAAAAGGAACCCTTTTGCATAACAGTGGAACATATTCATGCCAGGGAGCATTTCAGATCCTCTTGAGAAGCAAGCTTACTTGTCTTCAGAAAAGGAGATTTGTAGCTTTCAGCCCAGTGAACAAGTGGGCTAAAAAGGCAATATTGCCATTTTAAATGTGAATAAACAGTCAGCAACCACCCCTTCACATTTTATGTTCAATTTTGAAATGCCACACAATTAATCTTTGAAAACTGTTTTAATACACGCATTTATAAAGAAAGACACACAGGTGGGAGGTGCAGTTAAGCACTTCACAGAGTCAGCTGGGGACTATTTTTCTGAGCCAGAGCTCTGCCATCGACATGTCTGGACAAAAGTCCTGTGCTCTAAGACCATGCTTCCCTCCTCAGAGAATCAGCATGAAAACAACAAAAAGAACCCCACAGATTTTTTTCCTTTGTGCAGCAATTTTTTAAAAATGCATGAACAGAATGAATGCCACCATTTTCTCTCTGTCTCTTTCTCTCCCTCTTTCTGTGTGTGTGTGTGTGTGTGTGTGTGTGTGTGTGTGTGTGTGAATGGAGACTATTTCTCCTGTTATTCATCTGCCTCCATCCCCCTGACCACAGTGGAGTGGCAGTAGCAGAGATGGAAGCATAGGGAGGTGCTGTGGTTTGAGTTTGTCCTCATCAAACTCCACGCTGAAATGGGATCCCTAATATGATGGTGTTGGGAGGTTGCAGGCCTAGTGTGAGGCGTTTGGGTCATGGGGACAGATCCCTTATGAATGTTACTACCTTCTCATGGTAGTGAGTGAATGCTCACTATAATGAGACCAGGTCAGTTTTCCTAAGAATGGATTAACTCCCACCAGAGTGGGTTGTTACAAAGCCAGGATTCCCCTTGGTTTTTGCTTCCTCACAAGTGTTCACTTCCCCTTTGACCTTCTCTGCCATATTGTGATGCAGCACAAAAGCCCTCGCCAGAAGCCAGGGCCATGCACTTCAACTTCCCAGCCTGCAGAATCAAGAGGTAAATAAACCTCTTTTCTTTACAAATTACCCAGCCTCAGCTATTCTATAATAACAACACTGAATTGACTAAGACAACAGTCAAAGGAAGAAGGGCCCTGGGATTCATCCTGGATCCACTCAACCCTTTATCTTACTTGTCTGAGCCTCTCAGAGGGAGATGAATTAATTCACCAATTACAGGTCTCCCTTGAGAATTTGCTATGTGTCACACACTCTAAGTATTGCAAACCTAAAAAGCTGGGCCTTATAAATAAAATTGGTACTTGCAAGACATGGAAGAAAATGATGAACACCCCATCTCATGGATTTAGAGCTTCGAAAGGCCCAAAGAACCAAGATTATGGTTCCAGATCTGGCTAAGCATCATAACCATCAAGAATACCACAGATTAATTTTACAGATGGCCCAGACCCAACTCAAGGCACTGAATATGTCTAGGTTTCCATTGAAAATTACTTTTCATACTAAGAACCTGGAAGATCCCATATTGAATAAGAAGAGACCACCAGTTGATGCTAAGGCTGAGATGACAGAGATGTCAGAACTTTCTGATAAAGGAAAAACGCAGGATCATAAAAATACTTCCATGAGCAGTTGTAAACATGCTTGAAGCACACATAAACAAAAACACAGAAAGCCTCAGCGAAAAAAGAGAAGGCTTAAAGAGAAACTAAGTAGAATCTCAGAACTGAAAAACACAACCAAAATAAGAAGCTTGGTGAATGAATTCAAAGGCAGAATGGAGGAGACCGAGGAGAGAATCAGAAAACTTGAAGATAGAACAATAGAATTACCTAGTGCAGACAGCAGAGAAAACAAAAGAGAAGAAAAATGAACAGTGCCTAGGAACCTATGCAAGGGCCCAGTAAAAGATCTAACATTTGTGTCATGGGAATCCCTTATTACTGACAGATGAGGTGGTAGCTATAGCCCCTACATGGTCTCTACCAACATTCTGTACATGTACGGGTTGTGTGGGGTAGGGGATGTTCATTTCCAGCTGGCAAAGGATCAGTGCCCTAGCTCCCCATGTGACCTTCTTTGACACACCATGGTGGGGGATTGGGGCCCCCCATTACAGCCTCTTGAAGGTAGAAATGGAGGCTGCCCATAAGCTTTTGCTAGTGTGGGCTGTGGTAGGGCCATAGTTTGTGGTGTTGGCTGGAGTAGAACATTTACTGTCTTAATGTTTTCTGTCTTGCTAGGTTCCCCTTTTTCCTGGTCCTCTTGCTAGAGACAGCAGGTGTGTGTGTGTGTGTGTGTGTGTGTGTGTGTTCTATGCTCATTGGGGTTTCTGGGTTGCTGGCTTCACCAGGGTATGGCCTTGGGATACAAGAGGTAAAATGAAGCTCAGGGAACTCATTGGTGTGCTATTGTTCTTCAAGTTCCCTTACTGATCTGTCTTCCTTTACCATTCAGTCTTCTTATATTTACTGTCCTTAGGAGGAGGACTAGAGAACAGAATTTCTACTCCATTTTTTGGAAGCGGAACTTAAAAGATTTTTTAACAATTCAGATCCCTTGTTATAAACGTGAAAACTCATATACCTCCCTAGAGTTTCAGATAGTCTCTCGTCTAGTGGGATTGTTTTTGCTTCTCCAATCCCCACTCAGAGTCTTTGCCCACTGGCAATCATTCTTTATGATTTTGCATTATGTCAGAAACATGACAGACAATCTTACCTAATTCTGAACACAAACAGATTGTATTCTAATAATTAACATGAGTCTTAATTTATGCACACATTCCTAGCAATAGTGTCATGTCCTTGGGGATGGCTGGAGGTCAATCCTCTTTTCCACCGTTTGAAAGCTATCATCCCTGAAGGTTCCCTTTCCTTTCAAAATTCAAGGCTGTATTTATTAGAGCATGTGTTATTTGTCCTTATCTTGCCAGCACTAAGAAGAGAATCTCAATTCCAAAATGGAATTCTTGGGCTGCCAAGCCCAAGGAGGAGAAAACACAATGTGATATTAATTTCCTTAGAACTTAAACCTGTGCATCATTTAAGGATAACATCTTTAATAATCAATCATCTTCTGTCTCAAGTCTGACTTTATGGTTTAAAGGATGTCACATGTACTGTGATCTCAGCCCTGTTCACGGCCCAGTCATAGGAGCCATTGCTACCATACCCATCGGCTAGAGAACATTGTTGAATCTCAGATAATAGAAGCCATTTGACCTTCTAAAACACAGAGAGGAGTCTGGCCTGGAACACATTTTTTGCCCAACAGTTCAGGAGTCTTTCAACCAAACTTGACTTCCCCTGTATGTGGATCCAAATTGGACCTATCTGTTTCCCAAGTGTCTGTGTGGTTCTCAACCTAGGACAGCTTTGCCACCTGGAGCTCATTTGGCAATGTCTGGAGACATTTTGGGCTGTAAAACTGGGAGCATGCTCCTGACAACTGGAGGGTAGTGGACAGGAATGCCGTTGAACATCCTGCACCACACTGGGCAGCTTCCACCACAGAGATGTACCTGGTTCAAAACCCAAGGATCAAGATGGAGAAACGCTACTAGGTGCAAATTATCAGGGGCCTGTTCATGAGAATTGCTCCAAGATACACGTATTAGCCAAGGTTCTCTAGAGGGACAGAACTAATAGGACAGATGTATATGTAAACGGGAGTTTATTAAGAGTACTGACTCTCACAATCACAAGGTGAGGTCCCACAATAGGCCCTCTGCAAGCTGAGGAGCAAGGAAGCCAGTCCGAGTCCGAAAGCTGAAGAACTTGGAGTCCAATGTTAGAGAGCAGGAAGCACCCAGCACAGGAGAAGGCTGTAGGCTGGGAGGCTAAACCAGTCTAGTCTTTTGACGTTCTTCTGCCTGCTTTTATTCTGGCTGCACTGGCAGCTGATTGGATGGTGCCCACCCAGATTGAGGGTGGGTCTGCCTCTCCAGGTCCACTGACTCAAATGTTAATCTCCTTTGGCAACACCCTCACAGACACACCCAGGATTAATATTTTGCATTCTTCAGTCCAATCAAGTTGATACTCAATGTTAACCATCACAATACACAACACCCGCCCCCCAGCAGCATTCCTCAAACCGATTTTTTGTAACACTTGTTCTCAGTAGCCTCCAAAAATGGGGAAGGGCATAGCCAAACTATGTGGGAAACCCTCCAAAATATATGCTTCTTTTAGAGATTTTCAGTGCTCATGAGCATTAAAGAGACATGTAAGAATCCTCTTAAAAAGAAAAAAAAATACTTTCTATTTGTTCAGTGCATCATTACCCAAAATAATGTGTCCCTGAACTCCCCTTGGCCCTGCTTATTGTTCTGTGTAACACAAATTAGCATCCAAATGACCTTCAGAAAATGCTTTAAATAAAGATTTCTAACAAGAGTGGCCATTATCAGTATTGTTATTTTAAGGAAATTTTCATTTTAACACCTATAGGAAGTACTGCAATGAGAGATAAAATCATCAAATACAGAAAGTCTATTAACCTTAGTTCTAAATTTCTACTAAGGTGGTATTATTGTAAAAAAAAAGAGAGAGAGAGAAAAAAGAGCTTAACACTTCACCTCTGATGTTATTTTCCATCTTTAAAAAATTGCTTTCAGCCCACCATACTATCCTAAGTATCATTTGTTTTTTTGTTGTTTTTTTTTTTTTTTTTTTTTTTTGAGACGGAGTCTCGCTCTGTCGCCCAGGCCGGACTGCGGACTGCAGTGGCGCAATCTCGGCTCACTGCAAGCTCCGCTTCCCGGGTTCACGCCATTCTCCTGCCTCAGCCTCCCGAGTAGCTGGGACTACAGGCGCCTGCCACCACGCCCGGCTAATTTTTTTTATTTTTAGTAGAGATGGGGTTTCACCTTGTTAGCCAGGATGGTCTCGATCTCCTGACCTCATGATCCACCCGCCTCAGCCTCCCAAAGTGCTGGGATTACAGGCGTGAGCCACCGCGCCCGGCCGTATCATTTGTTTTCGTCACTGTGAGAAACCAAGACATCAGGAGCCTGCCCTTCTTGGTTCCACCATAAACAGCACACATCTAGTAAACTAACAGTATTAAATCTCAAAGTAAAGATCTACTTACGGATTTATTTTAAAATTTTTAAATATAATAATGGCCCAATACAGCTAGGCAGGAGGAATCAGTTCTAGCATTCTATAGCACTGCAGGTTGACTATAGTTAACAATAATGTAGAGTTTCCAATGGCTACAAGGAGAATATTGGATGTTCCCATCACAAAGAAGTGATCGATGTTTCAGACGGTCAATATGCTAACCACCCTGATCTGATCACCATACATTATATGTATTGAAACATCACTATGTAGCCCATGAATATGTGCAATTTGTCAATAACTAATGGCCCAGCACAACTGAGAGAAGTAAAAGAAATTTGAAATCATGCATATAGAACCAAAGCAAAATGCTCTATCCTTTCAGCGAACATCTTCTAGTTAACCCAAGCATTGTATGCACAAACAATATTTAACATTAAGAGGTTAATTACACTTTCTACAAACATTAGAATACTATGTAGCCATTAAAATGGTGATTAGGGATTTATAATAATGAGCTGACTCCAGAAAGATATTGTCAACACACGGTTTAGCTTCAAAAGAGGTGAGTCTTCGAACAGAAAACATAATCAGATACTATTACTGGGAAACTTTTTTATCTGGGGGTGGTGGCTCACACCTGTAATCCCAGTGCTTTGGAAGTCTGAAGCAGGAGAAACGACTGAGCCCAAGAGTGACAATTTACAGTAAGCTATAACTGATTGCACCACTATGCTGCAGCTTGGGCAACAGAGCAAGACCCTGTCTCAAAAATATGAAATAAAATGAAATAAAATAAAGATAAAATAAGCAACTTTAGCAGAGGAAAGTCAGAAACAACAGATGTATTGAGTTCTTCCACCATTAAAACACATTCTAACAGTTTTGTCCCCCCAGCTGAATTTGTTGCCAATGAGAAAATCTTACCTGTGTCCTTTCAAAGACAGGCCAATCCCGGGTTTTGTCTTTCTTTACAATGAAAACAAGTTGCTCCTCTTTTTCCTGGGGCAGTCAGAATGCAGCCAGCACCCCCACCATCAGGGTGTCATCACCCTGCATACCAGGCCCTTCCCATGTAAAATGGACTTTGCAGCAAGGCAGCTGAGGATGGCTCTATTCTGTGTCAGCATCATTCCACCAACTTCAACAAAGACACTTAGCCAAAATGCAGGCTTTCGTCCTTTTGTGACTTTCTACATCATTCTTTTGTTTCAAGACGTTCTTCAAACTCCACTTCATCTACCACCAGCAGATCTACTCCATCTTGCCCCTACTGTGTCTGTAGTTAGCTCCTTCTAGTGCATTTGTGGTCTGGCTGACTTCAAGAATAGAGCCACGGACCTTTGCCATGTGTGTTACAGTTCTCAAAGGTGGCACCGACCCAAACACTGAGCAGCAGCAAGATTTATTGCAAACAGCAAAGAACAAAGCCTCCACAACATGGAAAACGACCCTGGCAGATTGGCGCTGCTGGCTGCGGTGGCCAGCTTTTATTCCCTTATTTGTCCCTGCCCAAATTCTGCTGATTGGTCCATTTTACAGAGTGCTGATTGGTCCATTTTACAGAGTGCTGATTGGTCCATTTTACAAACCTCTAGCTAGCCACAGAGCACTGATTGGTGCGTTTTTACAGAGCACTGATTGGCACATTTTACGAACGTCTAGCTTGCCACAGAGTGCTGATTGGTGCATTTTACAATCCTAGCTACAGAGTGCTGATTGGTGCATTTTACAATCCTCTTGTAATACAGAAAAGTTCTAGGAGTCCCCACCCGACCCAGAAGGCCAGCTGCCTTCACCTCTCACTACCACGAAAGTAGTAGAGCTTGGGTTTGGCTGCCATGACTCCTGGCTCAGGGTTTTCAAGGACACAGATGAAGAGATGCAGAGGGTGACATACGGGGCAAGATGCCTGGATTTCCTGTGCCCTCCCCAGGTACTACCCTCCAGGTACCTCCAGGTGATCAGCTAACTGGAAGCTCCTAATTCTTTTTTTTTGTATTTTAACAATTTTTTCCATGAACTAATTGCTTAGTTGCTCAGAATGTAAAATTTTTCTATTTTGATACAGATTTTTACATAAATATTTGACAAATTCACATTTCACAAACAGGTATTAAAATTTCTATTCTCACTTCAATATTATGCCAGTGATATTTAATCTTTGTCATTCTAATGAGTAAAAACAAATATTCAATTTTTTCACCTTAACTGATTGTGAACAAGTGAATATTTTCATAGTAATTATTTAAAGTCACTACTGATACATGAAAGAGACTGTAGCAAAGGAAGCAGCAAATATATACCCAGTTCTTACTAATTATTCAATAGCTCATTCTAAGTTTGTGATAAAGAAAAGCATAATAATAGGAACTTTTGTGATAACTCTTTCCACAATGTGTAAGCTTTGGTTCAATTGGAGAAGAACAGAATTTTAGATGATATGAAATCATAAACTGTCTTTAAAATTCAAATCCACCAGTAGACAGGTGAGAAGATTCAGGTTCAGAGAGGTGTGATGACTCACCTCAGCACATTCTGGGCCAGCAACCCAGCAGGCACTGTGCTCACCATGCCACAGCTGCCCTCAGCGTGAGGGGACTCATCCTCACCTCCAAAGACAACATTCAACGACAGCACAACGGGTGCCGCGAATCTGATAAGTTAAGGGGACCATTTAGCAGTTTCTGGCATATTCTTAATAGCCATGTGTTAAAAATCAAATTTCCATGGACAAAGCCAAAGCCAACTGTCACTTTTATGAAATGAATTTTGGGATATAGAAATAAATACGGGCTGGGCGCGGTGGCTCACACCTGTAATCCCAGCACTTTGGGAGGCCGAGGCAGGCAGATCACGAGGTCAGGAGATCAAGACCATCCTGGTTAACACGGTGAAACCCCGTCTCTACTAAAAATACAAAAAATTAGCCAGGCGTGGTGGCGGGCACCTGTAGTCCCAGCTACTCAGGAGGCTGAGGCAGGAGAATGGTGTGAACCCAGGAGGCAGAGCTTGCAGTGAGCCAAGATCGCGCCACTGCACTCCATCCAGCCAGGGTGACAGAGCGAGACTCCGTCTCAAAAAAAAAAAAAAGAAAGAAAAAAAGAAAGAAAGAAATACATCAAAGTTAATTATAGTTACAATATTATTATGATAAATTTGAGTAGTCATGCTGCAATGGTTTGTCATAATACTGTAGGAAAATCACTGTTCAACGCCTGCATCACTAAACTAAGAACTTAGGATACCAAACAGATATTTACTTTAAACTTACTCATAAAATGTCACAAATGTTTTGATTCACAGCAGAATGTAATTCAGAAAATATTTTAGTCACATCGTTTTTGGAAGGGACTATCTTTCAAGGATTAGTACCTAGGGCATATTTCAAAACCAATTTATCTTCAACTACTGGGAAAGTAAATATTTTCATATGTTCCACAGATTTAAACTTATGAGGAATGGCCTTTTTTGATATTACTTTAAAATATATCATCTTAGCAGGATCATTGGATAGTTTGAGTAGCTATTTTTTCTCTCTTTATTATGTTTGGATCAAAAATAAGTTGCCATAGATGTTGTGAAAAAGATTTTGATGTTTGTTTTCTTTGTAAAATCTGAAGTGGTGAAACTGACATTCTGCTTTTAATTCATCCTAAGGAGGTGGGAATAATTACTAAATAAGATTTTATAGCACTTATGGATTAAATTGAATTAAATATCTAAATATTAAACAGATTTCATACATGCCATAACTAAATCTAAATAATTGCTTAAAAACAGAATTATAATAAATATAATATTCATTATTTTGCCTTAATATGGTCTTTAAATTTTTATGTATTTTTTTAACTTAAAAAGGACACAATTAGAAACTTAGAGGAGCCCAGAGTAATTTTGGCTGCTTAAATCAAAAGGTCTCCATATATCTTTCAAAAAGTCTACACAGATCACAGGGAGAATAAATATCACCATTTAAACCTCACAGCTTCATCATGAGTTGAAGAGAAAGAAAGCACGACAGATTTTAGATTATTTATATGTAGAAAAACAAATGCCAATGTCCAGCAGGGCTTCTTGGTACTATTCCTAAACCTATTCTGTATGTTTGAAATTATATTTAAATGAAAAATAAATAAAATATAAGTAAAAGAATGTTGAATTTATTTCAAGCTAGTGGAACCAAAAAAGGTATAAACATGAAAGAAGAAAAACTGCAATACAAACCAAAAGTACTGGCTATGCACACGCAAACACACACACACACACACACACACACACAGAGATACCTTTTAATGTTAAAAACAGTAATTCACAATAACAATATAATAATTATGAATATTTATGCACCAAGTAACACAGCAACCACCAATACAAGGCAGAAACTTGTAGGAGATGTAAGGATACACAGATAGAAACAAAATAACAAGAGTAGACTTTGCCATACCACCCTCAAAATGAGACAGATCAAGTGAACAAAAACCAGCAATGATATAATACATAAACAACATAATTTTGTCTCAAATTTTGCACCTTGATACAAGAAAATACAACTTTTTCTTAAACACACATAACATTCCCCAAAACCAAACTCACGTTACAGGCATCAGCACACTTTTTTATAAAAGACCAAGCAGTAAATATTTCAGGCTTCACAGGCACTACTAGACTGTTGCAACTCTGCTGCTGTCACACAAAAGCAGCCATACATAACACAAAAAGGAATATGATGGTGTTCCAAAAAGATTTAATTCATAAACACTAAAATTTGAATTTCATATACTTTCACATCTTGAAATACTATTCTTTTAATTTAAAAATTTTATTTAAAAATGTACAAATTCTTTTTTAGTTCGCAAGTCATACAAAACAGTCAGTGGATGAATCTGGAATAAGGTTTGTAGTTTGCTGAACTCTGACATATTAAGTCATAAAGAAAGAAATGGTAAGTTCTACGAAGCAGGAACTTTAAAAACACCATTACTCTCTGGGCCCAGTGCAATAATTCTAAAATGAACAACAACATCTAAAGGGGTCTTCCACATGAAAAGTTGGAGAAAAGTTTGCATTAAACAACATTTTGGGAAAGTGGAAATACAAACCAAAATTAGAAAGATTTTAAAATATAGTTACAATAAAAACACTAATGCAGAATCTGCGTCAATCTTCAACATCTTTTAAAAATTAAAATATTTAAAAATATATATATGGTATATACCAAGAGAGGTGATATCAAAAAAAATCAACGCTAGAGAAGACAGAAAAAAAGAAAGAGCAAATGCAGTAAATCCAAAATGGTTATAAGGACGATATTTTAATACAACTATAATAGCAACCACTTTAAATGTGGTTGCTATTAAGACACCAGTTTAAAGATAGATATTGCCAAAGTAAATAATATAAAAACAAGTATATATTGTCTGGAAGAAACAGGTTAAAAGTTAAGGAAAAGAGAAAGATGTACCATGCTAACACTAATCAAAAGAAAAATGAATTAGATATATTAATTTTGGAAAAAGTAGACTTCAGAACAGCTAAGAATATCAGAGATAAAGAGTGACATTACATAATGGTGGAGTCAATTTTCAAGAAGACAACAATCCAAAGTGTTAATTAATCTAACAACAGAGCATTAAAATAATTAATATTTTAATATTTTAAAATAACTAAAATGTTAACAAGCCAAAAACTAATAGAATTGAAAGGGAAAATGAAGAAATCTATTTTATATTTGGAAACTTCAAAACTTCTCTGTCAATAATTGAACAAATAAGGCAGGCAGAAAATCAGTAAGGATATAGATGACTTGAACAACACTGTCAATAAGAGAAATTTATAGAACACTCCATCTGACAACAGCAGGCTGTACATTCTTCTCAAGCAGGCATAGAATATTTATCATGATAGACCATATTCTGGGCTTGACAAATTTAAAATAGAAGTTATACAAAGTACATTCTCAGACCACAACAGAATTAAACTAGAAATCAGTAATGAAAAGACATCACAACAATCCTCAAATATTTAGAAATTAAATAACATACTTCTAAGTAACCTATAAGTCAAGGAAGACGTTGCAAGCGAAATTTTTTAAAATTTTCAGTGAAATGAAAATAAACTCATCAATATTTATGAGATACAGCAATTAACAATAATATATATTTTTTCAAATAGATAAGAGAATATTGAATGTTCTTAATACAAGGAAATGATAAATGAGATGACTGATGGCTATGCTAATTACTCTAATCACTATTCATTATATGTATTGAAACATTATTATGTACCCTATAGATATGTACAATTATTTTGTATCAATTATTTTTTTGAGATGAAGTTTTGTTCTTGTTCCCCATGCTGGGGTGCAATGACACGATCTCGGCTCACCACAACCTCCACCTCCTGGGTTCCAGTGATTCTCCTGCTTCAGCCTCCCAAGTGGCTGGGATTACAGGCATGCACCACCACACTCAGCTAATTTTTGTATTTTTAGTAGAGATGGGATTTCTCCATGTTGGTCAGGCTGGTCTCGAGCTCCCAACTTCAGGTGATCCACCCACCTCGGCCTCCCAAAGTTCTGGGATTACAGGTGTGAGCCACTGTGTCTGGCCTTGTATTTATTTATTTAAAATAAAAATGAAAAGAACAATAAAGTTTTTAGAGCATAAACAAGAAATATCCAAAATGAATAACCTAAGCTTTAACATCAGTAAACAAAAGAAACAAGAACAAATTAAACCTAAAGCAAATAGAAGAAAATAAATTATAAAAATCAGATAATACATAAGTTAAATTAAAAACATAAAAACAATAGATGAAATCAATGAGAGCTAAGGCAGTTCTTTGAAAATATCAATAATATTAATAAACCTCTAACTGGGCTTACCAAGAAGATGACACAAATTGCCAATTGTCACTACGGATGCAATGGACATGAAAATGATAAGGGAAATAATTGATAAACTCTCTGACCACAAATTGGATAATGTAGATAAAGTATACCAATTCCTTGAAATATACAAATTATCAAAACTTATGCTATCAGAAAGATAACATTAATAGCCATTTATCTATTAAAGAAATGTAATTAGTAGTTTAAGACCTTTCAAAAATAAATCATTAGGCTCATTTTCTTTCACTTGGGAAATTTAAGCAAATATTTAAGGAAGAAGCAATACAAAATCACCACAGTTTTTTCCAGAAAATAGAAGAGGAAACAATTGCCAATTTATTTTTTGAACACTGAAATGTCCTAATGACAAAACCAGATAAAGCCATTACAAAAAAAGAGAAAACTATAGACCAATCTCTAATGAACATAGACACAAAAATTCTTAATAAAATATTAGCAATACAGCTTAAGCAATACTTGAAAAGGATAACACATCACAATCAAACAAAGTTCATGCCAAGGGCACAAAGCTTGTTCTTTACTTTTAAGTTAATCAATGTAACTCATCATTTTATCAGGCTAAATTTTAAAAATTATGTGATTATATTAATTAATCCATTAAAAATTCAACAAAATTCAATACTTTTTTATGAACAAAACTAGCAAACTATGAATAGAAGGGAATTTCCTTAACATAATGATGAGTTTTTTTTAAACTTGTAATTAATATTCTTAATGGAGAGAAATTAATGCTTTTAGAATTTGAAATGTTTAAAAACACGTATAATAACACCAAAAAGAAATACTGGAGTATAAATTTAAGAAAATGTTTATAAGATCTCTATACAGAAAACAACAAAACCCTAGTAAAGGCAAACAAAGATATAAATAAATGGAGAGATAGTCTATATTCAAAGACTTACTATATTAAAATGTTAATGCTCCCCCAACTTAACCTACTGACTCAACCCAATTCCTTCTAAATCCCAGGATGTTTTGGGTTTTGTAGACATCACAAAACGTATTCTAAAATTATTTAGAAACACAAAGGACTGAGAATAGCCAACACAATACTGAAAAAAGAACAAAGTTGGAAGACTAAAACTATCTGATCAAGACTTAGTATAAAACTACATCAACCAAGACACTATGGTATTGGGAAAATAATTTTAAAATACAGCAGTGGAACAGAGAGCTTAGAAGTAGACCCAAGAAAATATAGCCATTTGATTTTTGACAGAGATACAAATGTAACTCGGTGATAAAAGATAGTCTTCTCACAAATGCTGCCTGCACAATTGGATGTCTGAATGCAAAAAGATAAACCTAGACAATGACCTAACATCTTAGACAAAAATTTACTCAAAGTTGATTGTATACTTATATGTAAAATATAAAGCTATAGAAATTCTAAAAGAAAAGAGAGAAGAATTCGTGTGACCTTACTTTCTGTGATGAAGTTTTAGACAGAATGCCAAAAGCATGATCAATGAAGAAAAAATTTAATAGTTGGAACTTAATTTAAAACTTTTGCTTTTTGAAAGACACTGTTAAGAAAATGAAAAGATAAGCCATAGACTAGGAGATAATATTTTCAAACCACATATCTGACCCATATCCACATTATACAAAGAATTTTTAAAACTCAACCAACTGAACAAGCAACCCAGTTAAATTCTGGGCAAAAGATCCGAACAAAAACTCATCAAAGACCAGGCCCAGTGACTCAAGCCTGTAATCCTAGCACTTTGGGAGGCTAAGGCAGGTGGATCACCTGAGGTCAAGGGTTTGAGACCAGCCTGGCCAACATGGTGAAACCTCATCTCTACTAAAAATACAAAAATTAGCTGAGCAATTTTTTGCAGGTACTTTTATATTCCCAGCTACTCGGGAGGCTGAGGCAGGAGAATCGCTTGAACCCAGGATACGGAGGTTGTAGTGAGCCGAGATCATGCCATTGCACTCCAGCCTGGGCGACAGAGAAAAACCTCAAAAAAAAAAAAAAAACTCCTCAAATAATATATATATATATAGATGGCAAACAAGCAGATGGAAAGCAACTCAACATAATTTCTCATTAAAGAAATAAAAATTAAAACAGCAATGGATTACTCCTGTACATATAACAGTTAAATTTTGTATTTAAAAAACTGGCAATACCAGTTGCTTGTCAAGATTCAGAGTAACAGGAAGTTTCATTCATTGCTGGTGGAATACAAAATGTTACAGTCTTTTTTGAAGGACTCTAAGAGTTTCTTGGAAAGCTAAACAAAGTTTTATCATATAATCCAGCAACTGCAGTCCACACAGTTAGACTGTAAATAAAACTCTGCACACTGATGTTTATAGCAGCTTTATTCATAATCACCAACCTGGAAACTACCAAAATGTCCGTCAGCAAGTAAATGGATAAACAAACTGTGGTATATACATACAATGCAGAAGTACTATTCAGTGATTTAAAAGAAAAAAGAAATAACAATCCATGCAATTTAAAAAACCATGAATGACTCTTAAATGCAAACTGCTAAATAGAAGCAACCAGTCTGAAAATGCCACATATTGTATGATTCCATTTATATGATATCTTGAAAAAGGGAAACTTGTGGAGACAGAAAGCAGTTCAGTATTTAGGGGCCTAACAATTGGGGAGAACCGAATATAAATATTTAAAGCACAGGGGATGTGTAGGGCTACGAAACTATTTTGTGTGGGACTTTATTGTTGGATATGTGACACTATCCACTTGTAAAAACCCATAGAACTTTATAACACAAAGAGGAAACTTCTGTGCATACAAATGATATCAAAGTCAACTCGACTGGCAGGGAACACCAGAATTGAATGCAGACTGTAACAAAAGAATCAAAATATATTTAAAATGTATGCCATAACCTCCCTGAAGAGGATGTGGAGAAGAGTTGCTGACCTAAGCAAATCTGAATATGAGTGATGACTATGAGATGAAAGACAAAATAAACTGCCATAAGCACTGTACTCTAGTTGGCAAAGTCGTTTCTCGTAGGAGTACAGGTTAACAATTCTAAAACTGTTGTATTTATATACAGGGGTTGAATAAATCAGTAGAAGGGTGGTGGCAAGGGAGCCAAGTTTCTCACTGTTGGTGTGGGTGGTTACAGATTAACAAAGAAGACCTAGAACAAGTTATATGTCCTAGATTAGAGTTGGTGACATCATTATGAACTCGTTTTGCTTAATATCCATACAGATGGGTACACCTAGAAATAATTATAGATGCATATGTGTAAATGTGTTAGTACACAGATGTGTGCTTTCTGCTGAGATGACTTAGGAGCAACAGCACCCTAGCAGCAACAAGCACACCTAGCACCTAGAACTTAGTTGTTGATTCCTTTTGCCAAAATATACAAGATAAGCCTGCAGTATCATGCAGTTCCAGAAGGCAAGAAAGTGCTCAAGCACAAAATGATATGTTTTGTCAAGATAACACAGGAGCCATCCAGAATGACCTTTCAATGGGAATCAAATCTGAACAATTTGAGCAACAAAATAACGTAGTATTCGATTATAGCCAAAAGTATAAAATAAACATTCAAAAGTCCATCTTGATATACATAAGTGAGGAAATAAATAAATAAATGGGGGAAATAGCTCATTGGCTTGTGCAGAATTTCAAATGATTTATATAGATACTCTCCCATCAAGGAAGAGGAGCATGACTCCCCACCCTTTTAGTTTGGACTTTGCATAGGGCATTCATTTCATGGCATACGGTATGGAAAGGCTGGGGGCAGGTAAGCTCACAATGGAAAAACCTGGCAAACACCACGCCAGCCAGGTAATTCAGGGCAGCATCAGCAGCAACCAGTCCCAATGACCATGTGTATCCCTGACAGGATGGGAAGAGAGTGACAGCTCACCTCTGTGGTCTCCCGCCATACAACCCATAACCTCATTGTACTCATAAGTAAAGGAATCAGACAAACTCAAATTGAGGAACATCCTATAAAACATTTGTCTAAGGTGGGGTGTGGTGGCTCACACCTGTAATCCCAGCACTTTAGGAGGCCGAGGCAGGCGGATCATGAGGTCAGGAGATCGAGACCATCCTGGCTAACATGGTGAAACCCGTCTCTACTAAAAATACAAAATATTAGCCAGGTGTGGTGGCGGGCACCTGTAGTCCCAGCTACTCAGGAGGCTGAGGCAGGAGAATGGCGTCAATCCGGGAGGGGGAGCTTGCAGTGAGCCGAGATCACACCACTGCACTCCAGCCTGGGCGACAGAGCAAGACTCCGTCTCAAAAAAAAAAAAAATTTTGTCTAATACTCCTCAAAACTGTCAAGGTCTTCAAAGACAAGGAAAGTCTAAGAAATTATGAAGTCTAACAGTGCCCAAGAAGACAAAGTGACTCAATGTAATGTGTTATCCTAAATGAGATTTTAAGATAGGAAAAGAACATTGTGTAAAAACTAAGGTAACCCAAACAGCACATAGACTTAGTTAATAATAACGTATCAGTATTGGTTCATTGGTTGTGACGAATGTTTCAAACTAATGTTAGATGTTGGTAATAGGGGAAATTGGATGTAGACTATAAAAACCTCTCTAATATTTCAACTTTTCTGTAAATACTAAAGTGTGCTAAAATTAAAAGTTTATTTATAACAATTAATTATTAGACAATGTAATAAGTGCCACGCTAGACATATAGGATATTAGGGAAGCGCAGAAGACTGGCAGCTAACCAAGACTTTTTATCAACTCAAATTATTTTGGAAATAAAATTTCAGACATTTACATCCAATTTTAAAACATACATTTCCATAAAGAGTTGATTTGCTCATTATAAGCAAATCATATTTGTAACATTACAAATTGCTCTATGTCATATTAGGAGCGTAATCTGCCATAACTCTTCATTTTTCTTTTATAAACATTTTTATTATAAAATATACCAACAAAAAAGAAACAGGCTATACAGTTCAATGATTGCATCTTGCAGTAAACCTCTTCATGAGACTTCCCCCCTACTCCAGTTTGCCCTCCAGGAGAGCCTTGGAGGAACGCTCCAGGCAGGTCCGCCTCTCTCTGCAAACCAAGCCCTGTGCTGAGGTGGAGGGGAGCAGCCGCGTGGCCGTTTCCACCCCAGCCCCCGGCACAGGCACAGGCGGCTCTCTGTCACTCACTTGCTCTTTGTCACTTTTCTCTATCCCCACCAGTACTTCAAATACCATCTCCTGCACCTGCTCTCCCTTTCAGTGGATTCAAATGAACCTTCAGATCCCCATTCCCAATCCAAGCCCTCCCAGATGCCACACTGGTTCCCGTGTTGAATCTGCCCGCAGGGAGAAGCAAGAGAGAGAACGTTGTCATCTGTGTTCGGGTCGCCCTATTCTAAGGATCCTTCTAGAATCTTTCTTTTTTACTTCTCAAAGGTTGGAAGCATATATTTTTATTTTATAGAGTGCCTTATGTAGTGAGTAAGCAGGTGCCACATTTGTTAGCAACAATTAACTTAATTTGGAGGGAACAACAACTAAAATAGTTGGTTGCTCTCTCTCTCTCTCTCATATATTTATTTTGAGGAACAACTTCCTTGCTGCCCACACTTTCTTCAAGTCCAACTCTGCACATACGGCTTAATTAGCAAAGCCACAGCATTACTTTCCTCTTGGAATCTTCAGTTTTCTCCTTCAGGGTAAAATAAACTCATTCTGAAATTATACACCTTCAGAATCCCTCCTCGGCGCACCATACAAACTTCAGCTTACAGCTAGATGTGTCATCTCCTTCTGACCCACCAGGTGCTGGTATTGAAATACCAAACATGGGCACAGCTGCAATCAAACGGTCTCCCATTTTACAGGTTAAATTTTTTTTTCAAAAGCTTTTTCTTAAAATAGCATGTTAAATAAGAAACCAATAGTATTACATGTAATAGCAGTACCTAAAATCTAGGTGATCTTTTCTATGTGAAAGAAAAGATTCTTCAGTGTGAAGAACTACGGAGTCTTATTGAATATTCTCTCCTTTGCACAGTTGACTACTGTGAAGAGAGATTAAAATTCCCAAGAGTACTAGGAAAGACTTCCCATTTTAATGCTATAGTAGAAAGATGGCTGCTCTTTAATTTATATGAAACACTTTTATATTCACTCATTCGTTATTTTATTTTTTTAAAGTTTATTGAAAACTTACTCTGTGCTATACACTATGAAGTGCATGAAGAGATAGCAAAGAACGTCGCAACATTGTTTCTTTCCTCAAGTAATTTACAACACTATAAGTAAGACAGATGATGTACAGCAATTGAGTGAATGCAATATGACCAGGCAATAACATAGGCAGCATATCTCTGGTTTCCTTGGGAAATCCTAATTAGATTTGTATTCCTTCTAACAAAAATTCTAAGCCTCCTGAAACTTGCCAAATGATTCAAGTTATGGTCAAATAGTAAGAACAAAATTTTCAGACCTTCTGAAAACATCCCTTTGGTTGAATAACATTTGCCTCTAAAGCAAACCACCTTGGGTGAAAAAAAAAACCCCGATTAATAGGATTAATAAATAACCTTGCTTTCTGTTTCTATCTCCGGAATAGTACTTGAGTTTTAGATCATTACATTAAAAATCAAACAAAATTTGCTCAGCAAGTAAACATGATGATTGTCAAAGGAAACAACTGTGTTTCCAAATGGCCCATTGTGTGGCTTCCTACTTAACCCACTAATGCTGGTTCTCATCATGCTGCTTTTCTCCTACCAACTAAGTTGCTTTAGTTCCGTTTTAAATAAGTCCATGGAGATTACTTGGAATCATTTTAAATTATATTGTTCAACAGCAGAGTGGAGTGACTATGGTTAACAACAATGTACTGTATATTTCAAAATTGCTGCGAGAGGACTTGAACTGTTCCCAGCACATAGAAATGGTAAATACTCAAAGTGATGGCCACCTCAAATACCCTGACATCATCATTACAAATTCCATGCATGTAACAAAATACCACACGCACCCTATAAATAGGTAAAACATTATGAATGTATCAAAAATTTAAAATGTAAAAATACAGCTTATGAATCCTATCCCTTCATTTATACCTCCTCCAATCAAGTGTCACTGTATCCAGTTGTGATGACACAATGGAGCAGTGACTCACAGAATATGATTATTTCCTTTCTAGGTATAAAAAGACAATCTACTGTGAAGACCTTAGATGTCTCCATCCTCCTGCTCCAGAAGTTCCATCAGATTCTTTCAGGCTCTAGAATGGGAATGTCTCTCTGTGGTATGCAAGCAATGCCTCCACTAACTGACTGCCCAGGCTATGAAGTCGAGACCATGAAGATCACCATTCTACACTCCGTGTCCCCTGCTTTCTCTGTGAAAATGTTTCAGCAGAGACATGGTGAATAAATTATTTTTCTTGTATTCTGCTCCCTTGGATGCAAAAATGTAACAAAATAGTTTTGGTAATGCTAGCAGAAGTGAGGAAAAAGAAAAAGAAAGAAAATTTATAGACATACAAATGAAATAACTGTTCTCTGTGCCTCAAAATTGCCTTGAGTCTTAATTGTTATTGAACTACTTAAAAGGCTTGAATGCAAACATAGAGGCAATCTTTTATAAGCATCATCAAAGGGCCTCCTACACAGCTCAATTTACTAGTGCATTTGTAAAATGTCCAAAGGGGTATGCAGAAGTCATCATTAAGCCAATAAAAATAGACCTCAATCTAATGAAATAATCATTTTAGTGCTGTAAGTGATTTAGTTATAACTGAGGTCCATACACATGTTAATCTATGTTTAGGTCTTCCTATGCCTTTGTTTTTTTCATTTCCATGTAGAAAATTTTAAATTTTCTCAGGTTCAATGTAAAATCTCATTTGCATATATTACCGTAAAGATAGAATGGGTAATTCCACTATGATAGTGTGATACAATTGAACCTCCAGGTTTCAGACACTTCCTTAATCCACAGAAGCAGAATTCCTCTAGTTTCTGATATTAAGTAGCATAAAGCTGCAAAATGTTTTTCAGACACCATAATTACAAAATAAAGCTCCTGAATGCTTAGCCTTTCCTTTGGTGATTTATTTGCCATTCTACTTTCTTCACAGTAGTAAAATTAAACCTGTGAACTGTTTTATCACAACCCTTCAGCTATGAAAGCCCTGAGCCACTGAGTCTGAATGTGAGTCCAGGAGATGTGAGTAATTGGTATAGCCTTACCCAGGGGAAGCTGAAGGGAAAGAATGAGCAGAAAGACTATTTAATTGCAGATCTGTTTTAGGAACTGTTTAATTGCAGTTCTGCTTTAAAACCAATTTTCTCCCTTCTCCTGCCTTTCCTAGTACTGCAAGTTAAACTGCCCATAATCAGGCATTTTATACCTAGCAACCTCAAAGGGTTGCACATTTTCATAAAATGGAATCTAGAAATACCATCAGCTAACAGAATAAAATGCCAGTGGAAGTTTTTCATCTTCCTGTGGGCTAGGAAAAAAATCATAAGCAATACATTTCATTCTAAACCTACAGGGGATTTTGAGACCAGATTTATAGTGCTCATGTAACACAAGAATTGCAAAGTGAGCAAATGGCATAAAGGCTGGAGATTAGCCAGCTGATCATTTAGAGTTCTGGCAAAATTAAATCAAGCCATGCTATAAGGAAACTTCCAAAATTCAGGAAAAACAACTGCTGCCCAAAACAATAGCCATGAACCCAAGGAAAGTAACAGTGGAATCACACACCCAGGAAGTGAAAGAACAGGACAATCTGTAGACAGTAGTAAAATGAGTTGTGTTAAAATGGTTAAGGAGTATTCCAGATAGAAGACAGGAGCATAAAGCAGTTTCTATTTTTTATTATCTGGGAATTTCTTAAAAGTGATAAGGAGATCAAGAAGCAAAGTCACAATCTCTGCCTTCAAAGAAGGAGCAAAACCTGAACACCAGAAAATATGCTGAGGAGCAGCCAGGAGCGAAGACAGAGGGAAGGCGATCAGACAGAGGGAAGGCGGTCAGACCGACGGAGGGAAGGCGTGGAGGCGGGCCTTGAGCTACAGAGCTGCAGAGACGTTTGTAGAGTGCCTGTCTCGGTGACAAGGGTGAAACACCTAAACCTACGTCTGCCCAGCTGGGATGGAAGCACAGGCTGCCAGCAAGAACTGTCCTGGGCTTAATATGAGGAGAGGAAGAAATCTAAATAGGGAGGCACAGAGAAAGTCCCCTTAGCAGGTGAGAAGAGACACTCTTAGTATCAGTATCATAGGTGTCTATTCCTACTAGCTTGGAGGAAATAAAGACTACAATCTCACATGCACAAACAAACAAACAACAATAATAAGGTAATAAGGACAATCCCTGCTAGACTGAAATACAATTCTGTTTCCTCTCCTTTGTGTTGTACCCTGGGAATAGGCCCTGCAAATGTGGCCCTTCCTCAAATATGGGCAAGCATAGAGGTCCTAGAAAATAATCTACACAGATGTTCTACAAGAACGAGAGAGGCGGTGGGGAGGAACTGGGCCACCAAATGGCAGTTGAAAAATCTCACCAAAAAAATGTTTCCACAGAATTAATAATAATTATGAAACATAAGCTCTGAAGTTTAAAAGCAGAGTGAATTAATCACCTGCACAGAACAAATTTTTTTTTAAAGTTCAGGAAAGAAATGGAAAGAAAACAAAACGATATGCAGTGTTAAGTTGGCAGCACTCATTTAAGAAGTTTTAAAAAGAAACTAAATTTATCCCATAAAGGAAAATGAAACTGGCGAATGCAAAACAGAGTCGCTGCTAAAAATGCAGAGCAAGGCTCAGCAAGCACAGCCTGGGGAGCAAATCCACTCGCCCAGCTGCTGTGGGGCCCATGAGCAATGAATGGCTTCAAATCATTCATAAAAACAAATAAAAAACAAAGAGAAATGCATGCAGAGACCGCACGTGTCTACAAAGCCTACATTTACCCACCAACCCTTTACAGACAATGTCGCCTCCCTTGACACAGAGAACAGAAATGAGGAAAGCAAACCAATGAAGTGTAAATGAACAGATTAAAAAGATTAGAACAAATAATAAATATGACACTTAGGGACTAAATATGTTCATCAATAAAGTCATGCTAAAAAAATACATGAAACTAAACAAATACTAAAAGAAATAATTCAAGAGAAATAAAATGCGTGTCTACAAATTAAAGGATACACCTTGTCCAGGAAAAATAATAACCTAGAAAAGTCCATCTTAAGATAGATAAAATCAATGCTATGCAAATTCAAAGATAAGAAGCCTCTAAACAGAGAAGTTAAAGCAAAGAAAAACAAAGCAAAACCTCAGACTTCCATAGCAACAGTGGGGCAGAGTGAAGAAATACCTGCAGAATTTCTAAAAAATATAACCCAGACAGTTTCTGTCCAGCAAACTGTCCATAGCAACAGCGAGGCAGAGTGAAGAAACACCTGCAGAATTTCTAAAAAATATAACCCAGACAGTTTCTATCCAGCAAACTGTCCATAGCAACAGTGGGGCAGAGTGAAGAAACACCTGCAGAATTTCTAAAAAATACAACTCAGACAGTTTCTGTCCAGCAAACTGTCCATAGCAACAGCGAGGCAGAGTGAAGAAACACCTGCAGAATTTCTAAAAAATATAACCCAGACAGTTTCTATCCAGCAAACTGTCCATAGCAACAGTGGGGCAGAGTGAAGAAACACCTGCAGAATTTCTAAAAAATATAACTCAGACAGTTTCTATCCAGCAAACTGTCTTTCAAATATAAAGGTAAACTACTCTGGGAAATAGTATTTTCTTGAGTACTTTTTGAGTGTTATACCCAAGAGATAACTTGAAAAATTAGGGCAAAAAGACAGGCATGGGCATTGAATAGAATATATTAATATTTATGATACTGAGATAAAAACAATTGTAATAAGGGTTATGGTTCTAGAACACAACACAATGTTCTTAACCTTAATAGTGTAGAAATAATATAATTAACAAAAGTGATGAGGGAAAGGAGCAAAGAACATGGAATGTAGTATGGCTTCCTCACTTTTAATAGTCAGCTGATAAAACAATAATAGAGTCATAAATATAGTTGAGAGTAAAAAATATAGCAAATATGTGTTTAAACCAGCAAAATAGATGATGGGAGTAAAGGAAGAAATTGCTACATGTTTTCTAAGGGAATATTTCTTAACCAAGAATACTACTCCCTTAGAGAAATTTGATTATACACAGGGATGTTTTTGATAATCACAATAACTGGGGTTTAGTACTGACATTTACTGGTGAAGGAAAAGAATGCTAAATATCTTGCAATGCATGTGACATTCTTGCACAATGACAAATGTTTCTTTCCATAAAAGCCAGTAGGACTCCTATTAAGAAACACCAAATTAAAGAAGTAAGAACCTAATGATAGTATGTTTCCAAGTAATAATTAGCTAATCACTACAACAAAAATTCATATCTCCTATTTATCAGAAATAGGACACATATACACATAAAAATAACTTCAAAGAAAACATGGACTTAAATAAATGAGCAAAGGTATTCCAGGAAAATAAAAAGAAAGCAAGGGATAGTTTTTATTTTTTTATTCTAATACTTTAAATACTTGAATACGATTTAAAAAGAACACTGAAGTGAAACAAAGGCAACACTTCATAGTGCTAGACTGTGCGATTTACAGTGAAGATTAATAGTCATGAGCCAAACAACATTCATTAATGTTCATAGTTCAAAAACTATAGAAGATATAAAGTGAAATAGAAAAAAATTAAAAATAAGTGACTGTATTTTGCTTCTTTCAATGAATAGCTGTTCAAGTGGATTAAAAAAGGTAATTATAGAAGACCTAAATCAGATAATTAGGTAGTTATTATTGCTATGTGATTAATGCTTTATCCTGTAAACACAAATAAGCTTTTTTTTCAAATGCTCATGAAACTGTCAGAAAACATGCAAATAGTAGGCCACAAACAAATGAACCTCAATAAATTCTAAAAGTAGAAATGGCAAAGACATTTTCTGATTACAAAACGATAAAATGATAGTTTAACTTTCAGTGCCCCCCCAACCCTGTCAAAAAAAAGGCCACCATCAATGGAAAAAGAAAATCCTCTCTTAAACTCATGGGATAAAGATAAAATCTAATTCAAAATTTCAGAATATGTAGAATGGAATAATACTAAAATCAGAAAATGGTCAAGACTTCTGCTATTACCTATAATGGAGTAACTTATACTAGACTTACTCTACATGAAAAACAACCAGAAAACCCGAAAAAAAATATGAAAGAAAGTAAACTTTAGATGCGAGCTCATGATCAGTCCAGTTTTCTGCCTGGGGACAAATTTCTGAACCTGGTGCAAAAGCTAAAATCCAAGCAAAGCATGTTAGTTATGCTGAATGGAGGATGCAAGAATCAGAATAGAGGCAGACACCGGACACAGTAGTGAGAAGATGGAACTACACAAGGGAATGGTGAAAGGCCTGTGTGAAGGTCATTATGAGTCCTTGGTTGAAAGCTGGGATATACAAGATATCCCAAGGCTACCAGAGAGCAGTTGCTATGGGACTGAAAAAGTAATGGTGATACTATGAGTCTAGCAATGTTGGAAGATATTGGAGTTCTGGCACAGCCTCAATGCAGTGACCTTGTCAATATTTTGCTAATATACTGATCATCAAGCAGTAACATCAGCAAGTAAATGCCTTAAGATAAGGAACATAGTTTGAAGACTGCTCTAGAGTCTGAAACCATCTTAACAAAATGTAATAATGAAATGGACAAGATCCATAAGGGAGACGATTTGGAGGCTGAATTCCATCAAGATAAGGGAATTTTGGAAATACTTCAGGGAAATTCTTTAGTCTTTCCACAGGTTTTCTACTAACAAAGCATAAAACTAAGTCAACAAAAGTTTGAGGATACCAGCCAGTAACTGAACTGCTTTGTAATTCAACATAAAAATTCTTGAAAGAATTTTCTTAAAAAATTAGAGTCTACAACATATGCAAAATATCTGGCTATAATTAACAATTACTAGCAATGCAAAGAAACAGAAATATGTAGCCCATAGTAAAATAGCAAATAAATAAAGCAGTCAGTAGAAATGGTCCTGAGATCATCTCAGGAAAGAAATGAATATTATGAAAAAAATACCTATTTAAACTTCTTCAATCAAAAAAGACAATATTTAAAATTTTTTAAAAATTCATTTAATAAACTTAACCACAGGTTGGGGATAACAAAAAAAAGTCAATAAATTTGAATACAGATGAATGGAAAACCTTTCATTCTGAAGAAGAGAGAAGTTGAAGAAAAAAGAGCAGAACCTAGGGACATGTAAAACAATAGAAACAGTATAGCATACAATGTCACTTTCTGAGCTATTTTCATTATTTTCTCATTTGGGGCTTATGTTTTCATGTAAGCAAGAAGGAAGGAAGGAAAGAAAGAAAAAAGAGAGAAAGCAAAAGAAAGAGAGAGAATAAGAAAGGAGAGAGAGAAGAAGGAAAGAAAGAAGAGAAAAGGAGAAAATCTTGAAATTACCAGGGAGAAAACATGCATCAAAGGAATCACAGCTGACTTCTTCTTAGAAGCAATGGAAGCTAGGAAACAATAGAATAACTTATTTAACCTATTAAAGAAAAGTGATCATTAACTCAGAATTCCATATCCAATTAAAATATCCTTCAGAAACAAAAAGAAAATAGAGAAATTTTCAGATAAATGGAAGTTGACAAAATACATTACCAGCAAACCTGGTACAAAAAAAAAATGCTAAGAGAGATTTTTCAGGAAGAAGAAAAACTTCAATCTGCAGGAAGGAAAAAAAGAGTACTGGAAATGGGAAACAATAAGTTAAATCAATATAAAATGACAACTTTTTCTTATAATTTTCTTAAAAGACAACTGACAATTGAAATCAAATCCATAACAATGTTAGGACAGGCTTCTAGTGAATATTGAATAAAAATTATAGGAAAAAATAGAAGAAAAAACAAGAAAGGAAGAAAGTGAATGGAATTACACCATTTTATGATTACCAGATTATAAAATAGGAACAATATGGTGTAAACTGGGTAGAAGTGAAGTGAGACGTGGAAAGCAGGGATAGAACAATGTTAGGGAAAAAAAGTAAGAAAACATAGAAAGTGTAAAGTCCCAGGTATAAAATGAGAGAGAGCACAATATAGACATTAATTATACACTTTGGCAAATTGTTTGCCATTAGAAAAAAATAGTAAATGGATGTACAGCTAAGAAGCTACAAAAATAATGGATTAACCAGAGAAGTTAGAAAAGCATCAATAAAGGAACAAAAAGAGAAAGGAAAATAGAAAACGAATGACAAAATATGAGAATTAAATGTACCCATATCAGTAACAACATTAAATGTCAATGGACAAAAATCGAAGTAAAAGGCTGGGGTTGTCATACTGGATAAAAATGCAAGATCCAATGATTAAAATTTATATGAAATACACCTTAAATATAAATACACAAAATGGTTAAAATAAAAAGAATGAGAAATATATACCATGTATACAGAAACCATAAGAAAGCTTATATAGGTTATTATACTTGTATCAGACAAAATACACTTTAGGACAAAGAATATTCAAAGAAATGAAAATTGATATTTCCTAATGATAAAAGGGGCATTTCATCAAAAATGTATAAAATTATAAATATTTATTAAGCAAATAACAGAGTTTTAAAAATTATAAACTAAAGTGAGATACAAGCAGGTCCACAATCATAGATGCATATTTAAATACCTCTTTCTTAATCATTGATAAAACAAATAGAAAAAATGAAGCAATAAGTATATAGGAGACTTGTATAGCACTATCAACTAAGTTGACCTAATTTACATTTACAGAAGAGTACAACCAACTCTTGCAGAAAACACAGTTTTTTCATGTGTACGTGGAGCATTAACCAAAACCAACCTTTGTCAAGGCATAAAATATATCACAATAAACACCAAATAAATGAAATTTAAGGAATATGTTATCTGACCACAACTAGACACTAAAGACAAGTAAGATTAAATCAGGTAGCTAAAAGTATCCCTATACTTGGAAATTAAAACTCTCTCTCTCTGACACACACACACGCGTGCACACATTTCTAAATAACCCTTATTCCAAAAAGAATTCACAAGGGAAAACTATTTCAAACTGAATGATTATCAAAGAACAGTATATCAAAGTTAGTGGGATGCAGCTTGGGGTAACTTTGCAACCTGTAAGGTGTCTACCTTGATCAGAATTTCCTTCCCTGTATGTTTCTCCTTAGTCAACACGGGCACAAAAGAAGCACCCTTTTGGTGGCTCAGGCCTGCTGTTGCTGATATGCAGAGGCACCTCATTGTCCTGAAGCAGCACTGGGCCAGCAATTGCTTTCCCTTCCCTAGGTGGTCCTCCAGCTTCTCTGACTCCTGCACCAAATGTGTATTCAGCTCCATGACAAAGTGCCCTGGCTTCTGCAGGACAGTACCCATGATGAACAAAAACAGAAAGAACAGACTGGGGTTCGGGTCATCCTCATGGGGCCCCGGCCTGTGCCTGTTGTTTCAGCTTGCTCTTGAGCTCTCCCACTGACACCCAACTCCCTTTGTGGACCGGCTGCCTGCCTGCCTGCCTGCCCTTTGGAATGCAGGCTCCAGCATCAGATCAGAAGTGATGCTGTTTAACCAGCTCCCACGACAGAGTATGGTCAAATCACACACACACACACACACACACACACACACACACACACACACACAGAGAGAGAGAGAGAGAGAGAGAGACAGAGAGAGAGATGTCTGTGTGTGCTGTGCATGTATTTTCTAGTGGTTATGCCTCTATGATTGAACTCTGTTTAAAAGAAAATGTACAGTTTAGTTGCTCGTATTAGAAAATAAAGTAAGGCTGTTGTCATTGTCAGTGGTGATGGTGGTTTGGGGCTTACATCAACAAAGTCTCTTTAACGCCATGTTACATGTTGGCTGTGGTCTGTTGGAGGCTGCACATCTGATTCATGTCTGCTCACTCTGGGACCAGGCTGAAGTAAGTAACGTGATTAAAAAGCCCCTCCTAGCTGGGCGCAGTGGCTCACCCCTGTAATCCCAGCACTTTGGGAGGGCAAGGCACGCAGATCACATGGTCAGGACATCAAGACCATCCTGGCTAACATGGTGAAACCCCATCTCTACTAAAAATACAAAAAACAAAAGGCCGGGCACGGCGGCTCATGCCTGTAATCCCAGCACTTTGGGAGGCTGAGGCGGGCGGATCATGAGGTCAGGAGATCGAGACCATCCTGGCTAACACGGTGAAACCCTGTCTCTACTAAAAATACAAAAAATTAGCCGGGCGTGGTGGTGGGCACCTGTAGTCCCAGCTATTCGGGAGGCTGAGGCAGGAGAATGGCGTGAACCCGGGAAGTGGAGCTTGCAGTAAGCCGAGATCACACCACTGCATGCCAGCCTGGGTGACACAGCAAGACCCCCTCTCAAAAATAAATAAGTAAATAAATAAATACATAAAGCCTGTGCTTGGAATAGGTCATTCCCAAGACAGAGGAAACGGAGCAGAAGAACTGAGCGGAGACGTATAATGCTCTTACAGGAAAAGGGAGCAAATATTTGGGAACAATAATACAAATACCACAAGTTGTCAGCTAGCAGTTTCTAAACCACGGTACATGCTTAATAAATATTTGCTGATGAAAGATTAAAATTGAGTGGATTTTTAAAATAGATGTTATGAAGGAAACTTCCTTTCTGAAGACCATTAAAGTACTTTTCTCTTTGATCTTATATTCACTTTTACATATCTTTGTTTTAATCATAATGATTTACTTGCTTGTCAGTTTCACTCTAGTACTAGAGTTTATTTCTTGAGGACAATAATTTGGTCTTGTTTATCTTTATTTCTCCCTTTTAAAAATTGAGTTATTTATTTATTCTCTTTAATCTCCAGATCTCATTCATCAATCATTGGTAATTCATTAATGTATTCAATTAATATCTTTGTGTTTGTCTCGATTCTTGAAAATTGTATATTATAAAGTGTGCGTGTATTTTATTGAAAATGAAGTTATAAAATCAGTTATCTCAGATTACAGCTCAGAAACTGGAAACTAGAAAAAGATCAAATTAAATCTCTTTAATTAAATTGAATGAATGAAATAATAAAAAGTAAAAGTGAATTAAAAGGTGGCATATGGTAGAAAAATACATTTAAAAATTAGATCTCTGAAAAATTAATAATATCGAAGACCCTTTAGCAGGGCTCATAAAAGAAATGTGTACAGGCCGAACACGACTGAAACAGGATTTTAAATTTTCAAAAGAGCATTTCTAGTCCCCATCTCAACCAGTGCTGCCACTTGCATCTTCCGCTGAGCCCTGGGGCTGCTCCAGCGGCCGCTCCCCTCACACCTCACACACACATTCCGTTGGCTCCTTGGCTGGTTCTGAATCCCAAGCACATCTGACTCAGAGTATTTCCTGCCACTGCTCCTGCTACCACCCTAGCGTAAGCCCCATTGGGTGTCACCTGTATCAGTGCAGCGGCCTTCAAACTGTCCTTCCTCCTTCCACCACCCGCTTCCTACTCGTAATTCTCCATAGACTATGCAGAATACTGTTTCAATCAGGTTCATCAGGCCATGGTGTTCCATATTATGTTGCACAAATATCCACTCCCATGGAGTTTCACACCCTTCCGTCTACACGGCCTTGCTTGCTATTCCTGTAACACAGCAAGCTCCTTTCTATCTCAGCTTTTTCACACTTGCTGTGCTCTTTGGAATGCCTTCTCCCCAATCTTGTGCCTTGCCAGTATTTCTTCCAGCTCTCCATTTAAACGTTATTGCTGTAAAGAGGTCTTGTGTGACGATTGTTCTAAAATAGCTTCCAGTAACTACCCGCCACATGCCTTCCTCTTATTTTCCTCTGTTTTTTCTTATAGCCCTTATTAATATATTATATTTATTTATTTACTCTTTATGTTTGTCAGTTAGAATTTCAAGGTCCGTAAAGGTAGGTAGATTGCTCACTGAATCCTTCAGAATCCTTCAGAATCCTTTAACAGTGTCTAGGACATGTGAATGTTTAATGAAAACAAGAATGAGTGAGGAATAGTGTCAGAGCCCTAGACAAGGCTAAGAAGAAGAAACAGAGTGATAATACTAAGTAAGGAAATCAGAATACAGGGTAGTGTATTAATATATTCTTTCTTAATACTTATTATTTATGTAGTACAATCATAAATTCTTTAGGAAGTGAATAGTGTCATAAAAAGCATAATATTGTTGGTAGGTGTGTGCTCATGCATAAATCTAATGTTCAATTTTTGATCAAAAATAACTAAGACTCAAATGTACAAATCAGAAATAATATCATTAATTTATTAAATAGCCTGATCAAAATTCCCTATGCATTGAATGGAAGAGTGAGTATTTAAAATCTTATCAGGCTAGAAACTAGCATATAATTTTATGTTTTGTAAGGGAGAATGAAAGAAATATTAATATTAAACATTATGTAAAATAAGATGAGGACTACATGCCACGGAAATATTTCACGATATTATTTCTATGTTTCTTCCTTAACTTTGGAAGTTGAGAATTTTCTCTAATATGCTACATTAATTTCGTCCTCCACTACATTCTTAATCAAAAATTTAGATTTCAGGTCCCGCAAGTTTCAGGCTTAGCCGTGGTTCATTCTTGGTTCAATATCAAATGACTAGCTTCAGGGTTTTTCTTGTTTTTGTTTGTGAGACAGAGAGTCTCGCTCTGTGCCCCAGGCTGAAATGCAACGGCGTGAACTCGGCTCACTGCAGTCTCTACCTCCCAAGTTCAAGCAATTCTTGTGCCTCAGCCTCCCGAGTAGCTGGGACTACAGGCATGTGCCACCATGCCCAGCTAATTTTTATATTTTCAGTAGAGACAGGATTTCGCCATGTTGGCCAGGCTGTTCTCAAACTCCTTGCTTCAAGTGATCCTACCGCCTCGGCCTCCCAAAGTGCTGGGATTACAGGCGTGAGCTACCACCTGGCCCTAGCTACATTTTTACATTTATTTTTAAGGGATAATGTTTTGAAATAATAAATTTTGGTTATTCTAAATGGCCAAATAGGGTAAAGAACTTATGCAAATCTAGGGAATGTGGCCACAGACCCCTCAGTATGACAAGTGGAATGAAAGTCAGGAAGAATATTCACAACAATACTAGTTATAGCAAGTCCCTGCTAGAGAAAACACAGGGGACTCCAGGGGGTAAAGAATAACTATAATCATCCAAGACAGGGTTTGTATCTACCCATGTCTCCCGCAGTCCATGTGAGCAGCCTTGCTTTTTACAACAGGATGATGACAATAGAGACTCTGGGACTCAAATACATCTTGTGAAGGAATGTGATTGTAAACCTGCTGTGGTTAGCAGTTCTCAAAATCCTGGCAGTGAAACACCATAATTATGAAGGTTTGCCTGAAAGACTGGCAAACCTCTCATTCCTCTAACCAACTAAAACCTATCTCTAATATGCTATGTTAGTCTAGTCTATCTAGTTAGACTAGATCATGCTTATCCAGCCCGTGGCCCATGGGCCGCATGCAGCCCAGGACGTTTGTGATTGTGGCCCAACACCAATTCGTAAACTTTAAAACATTATGAGGTTTTTTCTTTGCAATTTCCTTTCTTTAGCTCATCAGCTATCATTAGTGTATGTTATGTGCGGCCCAAGAAAATCCTCTTTCTTCCAATGTGGCTGAGAGAAGCCAAAATATTGTACAGCCTTGACTGGATCATGCGAGAGCCACATAGCCATTTTATATAATTTCATTTTCTCCAAACAGCTTCTTTTGCTCAATGTACCCCAGAGTGATTTTATGAGAAAGATCCCTGTGCCTACTGTAAAATGGTGCTAAGAGGACTGATCTCTACATTTTATTATCTTCTTTCTATTCCTAACTATTGGAGGTGACTTGCTCCTCTCTTTAAACTAGAAATAGTTATGTCAGCTGTGAATCATGTACTCTATTTGGATAGTTTAATCACTGGATGTAAGATAGCATGAAGAGACACCGAGAGCTCATTTCGAGTAGGGGTAGAAGACTCTACACATTCATTTTGTTGATTTAACTCAGTACTGGTCCCATCTTACTTCTCTTCTCATTTTCTAAAATATTTAATCAAAACTTTCAGTAGGAAATAACACAGTTCAAAAGTCAATGTAAAGATATATGGAGGAAACATTTACCCTCAATGTTTTTTCCCCTTCTACCCTTCCACAGGAAACCACTGATATATTTTTCTTCCACTTTCCCTAGAACTTTTTAAGCAAATGTGAATACCATTTCCTCCCTGTCCTCTTCCTCTTTTTCTTCCAAAAGGGTCCTATGTTACCCACTTTGCTTCCTTTAATGGTTACTTCCTGAACATCCTTGTACTTTTAATATCAGAAGATGCTCATTTTCTTTAAATGTGTGACATTTCATATTATCATTGTTCCATAACTTACTTAACCTGGCTCTTACTGATGGATATCTGGGCTGTTACCAGTCATTTGCTCTTATAAATAACACTGTAATGCATTATTTTGTATTTATGCTTTTATAGATAGGTGCACCTTAGGATAAATTTCCAGAAGTAGGATTTTTGGGTCAATGTATATACATATGTTCATTTTTGATAGATATTACCAAGTTCTCCCTTATAAAGTATGAGTGTGCCTGTTTCACAGTAGCCTGTGAAAAAGATTGTTTATCATACTTTAGGGTTTTTGACACTCTATTGTTCAAACTAGTATGGCATTTTGTACAGTTTTGATTCATTAATATATCTTTATATATTCTTGGGCCATATATCTTTATTAATTAATAAGTATATATTCATCGGTCATTTATATTTCCTTCAATTGTCTATACTTTGATCAATTCCGCATGGGATTTTTGTCATCTTATTGATTTCTAGGGGATCTTTACACACTAAGGATGGAGCGCTCTCTGAGATGAGTTGCGACTATTTCTCTCCGTTGTTTAATCTTTAAAATTTTACTTATCTTGTTTTTTGCCTACTGTAGCTTTAAGTTTTATAAAGTAAAAAATATATAATTTTTTTATCTTATGGCTCCTGGGTTAGAATTTTTATAATGAAATAAAATAAAAAATGAGGGCATTGAACCTAGAAAGCATTGCACTCAGAATAAATATTGTTTCAGAGTTTAGAAGTTCTGTTTTAAATTTTCAATTCCAAAAGACACTTAGATCTTGGTTTTCCAATTCTCGTATTCCTTCCATCATGTCAAATGCATGATTCCTATATCTAAACCTCCAACATTTTGCTGCTTTTAAAATTATCATTCCTGGCCAGGCACAGGGGCTCATTCCTGTAATCCCAGCACTTTGGGAGGCAGAGGTGGGTGGATCACCTAAGGTCAGGAGTTTGAGACCAGCCTGGCCAACATGGTAAAACCCTGTCTCAACTAAAAGTACAAAAATTAGCTGAGAATCATGGTGTAAGCCTGTAATCCCAGCTACTCAGAAGGCTGAGGCAGGAGAATCTCTCGAACCCAGGAGGTGGAGGTTGCAGTGAGCCGAGATCACACCATTGCACTCCATTCTGGGTGACAAGAGCAAAACTCGATCTCAAAAAAAAAAAAATTATCATTCCTTGTCACGTTGACAGGCAACATACTCAAGATTACATGCTGAATTTGTGTATTTTTTTGACAATAGATTTACCTCCTGATCTGCATCTCAGTTATAATGAAATTAAATCACTTTTTACTTCCTCTTCAATGTACACTGAGTAATCTAAAGATGATGGTTTGATGAGCTAAGCAAAATTTAAAGTTATCTTATTAAAAATACTAAAAAAAGTATTCCATGGGTACCATATCCCCCCATGTAACTCCCCTTCAGTGATTGTTAGTGGAATCCCAGCCCAAGTCAGATACTCAACAGGGCTGAGGATTCAGACAAACTTTGCCCTTGTGGGACATTTAACCAATTAACAGAGGGTCTTTTGTTAATGCCAATTTCATTTGTCTTTAAGAAAACTTACTTTCAATTTTATACACTAACTTACATTTCTTGGCAGCCTGTAACTTTTATTTTTATAAAACATTGCTAATTTTCATTGCAATCACTAAGGCACTTATATATTTGACTTTGGGTTGCTAGAAAACTGAGCATTCTATGGCAAACATATTCCACACTGCCAGGCATCTCTGTGATGACAGATTATTGAACTCGCCTTTTAATTTTCCTTCTCATTTTTGTTTAATCTTCTCTATCTACCCCCCCCCAACCCCACCTATAACACAGATACACCCTTCCTGCCCAGGGACCTGGGATATTTTAAGTGACTAATTCATGTTTGAGGAATCAAAGAAGGAAAAAAGGTCTGTGGGAAGGAAGCCAAAGAGAGAAAGGAAAACAGAAGGAAGGAAGGCGATGGAGAGAGCACAAAGAGGCCCCCTATGGAGACTGCATAGGTTATAGAGATTGCAATTGAATTCAAAACAGCACTTCAAAACTCATCACAGGTTTTTTTTAACTTTATTAAAAATATTTTTTTGCTTCATTGAACCTTACATTTTAATTGATTGAAGTTAATCTTTATTTCTTTAACAATTTTATGCACATATTCTTGATAAAACTCGTTTGAAACAAAAATTCATGCTACACTCTGATTTTCAAAATTCAAAGATAAATGACATATTCCTGCTTTTATACAGTAGCTTGCTGTGTACCTTTGGGATGAAGAGATTTCCAAGATATTCAGGGGCATGTAATGAGTATACTTAGTCCAGTTACAGTTTGTGCACAGTGTATACATTTTATACTCACTTCAGTGTTTAAACTCCTTCTCCTTGACTTTAAAGTAGGTAATACTGATACACATTTGCACATTTGTCTTCATGCTTAACGGTTAATCTCAGAAGGTTCTGCTGGAGCTGTGTGGTGAGGGGAAAATGTAGCTCAGAGCCAGCCTAAGAGAGACACAAGTGTCAGACCACAGGGACAGACCACAGCCTCAGAAAGCTGTTTTATTTCATATTTCCATAGTTTCTTGGTTATAAGAAAGAAAAACTGGGTGAATGCAAAAGGACAATTTAATATACTGACTTAATTGTTTTATCTTATAAAACTTGTCAGGAAATACTTGGTTGGTGTCAATACTGCCCACGTTATCAACTAGCCCTGATTTAGATTCCATTCCTTTTTGTTCATAATCCCATGCCACTTTAAGAGCAACCCTCTCCACTGTCAAGTCAGTCAGGAAAGCTAATTGACCATGATTTTAAAAAATCACAGCATCACTATGAGCAAAAGTAAACGCTATTACCTAGCTATTGCTATTCAGCTAACCGACATAGACACAACCTTAGTTTCAGGCACGAAGAACATTTTAAAAGAAAAATCAATGCACATGCTTTTCTGACTTTCTACTCTATACTCAATTCCACAGCTGAATGTGGAAGCCAGTAAAGATGCATTCTCAGTTATCCATCCTGGAAGATTTATCCCACTTTTCATTTCGTGGTCATTTTTACAGTAGCCCTGTAAACACATATTAATACATTTATTTCAATGTTCTGGCATAAAGTGTGTGTAAGGTTGACTAGGGGACTAACTCCGCTACTCCTTCTTAGTTGTAATAGGAGTTCCAAGCTTTAGGAAAAAGCATATACCAGCCAGGTGCAGTGGCTCCCGTCTGTAATCCCAGGACTTTGGGAGGCTGAGGTGGGTAGATCACCTGAGGTCAGGAGTTCGAGACCAGCCTGGCTAACATGGTGAAACCCTGTCTCTACTAAAAATGCAAAAATTAGCCAGGTGTGGTGGCATGCCTCTGAAATCCCAGCTACTGGGGAGGCTGAGGTGGGAGAATTGCTTGAACCTAGGAGGCGGAGGCTGCAGAGCCAAGATTGCGCCACTGCACTCCAGCCTGGGTGACAGAGCGAGACCCCATCTCAAAAAAAAAAAAAAAAAAAAGCATATACAAAGTACATAGGATAAAATTATGTCATGACACACACCATACACACATGAAGAAAGAGCAGGAAAATAATGAAACAACTGGGGCAAAATGGCGAGTCTGTGTGATGGCTATTCAGTTCTTTGTACTCTAATTACAGCTTCTTTGTAAGTCTGAAATTATAACCAAACGAAAAGTAACAAGTAAAGAAACAATAAAGAAATACAATTAGGCATACAGAAATATCAAATATGTCACTAATCCAAGAGAATCAAGAGAAATAAAAAAAACACCCAAGGGATTTAGGAAATTGAGTTACGAGATACTAGCTTTCAATTAACTAAAATTAAAATATCAAAAGAACTTAAAAATATTCTGAAGTGGAGCATAGAACTCCAAACTATGCTAAAGAATGAAATGTAAATTCTAAAAGTCAACAATAAAATCACCAAGGAGGAGGGGCTAAGACGGCTGACTAGAAACAGCTGCGATGCGAGGTTCCCATGGAAAAGAACAAAAACAGTGTGCAAATCCTGCACCGGCAACCGAGGTATCCAGATTCTATCACCAGGAATGACTAGGCAGTTGGTGCGACCCACAGAGAGCGAGGAAAAGCACGGTGGTGCAATGGCCCCACTAGGAGCCACATAGGGAAAGGGAAACTCCCACCCTCAGCCAAGGGAGGCAGTGAGTGACCTGCACTACCCAGCCCGGAAAACTTTTTTCCACGGATCTGTGCAACCCGCGGATCAGGGGTTCCGCCTAGTGAGCCCACGCCACCAGGGCCTTAGGTTCCAAGCACAGAGCTGTGCAGATTCTCAGCGGCCACTTGGCTGGAGACTGCCTAAGACGGGGGAGGGGCAGGCGCCATTATCACTGCATCTGCCTCTGCGGCTGCCAAAGACCACTGAGCCCCTCGGGGGAGGGGCGACCGTCATCACTGCTTCTGCATCTGCTGCTGCCTAAGACCACTGAGCTTCCCAGGGAGGGGTGGCCATCATCACTGCTTCTGCATCTGCTGCTGCCTAAGACCCATCACTCCTTCTGCATCTGCTGCTGCCTAAGACCACTGAGCTTCCCGGGGAGGGGCGGCCATCACCACCGCTTCTGCATCTGCTGCTGCCTAAGGTCACTGAGCTACCTGGGGAGGGGCGGCTGCCATCACTGCAGCTCCAGTCAGCTGTTTTTCCCCTGCCAGCACCAGGGAGACTGGATGGTATGGACCCGGGAGGAATTCCCCACAGCCAGCACAGCGGCTGTGGCAGATCATGGCCAGAGTGCCTCTTTAGGCAGGACCCTGACCCATCCCTCCTCACTGGGCGGGGCCTCCATGCGGGAATTTCAGCAACTCCAACCAGGGGTTTAGGGACAGAACTTTGACCTCCCTGGGACTGAGCTCCTGGGGAAAGGGGTGGCCGTGGTCTCCAAGGACCAGCAGACTTAGTTTTTCCCCCTGCTGGCTCTGAGGAACCCAGCCAGTCCGGACGAGTGGAATTCCCTCCAGCACAGTGCACCCCCTCTCCAAGAGACAGCCAGAGTGCTTCTTTAAGCGAGTCCCGGATCCCGTGCCTCCTGACTGGGTGAGCCAGGGGTTTCCGGACACCATATACAGGAGCATTCCCACTGGCATCAGGCCGGCACCTCTCTGGAACAGAGATCCCAGAGGAAGGAGCAGGCAGCCACCTTTGCTGTTCTGCAGCCTCCACTGGTGACATCTCCAGATGCGGGAAGGACCCAAGTGAATAGGGTCTGGAGTGGACCTCCAGCAAACCACAGCAGCCCTGCAGAAGAGAGGCTTGACTATTAAAAGAAAAACAAACAAAAAGCAACAACAGCAGCAGCATCAAAAGAAATCCCCACAAAAACCCCATCCAAAGGTCAGCAGCCTCAAAGATCAAAACTAGATAAACTCATAAAGATGAGAAATAAGAAAAAAATGCTGAAAACTCAAAAAGCCAGAGTGCCTCTTCTCGTGCAAATGATCTCAACACCTCTCCAGGAAGAGCACAGAACTGGGCAGAGGCTGAGATGGATGAATTGATAGAAGTAGGCTTCAGCAGGTGGGTAATAAGGAACTTCACTGAACTAAAGGAGCGTGTTCTAACCTAATGCAAAGAAGCTAAGAACCATGATAAAACATTACAGGAGCTGCTAACCAGAATAACGAGTTTAAAGAAGAACATAAATGACCTGATGGAGCTGAAAGACACAATATGAGAACTTTGCAATACAATCACAAGTAACAATAATTGAATAGACCAAGCAGAGGAAACTATTTCAGAGCTTGAAGACTATCTTGCTGAAATAAGACAGGCAGACAAGACTAGAGAACAAAGAATGAAAAAGAATGAACAACACCTCCAAGAACTATGGGATTATGTAAAAAGACTGAACCTACAACTGATTGGGGTACCTAAAAGAGACAGGGAGAATGGAATCAAGTTGGAAAACATACGTCAGGATATCGTCCAGGAGAACTTCCCCAACCTAACAAGACAGGCCAACGTTCAAATTCAGGAAATCCAGAAAACCCCAGTAAGATACTCCAGGAGAAGATCAACCCCAGTGTCAAAATGAAGGAAAAAATATTAAAGGCAGCCGGAGAGAAAAGCCAGGTCACCAACAAAGGGAAGCCCTTCAGAGTAACAGCAGACCTCTCAGCAGAAACCCTACAAGCCAGAAGAGATTGGGGCAAATATTCAACATTCTTAAAGAAAGGAATTTCCAACCCAGAATTTCATATCTGGCCAAACTAAGTTTCATAAGTGAAGGAGAAATAAAGTCCTTTTCAGACAAGCGAGGGAATTCACCACCAACAGGCCTGCCTTGCAAGAGCTCCTGAAGGAAGCACTGAATACGGAAAGGAAAAGCCATTACCAGCACTGCAAAAACACACTGAAATACAAAGACCAATGACACTATGAAGCAACTACATCAACAAATCTGCAAAATAACCAGCTAGCATCATGATGACAGGATCAAACTGACACATAACAATATTAACCTTAAATGTAAATGGGCTAAATGCCCCAATTAAAAGACACAGAATGGCAAGCTGGATAAAGTCAAGACCCATTAGTGTGCCCTATTCGAGAGACCCGTCTCACATGCAAAGACACACATAGGCTCAATATAAAGGAATGAAGGAAAATTTACCAAGCAAATGAAAAGCAGAAAAAAGCATGGGTTGCAATCCTAGTTTCTGACAAAACAGACTTTAAACCAACAAAGATCAAAAAAGACCAAGAGCATTATGTGATGGTAAAGGGATCAATTCAACAAGTAGAGCTAATTATCCTAAATATATATGCACCCAATACAGGAACACCCAGATTCATAAAACAAGTTCTTAGAGACCTACAAAGAGATTTAGACTCCCACACAATAATAGTGGGAGACTTTAACACCCCACTGTCAATATTAAACAGATCATCAAGACAGAAAATTAACAAGGATATTCAGGACCTGAACAGCTCTGGATCAAGTAAACCTAATAAATATCTACAGAATTCTCCACCCAAAAACAACAGAATATACATTCTTCTCGGCGCCACATGACACTTACTCTAAAATCAATCACATCATTGGAAATAAAATACTCCAGCAAATGCAAAAGAACTGAAATGAAAACAGTCTCTCAGACCACAGCACAATCAAATTAGAACTTGTGATTAAGAAACTCACTCAAAAACACACAACTACATGAAAATTGAACAACCTGCTCCTGAATGACTCCTGGGTAAATAATGAAGTAAAGGCAGAAATCAAGAAGTGCTTTGACACCAATGAGAACAAAGAGACAATGTACTAGAATCTCTGGGACATAGCTAAAGCAGAGCTAAGAAGGAAATTTATAGCACTAAATGCCCACATCAAAAAGCTAGAAAGATCTCAAATTGACACCCAACATTACAACTAAATGTTGTAGAGAACCAAGAGCAAACAAACCCCAAAGCTAGCAGAAGACAAGCAATAACCAAGATCAGAGTGGAACTGAAGGAGACACAGACACAAAAAACCCTTTAAAAAAATCAATAAATCCAAGAGCTGCTTTTTTTGAAAACATTAATCAAATACATAGACTGCTAACTAGACCAATAAAGAAGAAAAGAGAGAAGAATCAAACAGGCACAATAAAAAATGATAAAGGGATATCACCACTGACCCTACAGAAATACAAACAACCATCAGAGAGTACTATAAACACCTCTATGCAAATAAACTAGAAAATCTATAAGAAATAAATACATTCCTGGACACATACTTCCTCCCAAGACTGAACCAGGAAGAAGTTGAATCCCTGAATAGACCAATATCAAGTTCTGAAATTGAGGCAGTAATAAATAGCCTACCAACCAAAAGAAGCCCAGGACCAGATGGATTTACAGCTGAATTCTACTGGAGGTACAAAGAGAAGCTGGTAGCATTTCTTTTGAAATTATTCCAAACTACTGAAAAGGAGGGACTTCTCCTTATGAGGCCAGCATCATCCTGATACCAAAACCTAGCAAAGATACAACAAAAAAGGAAAACAGCAGGCCAATATCCCTGATAAACTTTGATGCAAAAATTCTCAATAAAATACTGGCAAATTGAATCCAGCAGCAAATCAAAAAGCTTGTCCACCATAATCAAGTTGGCTTCACCCCTGGAATGCAAGGCTGGTTCAATATATGTTAATCAATAAATGTAATAAATAGAACTAAAGACAAAACCACATGATTACCTCAATAGATGCAGAAGAAACGGCCTTCAATAAAATTCAATATCCTTTCATGTTAAAAAAAAACTGTCAATAAACTAGGTATTGCTGGAACTTACCTCAAAATAATAAGAGCTATTTATGACTAACCCATAGTTAATATGTTAATGAATCAGCCAAAGCTGGAAGCAGTCAACTTGAAAACCAGCAAAGACAAGGATGCCCTCTCACAGCACTCCTATTCAACATAGTATTGGAAGCCCTGGCAAGGGCAATGAGGCAAGAGAAAGAAATAAAACATATTTGAATAGGAGGAGAGGAAGTCAAACTGTCTCTGTTTGCAGATGACATGATCCTATATCTAGAAAATCCCATCACCTCAGCCCAAAAGCTTCTTAAGCTGATAAACAACTTTAGCAAAGTCTCAGGATACAAAATCAATGTGCAAAAATAGCAAGCATTTCTGTACACCAACAATACACAAGCAGAGAGTGAAATCATGAATGAACTGCCATTTACAATTGATACAAACAGAATAAAACACCTAGGAATACAGCTAACAAGGGAAGTGGAAGGACCTCTTCGAGAAGAAGTACAAACCACTGCTCAAGGAAAACAGAGAGGACACAAACAAATGGAAAAACATTCCATGCTCATGGATAGGAAGAATCAACATCGTGAAAATGGCCATACTGCCCAAAGTAATTTATAGAGTCAGTGCTCTTCCCATTAAACTACCATTGACATTCTTCACAGAATTAGAAAAAAACTACTTTAAAATTCGTATGGAAGCAAAAATGAGCCCGTATAACCAAGACAATCCTAAGCTAAAAGAGCAAAGCTGAAGGCACCACTCTACCCAATGTCAAACTATACTACAAGTCTACAGTAACCAAAACAGCATGGTGTTGGTACAAAAACAGACATACAGACCAATGGAACAGAATAGAGATCTCAGACAGAAGACCATAGATCTACGACCATCTGATCTTCAACAAACCTGACAAAAACAAGCAATGGAGAAAGGGTTCCCTTTTTAATAAAATTGAAACTGGACCCCTTACTTACACCTTATACAAAAATTAACTAAAGATGATTTAAAGAGTTAAATCTAAAACAATAAAAACTGTAGAAGAAAATCTAGGCAATACCATTCAGGACATAGGCACAGGCAAAGATTTCATGATGAAAACATCAAAAGAAATTGCAGCAAAAGCAAAAATTGACAAATGGGATCTAATTGAACTAAAGACCTGCTGCAGAGCAAAAGAAGCTATCACTAGAGTGAACAGACAACCTACAGAATGGGAGAAAATGTTTGTAATCTGTCCATCTGACAAAGGTCTAATAACCAGACTCTATGAGGAACTTAAACAAATTTACAAGAAAAAAACAATCCCATTGTCAAAGGACATGAGCAGACACTTTTCAAAAGAAGACATTTATGTGGCCAACAAACATATGAAAAAAAGCTCAACATCACTGATCATCTGTCCATGAGAACAACAGGATGTGTCTTCTGTGGAGCCTGTCACCTCTGCCCCCTTAGGTGTCAATTCTTGTGTTTGTTTTGCTAGGGGACCCTCTCTCATGGTATGTGATAGTCCCTCATATCTTTAGGGTATGCTTTCTTCTAATTCTTTTGTCTTATTTTGAATGTTCATACTAGCTTGTTGGGGAGTCTCTCAGCACCTCAGCAGGGAGACCTGGTGGGGGTCCTCCTGCCAAGTGAGGTGCACCAACATGTGTCATTCTGTGAGTGGGAGCCCTGCTTCCCTGGGCTGTGGCCACCCCTCAGGGACCCCTCTTCTCTGTCCAGGAGGCAGTGGGCTGCCAGCAGCTTTGCTCCTCCTCCCTAAAACCCCAGCTCTTCCTATGACCTGAGATCACTTCCAGCTCTCCCTCTTCACCTCCTTTGGCCCCACTTTCTTAGCTCTTACCTCTCTCTGGCTGGCATTTTGGCCTTTTATTCTTTTTTATTTAAAAAAATTTATTTGGTCATTTCCTGTAAAACCAGGACCTCGATTAAATAAATTTTCAAGCTTCACTTCAATCAAACTCTTGTTTGGTGTTGTCATCATCAAACCATTTCAATTTTTTGCTTGAGCTCTGAATAGCCTCATTTACAAACACCTCAAGTTCATGTGGTATTTTGAGAACTTTTCATCATTTTTCTTAAAACTCGAAAGGAGAATAGACTTAAGGCAACTGCTGACATTTGGAGAGATGGGAAAATATGGTATCAAAGATAGGTCTGAGCTTTGAGCCTCAGGTATTGAGGGCTGACCATGGTGTGGCTGATGGAGAAAGTGAGGTGTCAAGAGGAAGAGTGGCCATGCTGGGAACAGGGTGGATGTGCTCAGTGTGAAGCTGATCGTTGTGTAATTTGTCTCAAAGGTGTACGGAGTTTTCCATGTCATATTTTAACATTCTTGAATTCTGGATTGTTGGGGTTTTTTTTTAAGATATAACTAGACATGGATGTTTCATTTGCTGTATATAAATTTAATTGGCCCTGCTTTCTCACTAAGACTTTTGTTTTAATTAGCAAACTCCTCTTCTTTGTAAATCAAGGCCAAGGCCACAATATAAATTTGCATAATAAATGCAAGCAGTTTGAACTTGATCCCTGAAGATGTGAGTTCTCTGTGCACAGAAACCAGTTGAGCTCCCAGCTGGAGTTTGTAGGATTAATTTTCAATGTTCAAGAAGTATTATGGCCAGTGTGTCTCTCCTGCAGGAACTATTTTTGTACCTTTAACAATTTCAAGATTAGTGCTTTTATTTTTCTTTTAATCTTTAGATCAATGGCCAGTTGCACAAAAATGTAATTCCTTTGAGAAGAAAGTCTGTGAGCAAAGAGAAATGGCTTTCAACCCTAACGCATCACAATGAGACAAGGACCCTGTAGATGGCCCCACCTGGGGTTCTCTGTATATGTGCCAAGTGCCTTGTGCTGCTCAAGGCGGGAGTCAGCACTTGTATGACCCACTGCAGATGCTGTTTAAAAATACGCATGGAATTCTCTCTCTGATCTTTTCTGTCACATCATCTCCTTAAAACTCCCAAAAATATTTAGAGGTGATTACAAAGGGCTGAGGACAAAAAAATTGGAAAAAATACAATCACAAATCAATCAATCAAAGGTGTTTATTTGAATACAGGTCAGCAATACATGATTCTCTTATGAGCATTTATCTAAACACTCCTGGCATCCCAACAAATACCTCAGTGTATAAGATGCTTTCATCGAATATAATGCAGTTTTCTTCCTGTTCTTGTTCGTTTTTTGCAGTCTTCATGTTTGTTTGCACCTGATAGCTTTCTCAATTAGAGAGAAGTGAGAGATCTTACGGCTGACTCGCTTGAACACTCCATTAAAACATTTCATGGCATGGTGTGCAATCCCCCAAGCAATCTCATTAAGTGCATATTAGCTTTTTCCAATTTAGAACACAGTCCTTTATGTACAAAGACAAGGGAAAAACTAATAAATACCTATTTTAAGATTAATAAAATCTTAAATGCACCTGTGTGCGGGAAATCATGGGTGCATCCAAGACTTTCATGAAATAATAGAGCTCTTCGTACCCAATGTGGTTCCAGCTCCCTTCAATGATTCATCAGAAACCCAGATCTTAACAAATCAAGCCCTTCGTGGTGGTCGGCCTCACAGTCCCCGCCACCGGCCATGTGGATAATACTCTGGCTTCCTGCTGAGCTGAAATGTTCCTTCAGTCACAGAGTCACAGAATGAGGATTATGGCCACAGCAAACCTCTCGCCTCAGGTCATATCTTCCTGTCAGGAGCAGGGCCCTTGATTGATACCCTTAATCATCCCTCACATTCATCTGCAATGCTTCACACTCCAAAAGGCTTCACTCTGCATCATCTCTTTGAAGCAGTAAAACCACCCTCCCAGACCACTGTTCTTGCTTCAATTTGCAAACATATGCTTAGGAAGTTTTCTTGACTTATTTATGATCACAAAGATGTATGTGGAAGACCTAGAGCTAGAGACCCGGGACCTGAACCCAGGACTTCACACCTTTAATATTTGTTCACCTAAATATGTGTCTATTTCTCCTACTCTATTTTTTCAAGATTAGGACTCAGCCTTAACAAAAGCATCCTGCATAGAAACATGGCCAGATGGATTTCTTGGGTATTAGAAGCAGGGCTTTGGCCAAAGGGGGAAAAAAGTATTTTAACATTTTTGAACTCCACTTCCCCTTTAACTCTTACAAAACCAGACATCCTTATTAATCCAATCACAATTTTTTATTAATTGAGCATCCAGTGTCCGGAACTGAACAAGGTGCTTTGAGGGTCCTGTCCTCACAGACACAGCAGCTTGGAGAGGGGAAATATCACACCCAGGAATGCTCTGTGTTTGCTGTGACTATAAAGACGGGAAAGTGAACAGAGGCCTTGGAACCACTGCTGTCACTCAGAGTCACTCAAGCCCCGGGTCAGTGTCTGCACTCTGCTCTGCTCATTTGTGACTGCTGTGCGACTATAGTCAAGGACCATGTCCCCGAAGGGGGAGGTCTCAGGAAAAGAAGGGGTTGGGAAGGCCTGGGAGAGAGAAAGAGAGCCAGGCAGGAAGGACGCCTAGCACAGCAGGTCCCTGTGGGTAAGAGTACTGCAGAGGACAGTGGGTCTCCCCAAATACACAAGAAAACAGTGTTTGCCAAGTGCCCACTGAAGGAAAGGCCTCCACCCTCCCTCTGTCTCCCACCACACCTTCTTCAATACTGTTACTGTTCCTGGATTATTGATGGGGAAACAGATGTGAGTGCCTGGTACATAATGGCCAGACTGAAATTAAGTCTCCATCTCTGACTTCCCTAACTGTTCCTGGCACTTACCATGGTACCAAATGATCCTGGAGGCTCTGAAGTGGGCATGGAGGAGGTCAGGCCCAACTTTCACTTCCCCTGGGAAAAATGGCATTTTACTTAGGATCTAATCATTTCTCTTACTTTCCAAGATAAAGTAGAAAGAAGAAAAAAGCTAGGCCAGGTGCGGTGGCTCACGCCTGTAATCCCAGCACTTTAGAAGGCCGAGGCAGGCAGATCACTAAGTCAAGAGATTGAGACGATCCTGGCCAACATTGTGAAACCCCGTCTCTACTAAAAATACAAAAATTAGCTGGGCGTGGTGGTGCACACCTGTAGTCCCAGCTGCTCGGGAGGCTGAGGCAGGAGAATCACTTGAACCCAGGAGGCAGAGGTTGCAGTGAGCCAAGATCGTGCCACTGCACTCTAGCCTGGCAACAGAGCGAGACTCCATCTCAAAAAAAAAAAAAAAAAGGAAAAGAAAAAGAAAAAAAATAGCTCTAGTATCACCTAGGTAATACACACTGTTTTGTAAAATTGAATATTCACATTATTATAAAAACAGATTTTTTAACAGAAAAATACAATCTTTAATACCAACGAATCTAAAACCTGTAGCTCTCTGCCCTCCCTACTATGCAGCCATTATTACTCAGGAGGGCAGGAGAACTCAGGACTCCCCTGCACGCCCCCCGAGGCCTGAGTGACAGCTGCAGAGTGGATAAGGATGTGCAGATTCAGAACAGCTGTTGTCTTCCTGGCAATCAGCATGACATTTGTGATTGTCATTTCAAGAAAACAGTGCATCAGCCACATACACTGTGTTTATTTTTGGTACTTTTATTTTTGAAATCATAAAACGGAAACAGCACATAGAACAAAAAGTAAATATCTATGGCTTATTCTCCTTCACCACTTTCTGCCCTTTGGTTTTCCTAACTTACTGAATACAGATATAATAATCCATAGAGCTCAAGTAATTATTGGCAAACATTTCAAAACCAGTCAGCATTTCATGACAGTCTCTTTTAAAACCTGAGATTGAAAAGTATACATTAAAACAACTTTCCTAAACCCTACATATACAAATCTTCAGAATAATATATGCCACATTTTGGGCAGACATTTTTTTTTTTTTTGAGATGGAGTCTCACTCTGTTGCCCAGGCTGGAGTGCACTGGCACAATCTCAGCTCACTGCAACCTCCACCTCCCAAGTTCAAGCAATTCTCCAGCCTCAGCCTCCCAAATAGCTGGGACTACAGGTGCATGCCACTGCTAACTTTTTTGTATTTTTATTAGAGACTGAGTCACCATGTTAGCCAGGCTAGTGTCAAACTGCTGACCTCAGGAGATCCATCTGCCTCAGCCTCCCAAGGTGCTGGGATTACAGGTGTGAAATGCCACGCCTGGCCAGGCATCTTTTTTATTAATCTAGCTAATATATCCTGGGTGCTCTGAACTCAAGATTAGGGAGCTGAATCTATTCACAACATGCTAGTCAATTTAAAACACATGGATTCATAAGCCCACTTGGATTTTCTTTTAAAATTAATTACAGTATAGTCTCTTCCTAAGGCTGCAGCGAGAGATCCGTATGCCATTGGTTTTGACTGTTTAAAGAGAACCAAGGCAAAAATGTGATCTAAAATAACAGTGGAGATCACTTCTTACACTTACAGGACATCTTGTGAAGTGGACTCTACATTAACTTACCCTCTGCCTACCCCAATGCTCAGCACTGTCTGGTTCACTGGGCCAAGAAAACTGGGTAGAACTCCTGGAGCTTTAGATGATAATTGAATAAACAATTAGAATCAAGGCCTAGCTCAATAAGAGAATTTCAAGCTATCATTAAGACACTAGCTAAGATGCAATGATTTTATAGAATTATCTTCTTTAGTATTTCTAAGAGTGTCTGGTAGCTAGGAAACAAAGATGATTGAAATAATATATTTTATAAAACCACAAAGAGATAACACGTCACATTCATTAGGATGGCTACTATACAAAAAAAAAAAAGTAGAAAATAGCAGTGTTGGTAAGGACATGGAGAAATTGGAATCCTCATGCATTGTTTGTGGGAATGTAAAATGGAGCAGCAGCCATGAAAAGCAGTATGGTGGTTCCAAAAAAAATTAAAAAGAGAATTATCTTATGATCCAGCAATTCCACTTCTAGGTATATACCCAAAAGACACAAAAGTAGGGGCCTAAAGAAACATTTGTACACCAGTCTTCATATTGTTACAGGACCAACAGGCCCATATGCCCACTGCACAGTAAGACACCAATACACCGAGAGAGCAGGGTTTGCAGCAGAGAAAGAGTTTAATGATCATAGGGAGGCTGAGTGAGGAGACAGGAAGGACCCTCAAATCTGTCTCATTGAGGAGTTCTGCGCTAGGGTTTTTAAGGGGATCATGGAGGGCAAGGGGCTGGAAAATTGGGGTCATTAATTGGTTGGGGTAAGGAGAATGAAATCATCAGGATGCAGAAACTGCATTTTTTTTGGTGAGTGAGCTCCCATGGGGCCCTTCAGACCAGCTGGCATCAGTAGTTTCATCTGTATGAAAGACCCAAAGGAATGCCCTCAAAGGGAAAACTTAGCATTTCATAATGTTCAAGTTATTTATAGAGCAGTTAAGGGGAATGGTAATTTTGTTACAGGGTCTATATGATTCTGGGGCAACAGGCAGTAAACAGCTATAAGGAAGCAGGTCAGAAAGCAGCTGACCTAGTGATTGATGCTGAGTATGCTGCCAGCTGGGTTTATTCTCGTTCCCCTACATGACCCCCCCCATTCCTCTTCTTCCCGTATTAACTTAATAAAGCTTATAAGGATGGTTCCAATATTAGCATTATTCACAGTAGCCAAAAGATGGAAGCAACCCAAATGTCCATTAACAGATAAATAGATAAACAAAATGTGGCATAACAGACAATGGAATGTTATTTAGCCTTAAAAAGGAAGGAAATCCTGAAACATGTTATACCGTGAATGGTATGTTTTATGTTTTATGCTAAGGACATTATGCAAAGTGAAATAAGCCAGTCACAAAAAGACAAATACTGTATGCTTATATGAGGTACCTAGAACAGTCAAATTCATACATACAGAAAGTGGAATGGTGATTGCCAGAAGCTGGCAGGGGAGGAGACAGGGAGTTGTTGAATGGGTACAGAGTTTCAGCTCAGGATGATCAGAGTTCTGGAGGTGGATGGCAGTGGCACTGCACAACACTGTGAATGCACTTAATGTCACTTGTCACTCATCTGTACACTTACAAATGGTTCAGGTAGTAAATCTTATGTATATTTTACCACAATTAAAAACATGATACATTTTATAATATAAAATAGAGAAAATTAATTGATAATAGTTTTTTTAAATGAGTGTAAGTTTTATATATATATAGTGATAGCTGAAATATGATTTTCTTTTTAAAATCACATTATATGATAGACTATGTACATATATTTAGGAGCCTCAGGCCATTGATTTTCAATGTTATGTAATTTGTAAATTATGTTAATCATTATAATCTTAATAGGTGATAAAAGCTGATGTATAAACAATATCCTTTGTTTAGTTAATGAGTTCAAAAGCACAGATAGGAAGAATCATTGCTAGTGTTCTAGAGCACTAGAGGGTGACTATAATCAACAATTGATTGACTTTTTTCAAATAGAAGAGAGGATTTTGAATATTCCCAATACACATAAATGATGAATGTTCAAGGTGATGGAAGTACTGTTTACTGTGATTTGATCATTACACACTGTACACACGTGTCAAAATATTACTCTGGGGCTGGGCGTAGTGGCTCACTCCTGTAATCCCAGCCTTTGGGGAGGAGGCCAAGGCAGGTGGATCACCTGAGGTCAGGAGTTCAAGATCAGCCTGGCCAACATGGGAAAACCCCATCTCTACTAAAAAAAAAAAAAAAAAAATTCAAAAATTAGCCAGGTGTGACGGCATGTGCCTGTAATCCCAGCTACTCAGGAGACTGAGGCAGGAGAATTGCTTCAACTCAGGAGGCAGAGGTTGCAGTGAGCCAAGATTGTGCCACTGCACTCCAGCCTGGGTGACAGAGTGAGACTCCATCTCAAAAAAAAAATTACTCTGTACCCCATGCATATGTACAACTATTATATATCAATTAAAAATAATAATGAAAGCCAAAAAGAACCACCCATATACCCATACAAATATAATTTCATCAAGTTCTTTACTAAATTCATTTTGGGCTCTTATAGTTCAGTGCCTGGTACAGTCTTCCTCAGAGTAAATATCTGAATCAATAAATCAAACAGCATTCAATGTTATTCTTAAATATAAAATTTCTTCTGCGGGATATATTAAGATTGACATAGAAAGAAACTCATTTGTACATACCCTAAGTTTTTTTAAAAAAAGATATGACTCAAAAATAAAAGAATACTCTTTCAAAATCCAAACAAAGGTAATGAATACATTTGAGAAAAAATTAACAAAATATATTTAATTGACTTCTTAGCATCTATATTTTGTATAATTTCTAAATATGTTCCATATCCTCCTCTATAACAAAAGTCATTTTCCAGGTGTACCTTCCTTAGACTCCACATGATAACAGTTTTGGCCATTTCCCTTAATTAATCCCATCTTCTGACATTTTTAACATAAATAGTGTTCTAAAAAGTTCCTGTCATTTATCAGCATGTGTCTTGTTATACTTTCATTATATTGCATTTACCCAATTATTTCTTAAAAATCCAATTAATCTACATAAAATACAAATAGATCCCGTTGTTTCCCTTGGGCAGCCATGCATTCTTTTGGGGATGACAGCCTTGGCCATAGAACAAAGAAGCTACTGCATAGGATCTGTGCTTTGATCTCTTCTAGTTTCAAAATCCTAAGAGCATCAATATACTCTTCTATTCTGTAAATGAAAAAAAAATTCTCAGGCATTTCACCATGTCCTCCACTATGTGCCGCGTTTCAGGGATTGAGGCAGCACGCAGAGGTGGTGGCCTGCCTGCTGCGTGAGGCTTCACTTCATCACTTTCTGTCTGTGTGACCTCAAAGAAGTTCTCGGATCTCTGGTCCCTCAGCTGCCACACTTGCAAAATGGAGATCATAAAAGTACTTGCCTCCCAGGCTTGTTTTAAGGATGAAATGGGTTTTCGTGTATTTTGCAGCACTTAGAATTAGTGTCTGGCACTTACGTGCTTATCAGTTTATTAAGTAAAATCTCACAAATGGAACCAAACCTAGCAGAAAAATTCCACACAGGATTCCATTTTTTAACAAGGAAAAGAACAGATATAGGACCACTCTTTGGGAAAGCTTTGTTGTGAAAAAGATACAAATAAGATAGTCTTGTTAGATTCAGCGTGAATGGAAATTATCAAGTGTAATACACTGACTTTAGGACAGCCTCAACATTAGACTGGGAAGGTTTCTGTCTTAAATGAATAAACGTGATCCCTGTCATAGGAAGGTGTTAGGTAACATATTATAAGTGACCAAATATTTTCACTCCTCAAGTTGAAGACTAATTATCCTTCAAGAAATCCCCAACAATCCACTTCCTTAAATGACCAAAGCTACTACATTGTCATAGTTACCACTTGCATACGAAAATAAATTTTGTGAATGACTTCTTAGCATTTGTTTCTTCTTCTTCTCAAAATTTCAATATGCTAATGCGAAAATTTTTATGGAGAAAATTAGAAGACTTTACTAGAAGGCACCTAGGAATAACTGAGTGAATGAAGCACGCAATTATGTTCATGGACAGGGAGAGGCAATATAGACGAAAGATGTCATTTCTCCCCAAACTAATCTGCAAAATCAATGCAACTCCAGGTTAAATCCCTACAGGATCTTTCATGGAAATTGATGAACTAATTCTAAAACATATATGTATAGAGTGTGTGCTAGAATAGCTAAACCAACATTGTAAATTAAAACAATATGCCTGCAGGTTTGTGCTTTTTGTTCAAGATTGCTTTGGCTATTCAGGGTCTTTTTTATTTCCATACAAATTTTATGGTCTGTTTTCCTATTTCTGTGAAAAATGACATTGGAATTTTTATTAAAAATGCATTGAATCTGCAGCTTGCTTTGGATAGTATGAACATTTTAACAATGTCAATTCTTCCAATTCATAAACATGGGATAGCTTTCCATTTATTTGTGTCTTCTTTAATTTTGTTCATCAACATTTTATAATTTTCATTGTACAGACTTTTCACCCCTCTTGATTAAGTTTATTCCTATTTTATCTTTTTTGATGCTATTGTAAATGAGATTGTTCATTTTTGGATAGTTCATTGTTAGTGTACAAAAATGCTACTTATTTTTGTATGTTGATTTTTTAACCTGCAACCTTAATGAATTTGTTCATCAGTTCTAATAGTTTTTGGTGGAGTCTTAAAGTTTTCTAAACACAAGATTATGTCATCTGCAAACAGAAACTTTCACTTCTTCCTTTCCTGTATGAATGTCTTTTATTTATTTTTCTTACTTGAGTGGCCCGGCACTAGGGCTTCCAGTACTGTGTTGAAGAGAAGTGGAAAGAGTGGGCTTCCTTGCTTTTTTCCTCATCTTAGAGGAAAAGCTTTCAACTTTTCGCCATTGAGTATTATGTTAACTATGGACTTGTCATACATGGCTTTTATTGGGTTAAGATAAATTCCTTCCATGCCTATTTTTTGAGAGTTGTTAACATGAATGAAGATTAAATTTTGTCAAATGCTTTTCCTGCATCTTTTAAGATAATCATGTGTTTTTTGTTCTTAATTTTGTTAATACAGTGTATCACATTTATTGACTTATGTATGTTGAACCATCCTTGCATCTCTGGAATAAATCCCCATGACCATGGTGAACAGTCTTTTTAAGGTGCTATTGAATTGGGTTTGCTGGTATTCTGTTGAGGAATTTTGCATCTGTGTTCATCAGAAATATTGGCCTGTATATTTCTTTTCTTACAGTGTCCTTGTCTGAATTTGGTATCAGGGTAATGCTAAAAACAGAACCCTTGTACGCTGTTGGTGGGAATGTAAGTTAGGGCAGCCATTTTAGAAAATAGCATGGAGGTTCCTTAAAAAACTAAAAATAGAATGACCATATGATACAGCAATTCCACTTTTAAGTATATATCCAAAGGAATTGAAATCATCATGTCAAAGAGATATCTACACTCTCAGGGTGATCTCAGCATTATTCACAATAGACAAGATGTGGAAAAACCTAAGTGTCCATCAACGGATGAATGGATACAGAAAATCTGGTATATGCATACAACGGCCTACCATATAGCCTTCAAAAAGAAGGAAATCCTGTCATTTGCAACAACATGAATGGAACTGGAAAAATTATGCTAAGTGAAATAAACTTGGCACAGAAAGACAAATACAGTATAATCTCACTTGTGGAATCTAAAAAAGCTGACCTTGCAGAAACATAATAGAAAGGTAGTTACTAGCAGCTGGGGTAGAGGAGATGGAATGGGGAAAAGGAAGATGTTGATCAAAGGGTACAAAGTTGCAGTTATGCTAAAGAAATAAGCTTTAGTGATCTATTGCATGGTGACCACAGCTAGCAATAATGTATTCTATACTTCGAACTCGTTAAAACAGATTTATAACATTTTCACCACAACAAGTAATAATTGGGTAAGACAATGGATATGTTAACCAGATTAAATATTTCTATAATTTATACATGAGTGAAAACATCACATTGTGCCCCACAAGTACAGATAATTGTCAATTTAAAATAAAAAATTAAAACAAAGCAGGCTAACTTAATTTCCTTATATAGAAATCTATTACAGAGCTATACAAATTAAACAATATAATACTGCATCCAGAACTGATGGGTTCTTGGTCTCACTGACTTCAAGAATGAAGCTGCCAACCCTTATGGTGAATGTTACAGCTCTTAATTCGTGTCTAGTTTGTTCCCTCTGATGTTCAGATGCTTCCAGAGTTTCTTCCTTCTGGTAGGTTCATGGTCTCACTGGCTTCAGACCTTCTGCAGACCTTCACAGTGAGTGTTACAACTCATAAAAACAGCATGGACCCAAACAATGAGCAGCAACCAAATTTATTGCAAAGAAACAAAGAACAAACCTTTCACACGGAGAAAGAGGAGCAGAATTGTGTGCCACTGCTGGCTCCGGCAGCCTGCTTTTATTCTCTTATCTGGCCCCACCCACATTCTGCTGATTGGTCCATTTTACAGAGAGCCAATTGGTCCACTTTACAGAGAGCTGATTGGTCCATTTTGACAGGGTGCTGATTGGTGCGTTTACAATCCTTGAGCTAGACGGGGTGCTCATTGGTGTGTTTACAAACCTTGAGCTAGATACAGAGTGCCGATTGGTGTATTTACAATCCTTTAGCTAGACATAAAGGTTCTCCAAGTCCCCACCAGAGTAGCTAGATACGAGTATCCATTGATGCATTCACAAACCCTGGGCTAGACACAGGGTGCTGATTGGTGTATTTACAAGCCCTTAGCTGAACATAAATGTTCTCCAAGTCCCCACCAGACTCAAGCACAGCTGGCTTCACCCAGTAGATCCCACACCTGGGCCACAGGTGGAGCTGCCTGCCAGTCCCGCATCCTGCACCCGCGCTCCTCAGCCCTTGGGTGGTCGATGGGACTGGGTGCCACGGAGCAGGGGGCGGCACTCATTGGGGAGGCTCGGGCAGCACAGGAGCCCACAGAGTTGGGGGTGGCTCGGGCATGGCAGGCTGCAGGTCCTGAGCCTTGCCCCATGGGGAGGCAGCTAAGGCCCAGCGAGAAATTGAACACAGCAGCTGCTGGCCCAGGTGCTAAGCCCCCTCACTGCCCGGGGCTTGTGGGCCCACTGGCCGCTCCAAGTGCAGGGCCGCTGGGCCCACGCCCACCCGGAACTCGCGCTGGCCCGCAAGTGCCGCGCGCAGCCCAGGTTCCCTCCCAGGCATCTACCTCCATACCTCCTTGCAAGCTGAGGGAGCCGGCTCCGGCCTCGGCCAGCCCAGAAAGGGGCTCCCACAGTGCAGCGCGGGCTGGAGGGCTCCTCAAGTGTGGCCAGAGTGGGTGCCAAGGCCGAGGAGGTGCCGAGAGCGAGGGCTGCGGGGGCTGCCAGCATGTTGTCACCTCTCAGTATTGACATAGATCAGTGGAACATGATAGCTCAAAAATAGAATTATGATTAATTCGGGAATTTGATATGAATATGATAAAGATGTCATCTAAAATCATGAAGGAAAGATTGTTCAGTAAATAGAGATAAATTGGCTACCCATCTGGAGAGAAAATGAAGTGAGATTCCTGACTCACATCATCTAAAGAGTAAATTCCAGATTAATTACAGAGTTAACATGAAAATAAAAATTATGTAGAAGAAAAGTGAGAAGACCATCTGTATGACTTTCAGGAAGGAAAGTACCACTAGTCTTTGAAGAATAGTCTGATTTCTTAAAAAATGAATAATTAATGAGGCACGAGGAATACGTAACAATCAGGTTACATAAAGAATATATAACATGAATAAGGAAAATAAATCAACCCAATAGAAAAATTTCCAAAGAAAAACCAGAGGCAGGTTATAGGAGAGAAAATGCGAAAGGCCAAAAAATACTTAGAAATTGCTAGACTGTGAGCTATTGATGGGACGCAGTGAAAGAAGAAACCATCTGGGCTGGAACATTCTCCTTCCAGCACCTCAAGCGCCAAGACCCTGGCCCACAGGAGAGGAGCTGGAACCCAGGCGCACTCCCGGCTCTGCTGTTAGCAATAGCTGCACAGTGATAATCGTCGGAATGCTCTTATCTGGCTTGCTTTGACAAAACACCGCAGATGTAAATATGTGTGTCTAGAAGAACAAACATATAATAAACATTCATCTTGAGGTGAATGTGAAGTGGAATGGAAGAAGAATAAGGGCATGAACCTCTTTCTCCATTTTCACACGAGGCCAGTAGAGAATGCTCGGCACTGTTGGGATAAAACATGGAGGTTCGTGTTTACGATTTAAGGGCACTAATGACTGCCTGAACTTATAATGGTAAAGGAAAGTAGCATTGGTGTAAACGAAAGCCTCTCATTTCCTACTAGAGAATCGATATGTAATGTCCTCTGTTGATGAAGCAGCGGCATAAACGCAGGAGCAGAGCTGAGAAGATCCCCGGCAGGCTTAAAACACGCGCCCATGGCTGCCTCCGGAGGAGACCCAGGCTGCCCTTCTCTCCCTGTTACCTCTACCAGGAGATCGTGGTATTCAGCTCAGCAAAATAAATGGATTTTTAAATAAAATGAAACAAAACAAAACAAAATGAAAGGGCTGTAAGCCAATAGTATGGCAAAATCTCCAAAAAGACGATTTCCAAAAAGTTTTTTATTTCAATGATTAGCTCTAAGATTCATGTGGTTTTGCTCATAATATTTATCGGGACTCTCACTTCATTTCTTTCCAACGTAGATTGCCGATTCTGACAACCTGTATGTCTATTTTTAGAAGTAATTTCTTCATCACTCTAAACAAGGGCCTTAAGTAGCCTGCAGGCACAATCCCATCACCATGGACGGCTTCATCCAGGACGACTCCCTCTCCTTCACTATTTCACAGTCAGAGGGGTAGAGTGCACAGGTGAAGCCCAGACCAGGCATCCACCCCGCAATCTATGCCACCCTCTGTGCCTTCTCTACTTGCATTCTTATTCTTATTTTTATGTGGCTCTCATTATTAAATATGCAGAAAAATAGCATTTTAAAAATATTCTTCCTAAAGGAAATAAAGAAACAGTGATATCTTGTGGTACTAAAAGGTGTTCTCAAGTTTAAGCAGCTGTGAGACAAAGGAATTGATCTTGGTCCAGGCAATTCTGGAACCATCTAGGCAAGTGGGGTGGGGGCCAACCCAGTCCCAGAGGTCTGAAGTCTGGCTTCATGGTTATTGTCTAACAGTAAGAAAGACAGGTACAACTCAGAAACCAATTCACCACCAGAAAAGCAAACAAATTAACTCTCCTCTGCAGTCAAGCTAGCCAAGTAATCTGGAAAACTGGAAAATAGTCAAAAAAAAAAGAAAAAAGAAAGAAGGAAATATATTCTTCTTTCATATATGTGTGTGCATATATATTAATATATGTGTGTATATGTAGATAATGTATATGATACATATGTGCATATATTTATATATGTGTATATGCATACATATTTACATGTATATGTATCATATACATATGTATACATGTATCTATATATTCACACATATGTATTAATATGTACATAGATTAGCTTGAGGGTGCTCCTGACCCCACAGATGAAGGCCATCTGCAGCAGCTGCCCCTGCCTTCTCCAGATTCTGCCCTTGCTTTTCCCTGAATCTCAGAATAGGGGCTCCCAGCAATCACCTGTATGCTGCCTCTTCTCCCTCCGGAGGACTTTCCCTCCAGACGTCCAGACACCTTGCCCTCCTTTCCTGCTAGCAGAATCCCTTTAAAAGCACTTAGGATCCTCTCTCATGGGGTTTATATATATTTATATATTGTGTATATGTATACATATTTACATGTGTATGTATCATATACATATGTGTATATGTATACATATTTACATGTGTATGTATCATATACATATGTATATGTATCTATATTCACACATGCATATTAATATATACACACATATATACATATGCACATATATGTACACACACATATATGTATTTCTCTTTATCAATATAATAGAGAAAGGAAGAGAGAAAGTCATTGCAGGGCAAGCAGAGTGACCTACACCTGATTTCTGTACCTCAGGCAGGACTACACACTGTCTCCATGTAAGGTACCATCTGTTTAGGGAAACTCCAGGCATGCACACTTACATTGGGCCTGTCGCATCCAAGTTTCTAAAGGGAAAGGCTGTGTTTCCTCTCACATCACAGGCCCAAAGCAGTCTTCTTAGGACAAGGAGCCAAGTAATGCCGCTCAATTGTGTGACCTAAAAATGTATGAGTACATTAGTCTGATTTTTACATGAGGATATTCCCACCACAGACAGACCAGCATCGTAACAGATTTACAAAAGAGTAGAGATGGGAACAGAGACGAAAAGTGATTCTTAATGTTGTTCTCAAAGGATTTATTTAAGTATCCCTCATCTCCTCTTGACAGACTCTGCTTAGTTAGTGAGAACTTAATTACCCAATTAAGGATAAAATTATACGTGCTCTCTTTTTTCAAAATTAATAAACATGGTTCCAACTTTGGATTTTTAAGGAAACTACATTCATATACAACAAACTATGGTAGCAGTCATTGCTCAGTTGTAATTAGTTTTTTCTTTATTGCCTACCCACCCAAGGGGGCTCATCCCTGTGCAGCTAATGAAGACAGAGGTGCACTCACAGGAGGAAGGCCACCACTTCCAAGGACGTGGGCACTTCCAGAATCACCGGGGGAGGGAACTAAGCTGGTTAGAGTCTGCACTGAGATGACCGCTGGGTAGAAAAAAATTCAACCCGCTGACCATTACTCCCCAGCATGGGTGGCAACAATGGCTCTTTCCAGATGGACAACTTTTAGATTGAGGGTGCTCCTGACCCCACAGATGAAGGCCATCTGCAGCAGCTGCCCCTGCCTTCTCCAGATTCTGCCCTCGCTTTTCCCTAAATCTCAGAATGGGGGTCCCAGTGATCACCTGTATGTTGCCTCTCCTCCCTCTGGAGGACGTTCCCTCCAGGTGCCTTGCCCTTCTTTCCTGCCAGCAGAATCCCTTTAAAACCACCAGGGATCCTCTCTCACGGGGTTTCCTAATGTGGATTTTTATATGAGAGAACTGGAGTCTCCAATGTAAGCCTTTTTCTCCAAAAAACTCTGGGTTCTTTTTGGTCAATTTCCCTCACTTGCCCTCCTCCCCACACTCCTCATGCCAACAAAAAGACAATGCTTTCTAAGCCAGCCAAGACTTGAGCAGACACACACACACACACACACACACACACACACACCCCAGCACCCTGCCTCTGTCTAGATGGTTTTCTAACCTCTCTTGCTGACATAGGAGGAACTGGTACAATTTTCAGGCCATCCTCAAAGGGCAGCAGCTGCTGACTAATGTTAGATTCCATTAATGCCCCACTCCCTCCCACAGACAGACTCAGGATCTGCAAAGGCTGGAGCTGGGACATGCTGCACTGTGCTCCTCCTGGATTTAAGTGCCTTACCTGGAAGAGTGATGTCAATGAGCATTGGTTGACATGAACTAATCTAACTTTAATGGGAAACATATTTAAACTCTGTGTATACGATCAGTTTTCAACACATTTGTGTATTCACAATGTAAGTTAGATTGTTTTGAGTTCTTCATTTTTCCACAATCTTAGCAGCTTAATTTCATTGCCCTCCCTCTTATGGACTCATATGACAAAAAGCCTGGAGCTCATCTTCTCCCCTTGGTCCTGCTTCTGCCCTTGGTCACTGACACTGTGTAGGCCATTCCTAGCATCTACAGCAGATAATATCCAAGTTGGTTATTACAAGTAAATTATGTGGCTTTTATTTGCAAATATTCCTATAGCCTGCATATAAAGCCATTTTACTTAAACTCAACATTTCGAAACAGTCCAACTTTTAAAAAATCTAAATGGCTTCTTCTAGAAGACACAAATAAATGAAAGAATATTCCATGTTCACGGATTGGAATAATGTATATTGGCAAAATGCCTATACTATCCAAAGCAATCTACAGATTCAGTGCGATCTTTATTAAAATTCTAATGATATTTATTACAGAAATAGAAAAAATCCTAAAAATCTTATGGAACCACAAAATATCCTGAACAGCCAAAGAAATCTTGAGCAAATAGATCAAAGCTAGAGACATCACACCACCTACTTCAAAGTATGCTATGAAACTATAGTAATCAAAACAGCATGGTACTGGTATAAAAACAGACACAAAAGCCAGGTATGACAGTGTGCACCTGTAGTCCCAGCTACTCAGGAGGCTGAGGCAGGAGGATCAGCTGAGTCTGGGAGGTTGAGGCTACAGTGAGCCGTTATTCAGCCACCGCATTCTAGCCTGAGCAACAGAGCAAAACCTTGTCACAAAAAAAGAACACACACACACACACACACACACACACACACACACAGAAACATAGATAAATGAAACAGAATGGGAGAGCCCAGAAATAAATCCACACATTTACAGGCAATTAATTATTAATTTCTGGCAAAACTGTTGCAAACATACAGTGGGGAAAGGACAGTCTCTTCAATAAATGGTGTTGGGAAAACTGGATATCTACATGCAGAAGAATGAAATTAGACACTTGTTTCACACTATATACAAATCAACTCAAAATGGACTAAAGACTTAAACATAAGACCTGAAGCTTTAAAACCACTAGAAGAAAACATAGACAGAAAGCTACACAACATTGGTCTGCATGATGATTGTTTTTTTATTTGACCCCAAAGCACAGGCAATGAAGTGAAATAGACAAGTGGGATTACATCAAACTAAAAATCTTCTGCAGAACCAAGGAAACAATAGTGAAGAGAAAACCATAAGGAGAATAGAAAACAAAAGGGAGAAAGTATTTCCAAACCATATCCGATAAGGAGTTAATATCCAAAATACATAAGAGACTCAAACAACTCAATAGCAAGAAAACAAATAACCTGATTTTTTAAAAGTGGCAAAGGATCTGAATAGACATTTCTTAAAAGAAGACATACAAATGGCCAAAAAGTATTTGAAAAAATGATCAACATCACTAATCTTCAGAGAAATGCAAATTGAAACCATAATGAGATATCACCTCACACTTGTTACATTTTCTATTATTTTAAAAAGGGAAGACAACCAGTGCTGTCTGTAAGAACTAAAGAAAGAGGAAAGAAACACAAATAGTGGCTTAACAGTCAAAGGCAGCTTTATTTTGAAGAATCAACCTGAGAGGGGCTTCTGGCCTAGTTAGGTCAGAGGCACTCTCTCTTACAGACTAAGAGTTTTTAAGGGTTCAGGGCAGGAGAGCTTATCAGAGGCTTGGACTGTTTCTGTGCCTCTTTGTCATACTTATCTTGGAGAGAGAGTTTTTGTCTGTTCCCATACATCTTCCTGAAGCTACAGGCATACCCTCCAAGTCTGATTTTGGCTTTCCTATCTTAGTGCACCTAAAGGGAAAGGAATGTGCTTATTAGGGCCCACTGTTTTACTGGGGCCCATTGTATGAGTGTGAAGTTTGGCAGTTACTCAAAAGACTTTCCCCTCTCCCTCTGTGCTCCAGCTGTCTTATCTGTGTTTTACTGTCTCTCTTTCTGGCTGCTTGCTGTTAGAAGAGAAGTGATTTCCTTGAAATTCATGAGGCTAAAAATGGAGCTGGAACTTAAAGTGACAGTGTTTGTCCAAGATGACAGTGCCCCTGCTCTGTCACTGTCAAGTATATAGAGAAAAGGGAACCTTTGCATACTGTTGGTGGGAACATAAATTAGTACAACTGTTATAGAAAACAGTATGAAGTTTCTTCAACAATTAAAAATAGAACTACCATATGATCCAACAATCCCACGACTGGTATATATCCAAAGGAATTGACATCAGTATGTTGAAGAGATGTCTACAATTCCATGTTGATTTTAGTATTGTTCACAATAACCTGTAGTGGGATTGACAAGGAATCAGAGAGACTGATGAGGTTCAGGGGGATATTTATTATTTAGGTGCACCGGCCCAGTTGGTTTAACATCCAAGGGACTGAGCCCTGAACAAAAAGTTAAGTTACCTTTTAAGCATTTCGTGGGGCAGGGGGAGATCTGTGCAGGAGGAAGCATATTACAGGAGCGAGAAACAAAGACAGTTATTCAATTAATTGAGACATCCATTACATCATTTCTTACTTTTCAAGGAAAAACATGTTTTACAACTTGAGTTTATCTGTCGAGTGACCTTGCAGCTGCACAGCTAGAGAAACAGGGTCTTCACAATGCCTGGGAAAGGAGGAGAGATAAGGCTCACTAGCCACAGAAAAACAGGCAGTTAATTTTTAAAGGACTCCAGCTCTTTCTTTTTCTGGGGGGGAACTGGGTTTTCTTACATGCAGCTGAGTTTCTGCTTACACATTCTTTAATTTCCTTTAATTCCTGTTCCAAACCAAGATATGGAAATAATCTCAGTGTCCACCAATGGATGAAAGGATTTTTTAAAATGTGGTGCATCTACATGATGAAGAACTATACAGCCTTTATAAAGAAGAAAATCTTATCATTTGTGACAACATGGATGGAACTGCAGGATTGAAATAAGCCAGGAAGAGAAAGGCAAACACTACACGATCTCACTTGTGTGTATAATAGACAAAGCTGAACTCATAGATGTAGAGAGTAGAATGGGATTAGAGAGATGTTGGTCAAAGGATACAAAATTTCAGTTAGACAGAAGGAATAAATTCAAGAGACCCGATTGTACAATGTGATGACTATAGTTAATAACAATGTATTGTATTCTTGAAAATTGCCAACACAGACAACAAAAGGTAGAAAGTATTTTCAAACTATATCTGATAAGGAGTTAATATCTAACATACATAAGGAACTCAAACATGAGAGTAGATGTTAAGTGTTCTCACCACAAAAAAAAGATAAGTATGTGAGGTAATGCATATGCTTAGCTTGATTTAGCCATTCCACAATGTATACTTACTTCAAAACATCATGTTGTACATGATAAATACATACAATAAAAATAGGAAAGAAATAATTCTGAAATAAATAAATAATAAATGGCCTCTTCTGATATAAAGGGTAAAAAGTAAACTTAACTATAAATTAATTTTAACATACATTTTTTGAAAACAATGATTGTGGCTGTTTTTTGAAATTTTGTGATTTCTCCAAGCACTGGAGACAGTGGTTTATGCTTCCGTGAGGCAGTAGTGGAATAATTTGTTGAGAAAAATTACTGAGAGCAGAAAATTGGAGATCCTAAAGATTCTCAAATATTTTCAATAAAAGGGAAACTTCAGCTACCTTAGAATGTCATTGTTTTAATTATCTTCCCAGCTCCTTCCTTCCACTGCCATTATCTATCCAAACCTTGCATTCTTGCTTTTCTCTCAGCTGTAGCTGGTGGTTATTAACAAGCCTGAAGAATCTTAGATGCCAGAGGTTACATCACAGTCCCAGTAGATTACAAAGATGGTGAACAGCTAAATCGGAGGGTATATGCTTGACAAAAAAAAAAAAAAATCAAAACTTGCCTCTTTTGAGGGAAATTCGGCAAAAGGCTCTAGCAAAGTGTTTTGCAATTACAGTGTGCTAACCAGTGTAGCAGTGTGGAGAGCAGACAGTAGGTCAGCATTTTATTCATGAAGCTTGCTTATTCAAAATAACAAGCAACTTCCTTCCTGCAAAACAGAAAAAACATAAGCATCAGCAAGCTGCCGGCCACATCCGCCTGGCCTTCATCTGTGGCTGGTGTGTTTTTGCTGTGGGTTTTTACTGATTACTCCCTTTTTCAGGGAGCATAAGAAAAAAAAAATGTCTGTGTGACCTCCCCCTATGCTATGCGGTAAAATTATTTGCTTCCACAAACTAAATATTTCTTCATAGCTAGATAGATTTTATTCTAACAAATAAATTCATTTTAACGTAACTTCATCACATAACTCACCGGAATGCAGCTTCAGAGGCAGTGCTGACCAGAATGCAAGCTGAGTTCGGTACCAAACAGAGCAATTAAATCTAAACTTGCTGTAACTATAAGGTAGCATTATTTTAAACAAAACAAACTCCTTATCTGAGCATGTGCATGTGAATGTGTAATACATGTCTCCCACATAAATGTGTTTTATATTTTACACAGCGAACAGATGACTAATTGATTTTCCGTAATGATTACTATTGCTTTCTCCTAACTCTGTTTGAAGAGGGCCTTCATTATTTTTCATTTCCTTCCCTTTGACATTATTTCAAAGTCTTCATGTTCCCTCTGATGCTGCAGTCATCAGACATCTGAATGTCTGCTACTGAATGGCCCCAGGTGTAAGAAGTATCTTTCTACTTCCTCAGACCGTCTTTCATCCGAGAGGGTGTGGTAGTGACTTTTCCCTCTGTTTGGCATCTCAAATGCTCTCCTGAGGCTCATCCCGGACTGGCCAAGGAGAGATCCCTGCTGGTTTCCAGGAGTGGGGCCTGAGCTGGACTTCCAAACCACAGCAGTCCATCTGGGCAATGGAGCCCAGATATTTGGTCAAACAGTAGCCTAGATATCACTGAAAAGGTGTTTTTTAGATGAGACTAACATTTAAATTTGTAACTTTGAGTAAAGCAGATTCCCTTCCGTAATGTGGATGGGCCTCATCCAATCAACTGAAAGCCTTAAGACGAAACAGACTGAGGTCCTCCGAGGAAAAAGGAATTCTGCCTCCAGTCTACCTTCAGACTGAGCCAAAGCATCCATTCATCCTTGGGTCTCCAGCCTGCCTTTCAAAATTTGGACTTAACAGCCCCCACAGGTGCATGAGCTAATTTCTTAAAGTAAATCTATCTACCTATCTACACACATATATATGCAGGCATGTGTGTATATATACATATATATGTATATGTTTACACATACTTACGCATATGTATGTATATGATACCTACAGATATGCATAGGTATAGATATGTAGATATAGATTTATTTTAAGGAACTGACTCACAATTATGGAGGCTGGCAAGTCCAGATTTTGCATATGTGTACACTTATACACATATATGTGTGTATATATACATATACACCTACTCACATCCGACACCAGAAAGATGGGTGTCACCCTTTACTCTCCCTACAATTCCCTGCCCTGTGGGTCCCTTTTCATAACTTTCCCTTGAAACCAAGCCTGTTTTCCATCCCCTGTGGGCACCATCCAGTTTCAGCCTCAGCCTCACACACCCTCAACACAGTCAGACACTGCTTGTTGCCATTGTTATGGTCAAGAGATCATAGCTGAGGAGCTAAAAATTATATACACTCAAAATTATATATAATTATATGTATTATATAATTAGAATGCATATATGATAATGAATATAGGATATCAACTCCCTGCATGTGCTTTTAAGATGAATCTAACATCTTTAACTCAGCTCAGACCCAAAGGCCAGTGCCTCCCTTCAGCTTTCTCTCTTCCACACCTTTCGTCTGTCGCAGCTATGGCAACTGTCTTTCCCCCTAACCCTAGCCATGGATCTTCACAAAGAGGTTTATTCTAACAAAATGTCTTTTCCTGATTCTTAGCTACCTACCTCCTACTCTCAGTCCAAGCTTTTGCTTCAGCCTTCCGATTTCCAAGGGCTTCGTGTGCTCCCTTCACTAGTGCTGTCCACCTGGAATATGCCCCGGCAGGATGTCACACTTCTCATCTCATCTATCGTGACGAGATCACCAGCTGCCTTCCCCACTAGTCTTCCAAAACCGAAGATATGGCTGTTTCCAAAGTGTAACAACAGCAACCAGCACAAGGTCTGACATAGTGTAGACTGTAGCCATGTATTAAAACAAATTAAATTATCGTACGGGTGAATTACAGAACTTATGTGACTACTCACTGTATACACTGGGTTTGCACATTCAAGATGAGCTTAAAAAATAACTAGTTGTAGCTTATGGCTAAAGAATAATAACAAGTAAATAATAGCTATGATTCTCATGTCTGTGAGATCTAAGTCACATCTTTGTCCCAGCATTCTACCCATGAGAAACAAGTGGTAAGTGTAATGAACGTTTCTATGTGAAAAAAATCAGGAGAGAAGATACTGATTAAAATGAGGATAGCAAACTTATGTTCATTTCATTAGATCATATGGATTAGAATTTTGCCTGACTCAATATTTTATACTAAGCATCTTCTCCCTGAATAGTTATATAATTTAAGCCATAGTAAAACCTTAATAAATAGTTGTCAGTATTCATTAGAATTTAATTCATGCTTGTATTCAGAACAAGCAATGGATAGTTTTAAAAGACACCATGAAAATAAAGATAACATAACACAAAGTCATTACTGCAGATGTGTTTTCACTCCAGGTTGGAAGCACCAAATAAGATCCATACTCACAGACACTTCTCTGAACACACTTCTTTTGAGGTAAATAGACCACAAGCACTAAACACAATTTGTATTTGAGCTATGTAGTTGGGTTGATTTTATAATTAAAAACGTGCCCCCCACTGGTCTTTATAAGTTCTGTAAGGGCAGAAACTCTGTATACTTCCCTTATCACTGCACCCCTGGGGCCTCGCACAGTGCCTGGCACACCGCAGGTGTCATCCATTGTTTGTCTAATACTATGAATAAAAATGGTTTCCAGATTGTGTGTGTATAGATGTATATGTGTGTGTGTATATATATATATACATATATGTATAAATGTATAATTAAACAATGTCACAATAAAACCCTACTTGCTTAAGACCTAATTGCCAAGATCAGCAAAGCTAAAGGGAAGAGTTTGTAGAGAACTTGCAACTAGCACTGATTCTCCTGGAGCAACCATCCCAAACCAATGAGACCCAAACCTACCAAGATGCTCACTCTCATTTCTCCTTCTCTCTGTTAAGATTCCCTCTTAGCTTTTTTTCCTTCCACAGGCACAGTGGCCACAAGCAGCCTCCAATTTAGGATGATCCTAAAGACAAAGCCCATTTTCACTCTCTTAAGTTTGAAAACTATCAAGACTGTGATTGGGCTGGCTTGGGTCGTGTTGGCCATAGAAATGGAGCACCCTGATCAGTGTGACCAAGTGGGGTGTGGCACTGTGGGCAGCCCCAGCGTAATCAAGGAAAGTCAGATTTTCCCAAGGGAGATGAGATGCATGACAGAGCCCAAAAGGCAGTTTCCGTTGCATTCCCCCTTCATTACCAGAGTGAGACCACAGAGTAGTGACCCAGCGCATGGAAGGGCAGAATTCAATCAAGCGAGGAGGGTAAATGTTCACAGAATAAGCTACAATGGGTGCTTAACTGATCCAAAAAGAGTAATGTGCCCTTTAGTATGGAATAAGTGACATTCTGACCATTCATAGTCCTCACCTCAGTCCTCCATCAAGTAAGTGAGAAAATCTAAATATCCTCCTTGAATCAGCATTATGATTCTAGCCAGCCATCTCTCTGGACGGGGACTGACTGTGGAAAGTGCTTGTCATCACTTGCTCTGCAGCCCTCACCAACTCTCCTCTGACTTAAGTGGGATGTGGTTTCCCTGGAGCTGCTCTCGACACTGAGGAACCCCTCCTTGATCCCCAACAATGGGATTTACACGAGCAGGTCCCCATTGTCCTCTGATGAAGGCAGTACGTTCTGACTTGGGCACAGACATGAGACATTGCATAAGAAGCTCACCTTGGTTGACAGCCTCCAAAATGATAATTTCACTGAGGCACCGTCTTACCAGAAAAATGGATTTTAATAGGCTTACAATTTTGTTTAAAAAATTCCATCTTATTAATTGTGAATTAATGATAGAGTTGTTGAAAGAAAAGTGAAACATGGAGAGGACAGTGGTTCAAAAGGAAAGAAGATATATTTGTGGCAATTTTCTGAATGATGGCTTGTTACAGCCAATTCAACATGTACTGAGGACCCAGGACACTTACACACCCTGGTCATTTGAGCAAATTATTCTCACTCCATCTTCTTTGTTCTGGGTGGCTTCTGTATGTCTCAGAACACTGCTTCATTAGCTATTCTGTCTCCACCACATGAATCTCTGATGCTGTTCATATGTGCTGGGCGCCACCAAAAACTGGCATCACTACTTTGGGAAAACTTTCAGCAAAATAGAAAGCAGTGGCCACTGCCACTGCCAAGAACCGTGAGGTTTTCATCAGCGCATTTCTGACCTGGAAGGTAGTTGTATTGATAATGCTCTGCCCTCTTTTGAAATTTGTCGGGCTGTATGGAGTCCTGGATATGGAGAAACAGAGCGCTGGGGCACGTGGTTATGGAAACAAGCGATGGACTATGGACTGACTCACTGGCATGAAAGGCTGGCAGTTCTGCTGCACATGTCTACTGCACTGAGCAGTTGAGTAAATGGATGACAGAGGGTGGAGCAGGGAGGTTACCAATAAGCAGCGGGGAGCCTGGAATGACCCATGTGGGTAGGAACAGATTTGAGTCACCGACATCAGTATGAATTCGTGTTTACTTCAGTATAGATACCAACGGCTACAAAAGTGTGTATAAATGTGTGTGTGCATGTGGTTAGTATGTGCACATACATTCCCTTGTTCTGTCAGCTGAGAAGGCTCAGAGTCAATGACACCTAAGTAGGAATGAGCATAACTAGTGCCCAGACCTTGGTTTCTAATCGCGTTCTCCAGTAAAAGGAACCAGGGCTCCTTGGAAAATGGCTGACCATAGGCCTGGAGCAGGAAATGTACAAATGAGCCTGGAGCACCTTGCAGCCCTAGAAAGTTTTAAAAGACTTAAAAAAAAAAAAAAGATGAAGTTATGTCAAAGCTACACAGTAGCTAACTGGAAGAGAGCTCTTAATGGCCAAAGCTGGAACAATTTGAGCAACAAAATGGTGTTGGATTATATTTAAAATAAATATCCAGGAGCCATAGTGATATGAAGGATTACACAGATTAATTAACGGTGGAGAAAAGACAAATTTCCTATGCAGGAAAGTTCCCAATAATTTATGTAGCTGTTCCACCCTCAAGCACGTGGAACCTAACTCCCCACCCTTAAATGTGGGCCACACACAGTGACGCCCTTGCAAAGATTACAGTACAGAAATTGAGTGGGTAAGATTACCCTTATAGTGGAGAAAACAGACCATCAGTACTTCAGCCAGATAATTAATGGCAAAGTCAACAGTGGAGGGTCACGGGAAAGGCCCAGAGAATAGACTGTGTCAGGGACTCGTTCCAAGCCAGCGTGTGTTCTCAACTAAAAGAGCTATTTGCAGCTATAAGGCTTTATGGGATTCTGGTTCATTTTCTTCCACTGACCTTCTAAGGAAATGCGCTGCCAGCATACACGGACTGTGAGGAAGGCCAGTTCCTGCCCAGAGCATGCCAGTGTTTTCCAGACTTACGTGGCTCCTCAGGACACAGACAAGTGACCCCACAACATGCCAGCATTGTGTGTCCACAAAAAGCAGGCAGCAGCTTGGACTGAGCCGTCTCACTCTTCTTCCCCTAAGCAGGGTGAATCTGCACATCAGAACCTGGGTGGGGCGAAGATCTTGGAAGAGCTGCCCCAAAGTCCCTGCGGGACATCATCACCCCCTGTAACCTCCAGACACTCCAGAGGGGAACAATTACTGCCAAATGTGCCTAAAACCATTTTCAGCTTTGCAAATCATAAAACTTCTTGATATTATTGGTCTTGAGACCATCTAAAAACAAATCCCAAAATTGCATCACATAGAAAATACAAACAAAAAAACAAAGAGCATCATTTCATAGTAGCACAGGGAAGTCATCCATGACTAAGTCAACTCTTTGCAAACACAAGGGCAATGATAATAATAATAACAACTGCAACTAATACCTGCTGTTGCTACATTATGAGTTTTTTATGTATTACCCACTCTATTTTTAGTTAATTCTTATAAATACCACACAAGGGAGGTATACTTTATAAGCATATTTACCGAGGAGGATGCAGGATTGCAGAGGGTAAGAAATATGCCCATGGTCTCACTCCCAGTGAGCTGCCAGGCCAGGACTCGGGGCTCGGTGTCTCTGATTCCAGAGACATGAGGAATCTCAACTCTGCACTCCAGCTGTTCCAGCCAGTCATTGGTTGATAGCAGTAGGATGTTTCATCTTCTCAATGTTACAAATATCATCATACATGACTGGCTAAAAATGATCAGAAATGAAAACGTAAAATACATTTTGATACATAGATAAAAAATAAAAACACAGATAGAAAATGTGCTCCATGGTGTATTACATTATCAATAGTTGCATCACCAGTGATTAGGACTATTTATTTATTAGAGAGTTTTCTGCAAATTTTTGGTAGCCAAATCCCTGGTGCACGACTTCCCAAACCAAAAGCATGAGAGAAAGAGCAGCGAGAGATGGACAGTGACAGCCCCATCCTTCCTGGGCTCCCACGCCTTCAGCTGCTGGCCAGAGCCCTAACATGTGGTTCCTTTTGTGGAAATAAACAAAGTCCACCCAAATGGAACAAGCAGAGGCTATTTATTCAGCGCTTTCGAGACCAAGGGAAGCAGCCTTCAGCACCTGCATTTGTCAGAGACTCAAAGGCAAGCAGAGGAGTGGGAAGGCAAATTGTGAAAAAAGAGAAGGAGGGATTCCGGTGCACCCCGAGTGGGGGCTGTTGGTGTGGGGAAGCTGGAGGCAGCCCGCTAGAAGCAGGCATCTGTGCGATTGGCAGGCTTTCTCCAGTAGGTCCTGAGTTGGGGGTGGGGTACAAAAATCAGGGAAGCTGGCGGTTGTGAATAGAGCCCTGACTGTTCTTGGCTGCTGACTGCAGAGGCTGTGGCTGGCTTTCCGGCCTGGTTGCTGCAGAGGTTGTAGAGCTGGACTGTTATACATAGTCCAGCCCTGTCACTTTGTATATTCGGTTTCTCATCCAGGTAACCTTCATGACAGACCAGTATCGCTCACCTTTCTCGAGGCTGAGAGTGAGGGAGAGTACGTGGGGGTGCATATGGAGGAAGTACAGGGCTCTCCTGGAAGTCAGAGAATAAGAATAGAGCAAATACTAAACTGAATAGAGCACATGGTCATGTGCTCACGTGCACATGCACACGCACGCACACACACATATGCACATGCATGCCCATACACGCACACGCATGCACATGCATGCACATGCACACAGATGCATAAACACACACACATGCACAAACACACACATGCACATGCATGCCCCCACACACATGCACATGCACGCCCATACACACACATGCACATGCATGCCCACACACACACATGCACATGCATGCACACACATGCACAAACACACACATGCACATGCACATGCATGCACATACACGCATATGCACTGGTGATCCTGTACTGCACGGACAGCCCATCTACCCATCCCAGAGGCCTCCTCAGCACATGCAGGGAAAAGACACATCTTCCCACCCAATGCAGAATGCACCAACCTTCTCATAGGCTTACTCAACACACGGAAAGGTGACATTTCTCTGTGGAAGCCTGGAGATACCGCTTAAAATGAGCCTCCCCTCTCCCATGATCACCCTTTTCCAATCAACAGGTGGCATTGTGGTTCATAAGACTTACAGAGCTATACCTGTTTGCAAAAAAAAAAAAAAAAATGATAAGTCGCATTCCTGTAATTAAAGGTCGTTTCTATTTCAATCTTCTCATCCATCAAATGGTAAATAATAACAGTGACGAGGAACAATCAAACCGCCTCCAGGGCTACATGGACACTGGGGTGTTTTCAGGCTTCTGCTTACATTCCAGATTGTCGGTCTTTCTTTCCTTCTGGGTGTTTCCAGGCCTCCACCTCAGAGGGGAAGAGACTCTCCCACCTGTTTGCTGCAACATGTCTTCTCTCAGAGATGTGTGGCTGTCATTAATCACCTGCGTCCACTTCCCCTGAGGGACTCTCTGCAGGTCTTCAGCTCTGAAGGCCCACGCTGCTTCCAGACCCTAGGCATAACTAAATCACCCTTGACTCTCTCCTGGGGGCAGGAGAGGAGCCCATCCCCCCAAGAGTCCGAACTCTCCAGGCTTTGAATCTTCCTCCACTTTCTCTGCTTGGAGGATCTTACTGAGCTACCCCTGCCCCCAGTCGGAGAGGTACATTTTTCTGAAGCCTTTTTTTTCCTTTTGAGACAGGGTCTCACTCTGTCACCCAGGCTGGAGTGCAGTGGTGTCATCACAGCTCACTACAGCCCCAACCTCCCAGGTTCAGGCAATCCTCTTACCTCAACCTCGTAAGTAGCTGGGACTTACAGGCAAGTGCCACGATGCCTGGCTACTTTTTAAAATTTTTTGCAGAGACAAGGTCTCACTATGTTTGTCAGGTTGGTCTCAAACTCCTGAGCTCAAGTTATCCTCCCACTTCGGCCTCCCAAAGTGCTGGAACTACAGGCGTGAGCCATCATGCTTGACCTACTTCTGAAATCTTTGGGTCTGAACAGAGGTCACTAAGACCAGGCTCACGGGCTGACGCCTGTTTCTGTACATGCAGTTTGCCAGCATACAGTCACACGCATGTGTATCTGCACCATCCATGGGTGCTTACAAGGGACAACAGCGCCTGGGCACTGGCAGCAGAAACCAGCTGGCCCACAAGGCCTAAAATATTTTCTGTCCAGCCACTTAAGCAAATGTTGCTAACCTCTGGCCTAAAAAATAGGTGTAAGCTTTTTATTTTTGAACTGAGAAGTCATCTTGATGCCCTTTCCCTTGGCAGAGAAACCGAGTTCATCAGAGACCAGCCCTGATGGCCGCCTTGGTGCTTGAGTGAGTGAAGCAGAGCCCCATGCTCAGCCAGGTGCCCGTTCTCAGCGTTAACCCGGCTGCCCATTCCCTCTGATCACTTGTGGTCAGCCGACTCCGCACACACTTTCTAAGATGCCTCTGCCTTGGGCTTAACCTGCTGCCACGGTGGATTGTGGTTCCCCTTTGCCATGGATGGAATGTTTGTGTCTCTGCAAAATTCCTATGTGGAAATCTTAACCCCCAAGTTGATGGCGTTAGGAAGTGGGGCCACTTGGAGGTGATGGGTCCTGAGGGTAGGATTAGTGTCCTCATGAATGGGGATTAGTGCCCTTATAAAAGAGGTCGCAGGAGCGTGGCCTTGGCCCTTCTGCCATGAGGAGGCAGCTTTTCTAGGAACCATGAAATGGGCCCTCACCAGATACCAGGTCTGCTGGCTGGCACCCTGATGCAGGACTTCCCAGCCTCCAGAACTGTGAGAAATAAATGTCAGGTGTTTATAAGAAGCCCCATCTATGGTGTTCTGATATAGCAGGTTGAATGGTCTAAGACACCCTTTGTCACATCCTTCCTTTCCTCTTCCCCCTCTGTGGGCACAGCAGAGCCCGCTCCAGGCCATGACTTTGGGCCATGAGATGTTTGCAGATGGATGTGGCAGAAGCTCGAACATGCATCTGCCCAGCCCAACCTGCAGATCCCGAACTCGGCTGGCCTCAGACGCAGGGGAAAAGTAAACGTTGTTAACTGCCCGAGGTTTGGTGGTGGCAGGCTCACAGCATTATTGTGGTACCAAGTACCTGACAGAGTCCACAGCATCTTCCTTCCACATGAGCCCCTTGGTCCTGGCACTGCCTGTGATACCCTGAGAACTGTCAATGGCTGCTTCTCCAGCACCGCATCAGCCAGTCTCCCACCACACTTCCTAGGCACATGCGCAAGAGCACGACATAGAGACAGAGAAGAATTCTAAGAACACTTTACAGACAACGTTCCAACCTGAAAAGTAATTGTGTAGCCTGCAGTCTGGATAAATGGATCAAGGTCTGTTTCCACAAATAAGCTTTATCCCTTTGGAAAACAAAGACAAAGTGTGACTGTCCTCAAATGGGTTTTGGCTCCAAGCTTAATCATCAGGATTCACAGAAAAGACTGTGCAGTGGCTAGGCCTTTAGGATGAAGATGTATTTTATTACCATTCAGCAAATAGAGGACCATGCACACTTATGACTTCACTTGTAGAGAAGTAAGGTCATTTTCCATTTCTGAATCTTTTACAAAGGACAAACAGAGTTTGTTATTAAATTGCATTTGCATATGTCAGGGGTTTGCATGGCTCATGGGATCCCTGTAGAATTTACATCAAGAATGGGTATTTTTGTTGCTGTGGGCCCCAGGTCTTTTGTCACTAACTTGACAAGTCACAGACACCTTGAGAGGTGACATGAACATCTGAGCTTGCTCCGGATTCGGCCACGTGTGAGCTGCGTGTTCCAGTCCTCGAGGCTAACCTGGCCTGTGCCTCATGCCTCATTCCCAGCACCGTGTGAATGGGAGCAGTCGTATTCCATGGCTGCTGGAGGCCTGGACTTCTCATGGATAGGTGTGAAGCAGGGCAGTGCAAGCCAGGGAAATAGTACCCACTGTTCTGCTTCCGTGTGAGGATAAGAAATAATAAATACAGCTGGGAGGGTGGGAGAGGCTGCTTAACAAATACAAATCACAGCCAGATGGAAGGCATGAGTCCTGCTGCTCTGCACCACTGGAGGGTGAACTTGGTTAATTATAATTTATTATAAATTTTTGAAAGCTAGAATCGAGGATTTTTGAATGTTCACAACACAAAGCAGTGATAAAATGTTCGAGGGGATGGATGTGCTAATTACTACACATTGATCACTACATATTGTATACACGCATAGAAACGTCACCATGCACCCCAGAGACACGTACAATTATTACATCTCAACTAAAAATAAAAATAAATAAATAAAAAGTACAATGTGCTACAACTGTCCCGGACACCTAGCACTCGCTTAGTAAATAGCAATAATTGTTATTTTCCTCTGAGTTTGCTAAATTGTAAAATTCATCAGTTATATACCCCTGCTCCCCATACATGATAGAGCTCTGTAAGGATGCAATAGCAGGTCTCCAAACACTTAGAAAAGCTGCTCATACTTACACAGGGAAAGCCCTGTCCCTGAGATCATTACTCTTCAGCATTCTGGGACCATCATTTTTAGAACAAGACCTGCATGGTTCTGAGTAGGCAGTCTGGCAGCACACGCTCAGAGCGGTCCTCCAGCAGCTGACAGAGTCCTGTGCCTGCTCCCAGCCTCATGCACAAAGGGAGCACGTTGGAATTGTATTTGTTGAAGGTGCTTCCAGCACTAAGGGTTGGGGATTCTATACGCTCATCAAATGCTAAGTGAAGTAGTAGAGCAACATCCATGCTGACCGCAAACCCTTGTAGTGCTCCCTTGCCAAGTTCCAGGTGATGTGCCTGCAGAGCCCGTCCGTCTTCTCAGTGCTGAGTGCCCCGGAAGGCACTGCGGCACACCTGCTGACTCAGGGCCACCCTCCTCAGGGATGCCCCAACCCTGGACACTGAGGCCTGGTGACCTGGTGACAGGCCTCGGTCCAGGACCAGCAGAGACTGAGGATGGAATTCCAGCTGTTCCCAGAGTCCTGGGTCACTCATGCTGAACATGCTCCCTTAGGACAGAGAGGCTGGACAGGGATAACCTGTCACTTGAGTTCCCCACCGGATTAAGACGCAGCCCTTTGTTCTCCCAGAATGTAAGGCAAATGCCAAGGACACCTGCTGGCTCTGTGTGGCCAGCTGCCCTTCCCAGGGTTTCTGAAGGTTCCTGAGCTGCTACTTCCAGCCACTGTGGACCCCAGACCCCACCACTCCAGCTCCCTCCAGCCCCGCAAGGCCTGAGACCTGCCCAGCACTCTGAGAAGCCTTGTGTGTTTATCTTGTGGCTTGAAGAAGAACATGAAAGCACCTGTAGGGTCGTTGTGCCTGGGCTGTGGAGAGCTGCTCATGGGCTCGCTAGAATCTCCTAGGATGACTCCTACCTCCCCCTGCCCTGGGGCATCCCACCTCCTACCTAGACGGGGAGGGGTTGACCGTGAGGAGCCTGGGCAGCTCAGCACCGCCCCACCTCGCACCTGCCAACATGCCCCTCTGCTTCTGCTTCATGGGCTCTGTGATGGATCTGGGAACCAGAGTCTGCACCAGCCTGTGTCCGCTCCAACACACAGAGGTAACCCTTAAGGTGCAATCAGCATCTCCCTGGATTCTTCTTGTTTGTCTTCCTCCACTTTCTCTTAGCCTGACATTTTTCTCAGCTCAGTTCTTTTTCATGATTCCCCAATGTCCTGTGCATTGACAAGAGCCATTCCAAACATGACTTTTGAATGGGGTCTTAAATCAACAAGCGACATCTCACAATCAGGCAAACAAATTGCCCTGAGCCTCAGTGTCCTCTCCTGCAGCCTCTTTGGACACACGTTGCTGGAAGCAGTTTGATCCTCCTGCCCTCTGCTGTTGGGTGGTGGTTACCCATGCCGGGTCTCCTCCCCTGTGAAGAACAGCCTATCTAAGGTTAAGGTCAGAGTCGGGGAGTCCCCACTCACTAGCTTCCTCGTCAGGTAGGTCCTGTCCACAGTCATGCTGGCCGTACACACTTCATACCCGTGTGCTCTGGGAGTGGTACTGATCATCACATGCCCACGAGAGAGGGACAGCACCCACGCGAAACAGGAGCCCGCAGACACTCAGGCTGAAGGCTCAGCCAAAGGCCCAGCTCCAAAGCCCACACTCTCCTCACAAACCTTCTTCCACTAACTTCCACTGTGAACCCAGGATCCTCCTCACCTTGGAGACTTTTGGGGGTCTCAGCCAGGGAGCAGGAATCCTGGCCTCTAAGCTTCATCACAACCCACCCTGACCTGGCTGGGGAATCCTGGGAAGCCACTCGCCAAGCTTCCCAGCAGCCCACCAAGAAGACAAGACTCATTAAAATGTTTAATCCTCTGAACACCCCAAACTGTTGGTGGCTTTTCCTCAATCTTACAGAAGCCATGTGTTTTGGAACTGAATTCAGGTCAGGGGTCAGTCCAGCCGCATGGACTCTCCTGCTGTGAAGCTGGGTGTATTTCAGCAGTTCGATGCTGGCTGTCTTCTGCGGTCCTCATCTTCTCCTCCCTCCTCTCTGTGCACTTAGATGTACACCTTGAATAGGAGGATATCCCAGCTGCTGAGCTACAGAACGCTGGCGCCCCAGAGACTGGGGATCAGCACGCTTGACCAACAGCAGGACTCTCTCCTGAATTCTTTACTGATCCACAAAGTGACAGCTTCAAACAGACCTGTTCTGGTGTGTCCACGAAGGCCAAGTGCTGACACCCTGAGCTGGGTTGCCAGGGCATGGTTAGAAATTAACTTTCATAAAAGGCTACATCATGATTCACATACATTCATCAAATAAAACATGTTAAGAAATTTATTTAATTCATTATCAATGAGAGAACTAGTAAGATCTTACAACTAGTTACAAGGAAGGAGAATCAGACAACCCATGCGTGTGTAGGTCTGGAATAGGTAGGGGAATGTGCAGATGGAACCACGCTGGGCCCTTCCGCCGTGAGGAGGTAGCCAGCAGAGCCTCCACAGGACTGAGCTCACCTGGCTGCAATGGAGTCATCTCTCTGCATTGCTGTCAGTTGTCTGCACCTTAGCAAGTTGTGAAACAGTTCCCTTAGAACCAGAATTAGATACCCTGGAAGGCTGAGCCATAGACAGGGCACAGTTCTCCTCAAGCATGTCTTTTCTCTCCACAGCCGACAGCACCAGCATCCGGATCCTCCTGGGGCCCCAGACTCCCTCCGTCTGCAGCAGGGGTTGTGGCCAGGAGTTTGTGCCTTTCTATTTAAAAAAAAAAAAAAACTCCCAATTACTTGGATGGACACTAAATATTGGGGGAACACCTGACCTGCAATTTATATTCACAATCTCTTTTTCAATGTCCCTCTCTCTGCGAGGCCAGGTGTGCGGTGTTTTAAGAGGGTGGCAGGACAGGGATTCTGTCCCCCTCCTCAACATGGCCTCTGACCTAAGGCCTGCAGCCCCGCCAGCAGAGATAGAGATCAAGGGGCCATGTCTCTGCAGCAGTCCACTTTGAGACTGAAAGCCTTCCTGGGGTGCACTGCTTTCGCTGATAATGTGATCAGCCAGCATTTAGTGGGGGCTTACTCTTTTCTAAGCCCTTTCCTTACACTATCTTATTAAATCAGCATAACATCCCTAAGAAGTGGTTATTGTTACTATTATTCCTATTTTATGGATGATGAAACTGAGACCCTGAGAGGTAAGACAGATGGCAAAGATAAAAGTATGAATTCTATAGCACCAGAGCCGTCAAGGGATGTGGGTTTTCTTATTTAGATTATGTTTGTCCTGGGTGAGAAGGGCCTCCTGAGAAGATCCATATGTGCTGGGGAGAAGCAAAGGGAAGAGTCAGGAAGGGGTGGGGGGTGGGGGTCGGCAGCCAAAGACAAGCCTTTCACCCGATGCCTGGGAACACAGCCAGCTTTTCAGGGGAGGAGTCTATCCGTCTATCCTCTCTGATTATCTAATTGCTTATAAAAAGAAGACAAGAGGGCAAGAGACCATGAGCCCGGCACACCAAACAGCAATCGAGCTGCCCCACGCACACACAGTCAGAGGGAGAAGTGCCCCAGCAGCTGATCAAATACAAATGGCACAAACACAGCAGCCAGAACACCCGCTGCCTGGCAGGCCACCCGCTCATCAAAGACCAAAAGATTCAGAGAGCCTGCAGGGTTTGAGCTATGTCTGTTTTTCCAAACAAATATCCCTCCCAAAAGCATGTCTTCCAATGACCTTCAGTTCAAATAGTGATTCAGAAGAGAAGAAAGGCTGTCAATAAGCAAAAAGCACACTGATTCCTCCAACCGAACGCTCTCTTTCCGAGGAACCAAGGAGCGTGAATAGCAGAAGCTTGGTGCACGCGCCTCCGGAACACCTCAGCTCTCTAAGGAGCCACTGGCCTCTGTCGGAGTGAAGCTGCCAAATGCGGTTGTTCTGTGCTGAACGCAGCACCAGGGAGAGAAGGGAAGACGTTTTGCCTGCAAAATAGGCACTCAACACATTTCTGTTGGGGTAATAGGAATTTATGATAATTGGGCCTACAGGCTAATCTTTATCCTGCAGGAATTGCATAGATTACCCTAGGCAATACTTTTGTGGAAGTGAATGGATAAAAGCTCCCTTTTTTTCAGTTCAAAAGTCAGGTTTTTATAAGTTCAGTGCTCAGACCTCTAATAGACTAATATAACCCAAACAGAAGTCCTTTCTCCTCCGCACACAGCCTTTCCATGGCTTGTTCTTTGAGAATGTTGCTAAAGTCTAGGTGTCTGGTCTATTCTCTCTCAAAATGCAATGCCATTAGAAGAAAGTGGTGTGGATTTCTAGCACTTTCTTCTCCAATTTGAGCCTATATATATATATATATATATATACACATACATACACACACACACACACACATATATATATATACACACATATATATATAAAGAGAAGAGAGAGAGAGAGGTGGTGGGGTGAGAGCATCTTGCTCTGTTACCCAGGCTGGAGCGCAGTGGCCTGATCATAGTTCACTGAAGCTTCAAATCCCCAGGCTCAAGTGATCCTCCTTCCTCAGCCTCCTGAGCAGCTGGGACTATAGGCGTGCACCACCACATCGAGTTAATTTTTTTTATTTTTATTAGAGATGAAGTCTCGCTATGTTGCCCAGGCTGTCAAAATATATTTTAATGAACACCATAAATGCTTTAAATGAGCTTTAAGAATAAAAATGACTTGTAGGTGCCCTGACCCAACTGCTACCTGTTGTGGCTTCCCCTCCCCACACCTCGTACACAGGCTTGCCGCCAGGGGGCAGTAGGGGCTGTTTTGGCCGGGCGGGTAGACAAGAGACAGGACCCCAGCAGTGAGCTCGTTGCAATGGATTTGCTAATATTCTAGTGAGCAGTGCCCGTCTAGTGGAGTCTATTCACAAAGCACCTTTTTACAGATGACCATTAGTGAGTTCTCATGACATCCCAGCATGTCCCAGGGTTGTGCATTTGCTCACCCACGTGTCTGAGCCACAGCCCCCAGGGAGGGTCCCCTCCTCCCACCCGCTGCACTGCTCCCGTCGGAATTGCTCATCTACGCATGCCTTTGCTTCTTAGTATTATAGCAATAATAATAAGAGCTAGCACTTATATCAATTTAATATATCCTAGAAATATGAACATTTTGCATGTATCCATTTTAAATCCTCTAAACATCCCTTTAAGGTAGGCAATGACAAGTTTGAATTTTCTCTGCGCTCCTAGAAACCTCATGGTTAAGAAGTCCCCTGGCCTCTCCCTCATCCTTTTGTTCCCAGGAACTGGCTTACTGCAAAGATCTACCCTTCCCCATGTGACTTCACTGAGACTCTCAAATGCCCCTTTGTTTATCTGGGATAAGACCCTCATAAATGATTAGCTGGACTATGTCCCCACTCACCAATCTGGACAAAATGTCCAATAATTTGACTTGGCCAACTGTAGTCAGGATTCTGTCCTAGGCACAGAGGCAGAACCACCCTCCTTCATGCCCACTGAGAACATTTCCTGCTCGATTGTGGGATCACAACACCCTCTCACTCCTCCCACCATATCCTGTTCTTTCCAGCCATACCTACCCCTTCCTATTAAAGAAAATCCCTTTCTTTCTGGCCTTTGCCACACTTGCAGGTCTGATGGACGAAGCATCCCCCACAGCAACAGCCCCTCCCTCAATGGCATTGGTCCTTTTGGATAAAGTCTCTCCTTACCTGAGTCTGGATTCCTGATTGACAGTGCCATTATTATCCACCCATTTACAAGTGTATAAACTGAGGCACAGGGAGGTTCCATACTTGCTGAAGTCCAGAACATGCCCGTCAGAGCTGCAGCCAGCCTCGGCCCTTGTGCTGAGCTGCTCTGCTGTCACCTGGCCTGTGTGTCATCAGCCTTTCCATCCTTCAATCAAAAGAGAGGAAACCTAGTCTATCCGCTTCAACCTCAAAAGAATTTCAGGCCAGAAATATGAGTGTGCGGCAAAGAGGCTGAATCACTGAGACCCTGGGAGGGATCAGCTCCCATTCAAATTATGAGAGCTAAAATAGAATTTGCTAATCTGAAAAAGAGATGAAAATAGGCCACCCCATCCAAAGTAAAATACTACCTTGCGTTGAGTATCTCACTTGAGAGAACTTACATTCTTGGAAACTCTTTGGGAAGATCAGTTGTTAGCAAGTGCTTTGGTTTCAGTGATGGTGTCCCCTCCATCAGTCAGGTTGAAACTTAATTCCTATCATGGCGGTATTAAGAAGTGGGGCTTTTGGGGAAGTGATTAAGTCTTGAATATTCTACCATCAAACATGGATTAGCACCTTATTATTTTTTCTTTTAAGTTCTGAGGTACATGTGCTGAACGTGCAGGTTTGTTACATAGGTATACATGTACCACAGTGGTTTGCTATACCTATCAACCTGCCATCTAGGTTTTAAGCCCTGCGTGTGTTAGCATCTTATTTTTTAGAAAGAGCTGGAGGGAACCAGCTTAGGCCCTTTCTGCCCCTCCACCTTCCAGCCTGTGAGGATGCAGCTGAGAGAGGAGGCCATCGATGAAGCAGCCCTCACCAGACACCAAACCTTCCAGCACCTGCTTCTCAGACTTTACAGCCCCCAGAGCTGTGAGAGATACATTTCTGTTCTTGCAAATTACCCAGCCTCAGGTATTTTGTTATAGCAGTATTTTGTCATAGCAGCTCAGACTAAGGTAGCAAGTAATAAATATAGTCATATGCACTATATTCAGACTCCATATTTGCAAATTGGCCTGCTCACTAGGATGTGTTTGTAGCCCCAAAAATCAATGCTGGCAGCACTTTCACAGTCTTCTGAGGACACACACAAAGTGGCAAAGAATTTGAATTGCCTAGTGGGCAAGTTCCCAGCTGAGGCAGCGCAAGGCCTGCTTTCTTGTCTCCTGCTGTAAACAAATGTCTTTTCCATGGTCTGTGTGGTGCCCTGTTTCTCGCACTTTTGTGCTTTTTGGTAGTGATTTTTCTGTTTAAAATGGCCCCAAACATAGGGATGAAGTGCTGGCTAGCGTTCCTAAGTTCAAGCCTGGTATGTGCCTCATGGAAAAAATACAAGTGTCAGACAAGCTTCATGCAGGCACAAGTTATAGCGCTGTTGGAGGCGAGCTCAATCTTAATGAATCAACAGTATCTCTAGGTTAAATATAGTGTCTTTCCATAGAAACACACTCAAAAACGGTTATGCATTGACTGCTTGACAAAATTCTGTGACCAAAGACTTGCAGGCACCAGACCCTGTGTTTCTCTAAGAAGCAATAGTTCAGTATGGGCCAATGCAGTGTTCCAGGTAACTTCATAGAGCATAACAAGTCCCAAGAATCAAAGGAATTTTCCATATGTTTTATGGTCTTTTGTAAACTCTGACACCTCTGCTTTATGAATTTCAAGGTAACTACAAGTTTTTTACTTATCAACTACCAAGCCAGCTATTTGTGTGAGGGGAGGGAGGCTTTAGAAAGAGGTGGTGGAAAGGCGGAAGCGAGGCAGTTTAGAAGGTGCAAACCACCCCCAACTAACGCAACATTGCTCGTTTTGATGCTTTGACATCTGCTCTGAGAAAGAACAGCAGGTGGACCTACGGAAGAAAAGAGATAAAAATTCTCATTCCTGAGGTTTTCTTAGTATATGATATTCATCTGTATCCCCAGTTTTTATTTCAAAGTTAATGCACGTATTCTTAGAAACTAAATTACTTGCAAGAAATTCTGGCTACAAATATAATCCACCATGACCTCCTGTTTTTCCCAAGTGCTAGCATATTCATAGAAACTGTTACCTGCAAGAAACTCAGGTTTAGAACATAAACCCGTGTGTACACCTGTGTCCCCACATTTAACTCCCTGTAACTCCCTGGCCTCAGCTGGCAGACCTGTACAAAGTTCACCAGCTTTGCACCTGGTTGACGTGCATCTGCGAAGCCCTCACCTGTATCCTATGCCTGCCTGTCTTCTTCTTTGTGCCTACTTCCACCCATCTTTCCCCTAATACTCACACTCTGTCCCATAAAAGTGGTTTTTCTCCTGGAAGCAGCTTTGAAATCAACACCCCCCAGCTTCCAAGCATCATGCAGCATGCCCTGCTGTGGACTGAGCTTAGGCTCTGCAAAAGAAGGTCCTGTTGCATGAGATGTAATAAAGGTGACATTGGAGTAAACAGTCATATGCTAGACCAATTTTCTGTATATATGTTTAAGTCCCATCTGTAAACCAAAAATAAAATTCTAAGCCACCCGATAGGAACAGACCCCTCTTCTCAGCCAAGGGCATTCCAAAGTTAACCTGAAAAACTAGTTCAGGTCATAAGGGGAAGGGGAAGCCAGACATGCCTCATTATACCCTCCTCCTTTTTTGAACTACTGATAGGACAGACTCTTTAAGTCTGATAAGAAACATTCACAATCTACTCTCTCTGAAGTCTGCTACCTGGAGGCTTCATCTGCGTGATAAACCCTTGGTCTCCACAACCCCTTATCTTGACCCAGACATTCCTTTCTATTGATTCTAAGTCTTTAGACAATAATTTAACTGTTTCAACCAACTGCCAATCAGAAAATCTTTGAATCTACCTATGACCTGGAATCCTCCACTTCCGGTTTTCCGGCCTTTTCAGACCAAATCGATATACACCTTGCATGTACTGACTGATGCTTTATGTCTCTTTAAAGCATATAAAACCGAGCTGTAACCTGACCACCTTGGGCACGTGTTCTCAACATCTCCTGAGGGCTGTATCACAGGCCACAGGTCACTCATATTTGGCTTAGAATACATCTCTTCAATTTTACTGAGTTTTAATCTTTTCATCAACACATCTGTAAAACTTGATCCTGTCCTCTACAGACAAAATTATATCCATAACTATGAACTCCACCTAGGTTTTTACAGCATAATTTTGAAAATATTTCTATCAAACATCCTTTTAAATTTTTTTCCTTATGTCTGATCCTGTTATGCTTAGCATTTGTTCCAAAGGAACTGGAGCCAGTCAGCTCTAGTAAATTCATTTGTGCTCTTGCTTGTAAAGAAAGGGAAAAAATAATAATATTCTGTAGGCTGAAAAGAGAAACAGGAACTACAGATACTTACATTTGCGGAGATAGCAAAGGAAAGGTTACCAACATTTATGGAATGTAATTAGGCTGTTGAGTGGATACAAACCTACCCACTCCACAGGCCATCAGTGTTGACGCTGGTCAGATGCAAGTGGAATAATTCACACCAGAGGTTTATTTCCCAAGGACAAGCTCGCCCTTCACGGTACCTTCAGGTAATGGCCCATTAGTGGCATTCAGTCTTGGCTGAAAGGAAAAATCAGAAAGTGATGGGTAGGCAGTATTTTTCACCCAAGCTGACAAGTGGACTCAATAAATGTCTGGGAAATGCAATGGAAATTTCAAAGGAAAGACAAGTGAAGGCCAAATCTGAAATTCCAATTTGAAATTACCTAGCTGTCAAACCTGGCAGATAGTGCTTTCTCACATCGCCCTGCTAGCTCTCGGTAAGAAATCCTTTATTCCAGGAGGAAAATCACTCTTGTCAGCGTACAGGGCTCTCAAGTTCTTGTGCTTTTCTGCAGCGACACCTAAGACTGGCACGCAGTGGAGCGTCCACTGCAGGTGGCTTTGAGGGGCTTCTCTATGCACTTTCAATGTGTTTTCAGAGGCCACTCATAGCCGGTCATAAACTGTGAGATGCTAGAAAGTTACTGAGAAGCAGAGCTAGGATATCCACCAAGGCAGTGTTGGGCTGAGAAAGTGATTCCCTGAGGACCAGTGCTTTGACACTGAGAGGCCTTAGAAGCTGCCTCAGAACCAAAGTCCCTCTAACCTTGTCTGGTCCTCCATCCCTAAGCACAGGGAGGGCCTCCCTCTGCAATTTCTTTATTTGACCAAAAAAGCTTCTTTCCAAACAATGCAATTGTCTTAAACCCCCTCCCTAGGGATTTATCAAATAACCTAGAAAGATCAACCATCAAAGGAGAAGAGACTGGGAGTCCTCCCTGCTCCTAGACAGACTTAACCATCTATTCTCCCGAAGGAAGCTCTTAGAGTCTAACTGAAGGAATTTATCTGCATAAAACAACCCTCGTTCTTATGAGTCATTGTCTGAGTATTGCGCCTATTCATTCCCCCAGCTTCCCTTCCCCTATAAGAAAAGGTAAATAGGTTCCTGCAGCATGCTGGGTTACTGGGGGATCATTCTCCTGAGACTCCCCATGCTGTACATGTTAAAATTTTGTAGATCTTTGCTTCTACTAATCTGTCTTTTGTGAGTTGATTTTCAGAAAACCTTCAGAGGGCAGAAGTTTTCCTTTGGCCCTTACAGTGAATTTCCAGTACACGGGGTGTGGCCAGGTCCTGCCAGCGTGGAGGGTGCTGTGAGGCCAGGCCTGCCACCCAGCCCCGCTCTCCCTGGAAGAGCACGAGGACCTGGGCTTCCCTCTGACCCTCCTACCCCTGGTCCAGTGTGCCAGATGCGTTGAGCTTGGAATAGTAAAACTGGAGTGATCAATAGACCTACCTGGCATGGGTGCAGGTTCAGTCAATTCACTCAAACACCTCAAAGTGTTCGTGAGGTGGGCGTGACTTGGAGGAGTTTGGGAGGCTGGAGGGGGTGTGGACAGGGGCAGCCGCAAGAGCTGGGGCGGGGGCTTTAGACTGTGTCTGGCCAGGGAGAACTGCATCAAATGCAGACGTTCGACAGGTAAAATCGATACACACTGTTTTGATGGGAAGAGTGCAGGGAGCTGGCCACCCCCTGCCTGGCCACCCCATTGCTCTCCACAGAGCCCAGGGCTCTCAGCACACAGCATGACCAGTGTGGACCTCCACCACATTCCCATCTGGCCAGAAGCATGGTCTTGGACCTCACATACATCCCTGAACTTTGGTCTTTGGCCATTACTGACCATTGAGTCTACTTGTCCTTCCTTTTCTGGCCAGCCCAGGAATCACAGAGAGAAATCCAACTTCTGCCTCTTTTCCAGAGAATCCCTGCAGATGCCCTCCCCTCCCATCTAGTTTAATAACACGGAGTTGGGCAGGACACTATTAGGGGAGTGTTCTCCAGAGTGGAGTGCTGGATCCCAGGGAGGTAAGACCACTCACTCAGTGGGACATTCCTGCTTATGAGAAATCTGGTCACAATAGCATATGTTTATAATTTGTAAACACGTGCATATGTGTGAATTAAAGGCTCATTGTCAGAAACAGTTTACAGGATGTACAGGTGCATTATCAGGCATGCCTGATCAGAAGAATCTAGATGCTACTGAATCAAATCACACTGTATCTAGTGTTATATGTGTCTTGTGTCCATTCGGGTTCCTATAACGAAATTCCATAAGCTGGGCAGCTTATAAGCAACGGAAATGTGTTGCTTACAGTTCTGGAGACTGGAGAATCATAGTTACAATTTCTCAATCTCTGTCTGTATTATCCTCTATTTAAACACCTGCTTCCTCCCCCAGGCTGTGAATTCCGTGAGGTGGGGTCATTGATTTTGCTCCATGTCATGAGCCCCTAGCCCACACCTGGCATGTCGTGGTGTCCATATAAACACCTTGGAAATGGGTGAATTTGCCGTGTGTGAAAAGCTTTAAGTGTTTATAGCTGCCATAAGCAATGACTGGTTGGTGAGCAAAATTCAGGTTCCACATTAGAAGAATAGAAACCAGCTATCTTTATGGTCAGCATCTAGTGGTATTAAATTAAGTTTCCTGGTTAACACTTGGGTCAACAGGAGAATGAGAAGGCAGAGTAGGTCCAGAGAGGGACTCGAGGGCAGAGGCAGATATGGGCCTCCCAGTTCCAGACACTCCTGTAGATACTAAGGATACAAGCTTGTCCTTCAGGGGTTCACAGTCTAAGATTCCAAGACTGTCCCAGTGATCTTCCATTGTGGTTCTATTTGTCTATGTATTTCCCAGCTAGAAAAGCCACCTGCTATTTTCCAGTATGAAGGTCCTTTTTCAGAATTTATTTCTGGTTCTTCCTAGAGTTCGGGTCTCTCAAGTAACAGATGTGAAATACAAATCACTGGGCTAGAGCCTAACCAGCTGCATCACTCTATACAGAGACCTGGGGCTAGATGGGTGAAGGTAGTGGGGCTGGCATTACACGCCATCTCATTTAAGCATCATGAGAACCCTCAGGAGCAAATGCTATTTTTATCATCCTTATTACATATTTTAGAAATGGAAGCCTAGAGAAGTTAAGTAACTTGCCTGAAGTCTCTCAGTTAATATAGATGATGGAGCCATCACTTTTCCTTCGTCTACTTCAATCCGAGTTTAGGACTTGCCCACTTCAATATACTGCTCAGCATCCTAGGAACTGAAGTGACCTAAGTTCACACAGTGGTATCAGGATTGCATGGCATTTTACACCCAAGCATGACTCTGTATTATCGAGGTGCAGTAGGCATCACTAATGCTCACCAGCATCAGGTAATGCTCACCAGGCACACGCCAAGGCTCTTCTTCTTTCCCTCTTTTAGACTCTGTTGTGTCATATGATTTGCTTTGACAGATAAGGTGTGAGCCGAAGTACTGTGCATCATTTCTGCATAGTTCTTGCCAACTATAGAGATTGCAAGTCCATGCCATCTCTTGCCAACCATATTGACTGAGGAAGGCATATGTTCCGGATAATGTCATAACAGGGTCACTGAATCACTGCAGAGATAACAGCATCTTAGAGAGTCACACAAACCCAACACAACTTTTGTTTGGGTGAGAAATGCCTTTTGTTTTCCCCATGGAGCCACTGGGTTTGGGTTGCTTGTTGCCGCAGCATTGCCAATCTTATATTGACTGATAGGTTGGCTTCCCATCCACAATGGTCACAGCGTTGTCTTCCCAATTTTTCTCTGGCTTGACTACAAGTGTCCACTCAGACTTCAGTGAGCACTCCCAATACGCAATGCACCATTTTCATTCTTACTTCATGAATTTTAAGTAGAAAAATTCACTGGAGTGCTTGAGGAAAGGAGAGTTAGGTTTCAAGATGATTTTATGCATTTAAGTGGGATTCAGTGCCAGTGAATAAAATAAACAACCAAGTGAATCCCAGGAATCCGCCTCATGATGGCCTCGGGCTGCACTAACCCTAAAACAATACAGACAGAATATGGAGGCACGATACAATCTGGGTTCCTGTAACTTACCAGAAAATGTAAGTTGCAACTGCACATGTCACCTGGAGCTATTCAAAGATGCAGCCTTTTCAACATTCATATGTTACTCCTTAAGTTTCTTGAAAATATTTCCAGTCTGCAGGAATCATGTCCCAGCTAGGAAGCAAGGGAGATGTCCTCCGTGGGGGGCTGTAGTGTGTGCAGTCTCCGTGCCTGCATGGCGCTTGCTCTGTGTTCTGTGAGTCTTCTCCTCTGGCCATCTCCTGCCATGAGGACCACACTGAAACTGACAACCCTGCCCTTGCAAAGTGCCCTCCAATACTCAAGACTTTCACATCTTCGTCTTAGAACATACTACGGCAATTGTTCTTCTTCTTTGTTCTAAAGGATCTCTAGGCCTTCCCTTAGTACAAAATTACTTTTCTGGTCAACACATTCTGCCCTGGGGCTTGTTCTTTCAGGCCTTTGGACTCATTTGCCCTACCTTTTCTGTGGATTTGGAATAGCAGTTGGTCATTTCATCCGTGCTTTACCCCCTCAGATAGTTAGAATGCTTGCTCAGGTGTGCAGATTCCTCTTCCTCTAGCCAAGATGAATTTTTCTTGTTTAGGAGATTTCTTAATTCTCACAGACTTGGGGAAGGACAGACCTGTCCCAGGTGAGCAAGCCTTGGGTAGGGACATGGATAGAGGTGTGCTGGCTGCACACCTGTGCCTAGGGTCCCATAGAGACAGCTGATCCCCTGCCAACCTTGGGCAATACCCTGGCCTGGACCAGCTGCAAGACAGCAGCCTGGAGAATGGGGCCTGAGAGCAAGGAAGCTGGGGAGGCAGGAAGGAAACAAGCCCAGTCCCGGCCCATCCCAATAGTAATGCTGCCTCCTGTCGGGGAGGATGGTTTCAGACAGCCAAGCCTAACTCCTCCAGAAGAGACGGATGACATTTCTCATGCAGTGATGTCAGGAAGCTCACAGCAGAGAGGGGCTCCCAAAGCGCAGCCCAGCAAATGCCCAGCCTCTGCCTGGGAGTGGAAGACAGGCAGTGGGTTCCTTGGCCCACTCCCGCTGCAGGGGAAAGATGTCACCACTCTTCCCAACACACCTGTGGATTGCTAATGCCAGCTCTGCTGTGATCCTCGGCCAGCACCTGGAATCTGGGCCTCTTTCCCTCCACCTTTAGATGCCAGGCACACACCCAGCTTGCAGTTTCCCCTCCCACTAACTCCCTCCGAGTTCTCGACCACACACTGCCTCTTCTGTGCTCTATCTCACCAGGTGTGGAATGCTGTCCTTTCCTTTGATTTTATTTAATTTCCCCTTCACCATCACAAGAAAAATCACCTAAATCCTTGATGTATGTAGTCAATTTTTATACTTTACAGCAGATCTGGGAGCTGGGGATACCTATTAAATCACACACTGGTCATACTTCTTCTATGTTACACACTGGTCACACTTCTTCTAAATGCCATTTCAACTCTCTTAATCATCTCTTTCTCTTCCTCCCTCTCTTCCACTGTCTCCAATTTCTGATTTATTACAGAATAAATTAATTCTGCAATCCCCTCCTCCCCTAGAAATATATTTGCCTCCTCTGTGGCTGACCTTCTCTGTGGATGACCTCCTCTGTGGATGACCTCCTCTGTGCTGACCTCCTCTGCGGCTGACCTCCTCTGTCACTAACCTCCTATGTGGCTGAGCTCCTCTGTGGCTGACCTCCTCTGTGCTGACCTCCTCTGTGGCTGACCTCCTCTGTGGCTGACCTCCTATGTGCTGACCTCTTTCATGGCTGACCTCCTCCGTGGCTGACCTCCTCTGTGGCTGACCGTGCCATTGTAGCTCATCTGCATCCCAAGCATCGCCATGGTGTTTTCCTGAGCAAATTCCTTCCCCTTTCTAATAGGAATTGGACTACATATAAGTAAAATCTTTGACAAACACTGGAAACACAAACAACTCATGAACAATAACTTAATGTAAAAAGGAACAGAGAGCATCCCATTAAACAAATGTCTGGAAATTGGCCATGGGTGTACCTTGTTTCAAGGATTTGGCACTTTCTCACCTGATGAATGAAACACTTTTGGCCCCTGAGTTAAAAGGCAGAGAGCTGGGACTATCCTAGCACACACATACAGACACAATCCCATCCACGTGAGTGGATGAGAGTGTCGTGGCTTTGGGTAGATGCTGCCTATGCTCTCCGTTCAGTTCTCTCTAGGAGAATCATAATGGTGTTTAGAAATAAATAAGAATCATGTCAATACACTGGCTCGTTCATGTGTGAGAGCTCTGGTCACATGTAGACAATGCCTCCACCTTTACACAGGACACTTACAGGGTGGTCATCAGAAACAGTTGAAACGGCACTAGATGCACCTGCCACAGGTTTGGTCACTGATGCTTCAAAGACCCTGGACACCAGCTGGAATTATCTGGGTTTTTTTTTTAGCCAAATATCTATAGAAAAGCCCATGCTCTTGTAGGGGAGAAAATATAATTTCTTTTCCTTCCCTTTTTACATTCTTAGTTGAGACACTATCCTGAAAACGAAAGTTGGAATAACATACAAAAAACCAACAGAAGCTTACTAACGGGCGCTGCACCCATCATGCTGGAGAGTTCAAAAAGTACTTATCTCTCAAGGACGGGGAGCTTTACTTAAATAGTATTGGAACAAAGAGCCCTAACTCCTATATAGCAACAAGACAAAGACAAAAGTTGCTCCAGGTTTTCGAAAGGGAGGAAGATGCAAGAAGTTAGATTTGTGGGGAGAGTGAAGTCTGCTCCTAGAACCTCTGGCGCCACCATCTCTGAGCTTTCTTTCTGAGCTGGTGAGCAAGTGTTGCAAAGGGGCCTGACTTTAGGTGAGAAAGGCAGAGAGCACAGCAAAAGGCAGAATGTGCCTTGCACCTCAACCCTTTTAGCTCAACCATCCCCAGTATTTTGGAGAGGAATATTTTGTTGTCCGTCACTCCCATCATGAAGCGTGAAAAGATGAGCCATTTCTTGGCAGCAGAAATAGAAATGGTCTATAATTAGCACCTGGATTTTCACTTTGCTGCCAGCCAGTTGGTAGAAGAGCACTGAACCAAGTATAATGGCTAAAAGAGCTTACCTTTCTAGACGCCTCAGGAGCTACCTTCAGCGGCTTATTTTTGTAAGGGTGGATAAAGCTATCAAAAAGTACCCCTTAATTAGCCTGGCCACTAGCTCCGATGTGAAGGCCTGAAAGACATTTGCTAAAATGCAAATGTTACCTGGAGCAGGTGTAACTTTGGTTTCTACAGTTGGGTTAAGACAAGCAAAAATGTAATTGAATTAAAGTTTTCCCCTAGGCTAATACGCCCAGTAAGTGAGTAGCCCACTGAGCCTGCAGTGATCCCACAGGACAGCCTGAAAGCCTGCATGTGTGCCCACAGGGAAGGGGCTGGCCAAAATAAGAACAAGGGAAGGTTGCTTGAGGGAAAGGTGGTGCATCGCTCCTGGTTGGGGAGAGATAAGGCAGGAGAGGCTCAGGGTTCAGCACGCATGTGTTCTCTGAACATGTACTGAGGCCCTCTGTATGTCTGGAACCTGAGAAGAAAGCACCCCACCCATGAGGGGCTAGGGCCGCCTGGGGAGGGCTGCGGGCAAGGCATTCCCAGCTTCTCTAGTGTGCACAGCAAATGTCTCCTCAGGGCCAAATCCAGCCCCTCTCTGTTGGCATGCAGTTTCGAGCTAAGAATGGTTTTCACATTTTCAAATGGTTGAAAAACCATCAAAAGAAGAATACTTCATGACACATAAAAATTACATGAACTTCAAACTTCAGTGTCAAATACAGTTTTATAAGAACACGTCCACACCCATTCATTTACATCTATGATGCTTTCTCACTGTGGCAGCAGAATCAATGGTCACCATGGAGACATGTGTGGTCTGCAGAGCCTAAAATATTTGCTTTCTGGCCCTTCATAGAGAGAGTGCCAATTCCTGCCTCAAATTGTCTCCTGAAGATCAATGCTATGGTTTGCAAGTTTGGCCCCTCCAAAACTCATGTTAAAATTTAATCCCCAATGTGGCAGTATTGAGAGGTGACTGGATCATGAGGGCTCTGGTCTTGCAAATGGATTAATCCATTGATGGATTAACAGATTAATGGGTTAGTGGATTGATGGGTTATCATGAAAGTGGGGCTTTATAAGAAGAAGAAAAAAAAGACCCTACCTAGCACACTTAGCCCTGTGTCGTATGACACCCTGCACCCCCTCAAGACTGCGGAGAGTCCCCACAGCAAGGAGCCCTTACCAAAGGCAGCCCCTCAACCATGGAACTCCCGGCCTCCAGAACAGTAAGAAATAAATTTATTTTCTTATAAATTACCCAGTCTCAGATATTGTTATAAGCAACTGATATATTTCAGATATGTATCCCCACCCAAATCTCATGATGAATTGCGATCCCCAGTGTTGGAGATGGGGCCTGGGGGGAGGTGATTGGGTTGGAGCATGGATTTCTCATGAATGGTTCAGCACACTCCTTTTGGTGCTGTTCTTGTGATAGTGAGTGAGTTCTCATGAGATCTAGTTGTTTAAAAGTGGATGGTATCCAGGTGTGGTAGCACATGCCTGTAATCCCAGCTGCTCGGGAGGCTGAGGCAGGAGAATCGCTTGAACTTGGGAGGCAGAGGTTGCGGTGAGCTGAGATCACGCCATTGCACTCCAGCCTGGGCAACAAGAGTGAAAAAACACCCATCTCAAAAAAAAAAAAAAAAGTGTGTGTGGCATCTCCCACCCTCTCTCACTTGTTCCTGCTCCTGCCATGTGACACGCTAGCTTTCCCTTTACCTTCCGCCATGATTGTAAGCTTCCTGGGGTATCATCAGAAGCCAAGCAGATGCCAGCACCATGCTTCCTGTAATCCTACAGAACTGTGAGCCAATTCAACCTCTTTTCTTTAGAAATTACCCAGTCTCAAGTATTTCTTTATAGCAATGCAAGAGTGGCCTAATATAGCAAAAGAAAACAAACTAAGACAATTGAGTTTTTGCTTCTGTCCATAGCTGGTCAAGGAACACGCTGCTTGCCGGCCCACAACCCCTTTAAGAATGTGGGATATGATGAGGTTTCTCTTCAAATAGCCTGATCAATCCTTTATTCTTTAATTCATAGTACCACCCCGCCCCTTTTCCTTTTTCTCTTTTCTGCCTTTGTTGCATGCCCGGACACGCCACAGTATCAGGCTTATCAGTACCAGCTCACATTCCTTTCCTTATTTGGAAAGAAGACTAGCTCTCTAGGTCATTGCAGACATCCCTTCCCCTCTCCCCTCTCTCCCTTATATGCCCACCTTATCTGAAGAAAAGTTCAAGTATTTAGCCAACCAAGATTAGTTTAGATTGTACGGCCCAACCCCAGCCAATGAGGAAAAAGTACAGAGGCAGGACTTGCATCAAGAATGAAGGCTCTTATGCCCCTTTGTTCAGGTGTGCTCTCATGGCAACTGGCCAAAGAGAAGCATTCTTCTGCACAGAAGTAAAATTGCTTTGCTAAGAATCCTTTGTTTAAGTGTTCAATTTCCTTAAGATTTTGAGCATTATTCCCAACAAGAAGCTTCACCGTGACTGCCCGGCTGTGTGTGTTTGTTTGCAGACACTTTTCTTTGCTGATTGTTTCAAATTATAGAGATAAAGGAAAATAGGAAAGGGCTGACACTAAACCATAGTTCTCATAAACATAATGGAATTATGACAAGCCACCTGCACAGGTCCACAAGATGCTTAATGGGGCCAAGGCCAGTCAGTGTCACGGAGGGTATAGAGCTGAAGGCTGCAGGGAGGAGGCGGAGCGGGGCCTGCTGAGAGGAACAGAGCGCAGGGAGTCCCAAGCTACAGAAATCAGCACGTGCAGGGGAGCGTGGGGGAGAAACGCCACGGACTTGGGGCTGTGGTCGAGGATTTCAGACGACTGTGACTCCCCCATCGTTTGACATGCTACTTTGGTTAATCCCAATCTCTTTTAGCCATTTAAGCTTCATATTTTATGTTTCTTCACCTTTTCTGGCTTTGAGGCTGTCTATATGTTTGCTTGGCTATGAAACAGTCATTTGAAAAGAATATTCTTACTCTGCCTTCCAGTCCAACCGAAATACAAACAAAGTAACAGATGTTCACTCAAAATAATTAGAGGATTTTATAGGAGAGAAAAGCAAAATGCTTCAAAACCAATTGGTTTGAATGGGATTGTTTCTGACCAACAATGGCCTGCAGAGTGTAGTTTTTCTCTTTTCATCTTTCTGAATGTTGGAAGAAGCCTAGTAAGCCAGTCACTGCTGCCATTTGGAAATGTCAGAATGTCTCTCGCTTGGCTTCCCTGATTCCAGCAACCAGAAACACCAAGACACACATCCCAAATGCACATACATCCCCCAACACACCACACACCACAAACACATGCACAGTACATACAAATGCACTCATATACCACACCACACATGCCACACAAATGCACACTCACTACACCACATACCACACACCACACTACACACACATACAACACACATACCACACATAAATGCATACTCATACCACACCACACACACATGTATGCCCCACACCACACACACACATACACACAGACACCATATCACAGCCCAAAGATAGTCCATACCCCACACCTGTACCACACACCATACAAACACACTCACACTACACACACATACCATACCACATACCAACACCACACACACAGATTCACACTATAGAACACATATGAACACCCCACACACATATACCCCACATGCACATGCACTGCAGGCACACGCCCTGCACACACACTTACATATACTGTACACACAGGCCACACGGTATGGCGCACACACACAAACACACTCAATGCTCCTATAAGATAAAACGGTGCTGAGTGCTTTTCCCACGCAGGTGTGGAGAGAGTCATGGCAATGAGCCAGGACACGCAGGAAGGGACCGGCCAGGAGCCATGTGGGTAGAGAACATGTGCTGAATCCTTTTCCAAAAGCCCTGGCTATTTCCTCTCAGCATTAAGAGGCTCTTCTTGTGGCTTTGGAGAAGTGCACAGTGCACAGAGGTGTTACAGAGAGAGAGGTGATGGCAGGCTTTAGGCAGGTAGGCAAGAGGCCAGAGCCACACGCTGGTGCCCAGAGATGGCTGGGCTGTCTAGCAGAGTGCACTTGTGAGGGCTGCCCTGTTCCTGTTTACCTATCCTGGGCCATCCAGCTACAGACTCACTCTGGTCTAAAGCAAGATGAGCTGCCAGTTTAGGTATCTTGTCTTCCCCAAAGCTCCCGCTGACTAACCTGGGCAGCACCCCAACAAAGCTAGGGTCAGTGGCCTCCTCCACACCCCGTGCCACCTCCACGTCCTCTGTGTGCCCATGCCTGGACCAGCAGCACTTGATCATGTGCCTCCCCAAGCACGAAGAGGCCTCCCACCTACCTTCATGTCCCAGTGAATGAAAGGTGCACCTGTCCTGCCCTCGAAATGCTGTGAGCCCTGCAGCACCCAACAACACAGACCTGGACAGGCTCCCACAGAGGCCCCAGGGTGCTCAGAGCTCAGCATATATCCCTAAGGAAGGGTGACGTCTGCACCTGGGAGGGCAGTTTCCAGATCAGAGAAATAAATGCAGTGTCAGGAGACACTGCAAAGTGAAATGTCTTTGCAAATTATAAATCACCAGGAAATGCAGTCACTTTTGTCTCCTTTGCCCTGTCCCTGTGATATGTAAATAAATATATATCTTATATATATAAACATATATCTTATATATATATAAACATATTTTATTAGAAATACGTTGTTTCTCATAAATAGCCCACACAATCTCCACTTGTTGGTTACGGATCATGTTCTCCCGCGGCAGAACAGAAGCCCAGTGAGGACGGCATCTTGTCTTGTTCACAGCTGTGTACCCAGCACCGAGAACTGTACTTGGCATCCAGTCAATGCTTAATAAATATTCATTGAGAAAAAGAAGAGGGTATCATAAGAGAGAACGCCCACATGAAAAACACAGGCTCTGCGGAGGCTGAGCTTCCAGCCTCCCCCACTCCACTTCCCCACCACCAGCACAGGCTCCGGGCTCTCCTCATACAGGCCGTGGAGAAAGTACTGGTTGCCCAGGTGACACCCAGGCCACCCAGCACTCCAGGGAGCTGACATCTCTTTTGGGCAGAGCAGCCACGGCATCTGCCAGAGGACTGCAGGAAACCTGAGTTTCAAAAGCAATACCAGACTTGCTGCGATTCCTCTGCACCTTTGATATTGTGGTGGGTGTGTGATTTTTCCTGGTGCTTCAAAAGTCTGCAGGCTGAGAGCCCAGCTGTATTTGCTAATCTGTTCAAAAGCCTCAGACCCAGCCATTAGGATGTTCCCACCCCCATTAGAATTAAGACCTCCCTTCCACACGCAGTTGGGTTTGTAAATCAGGAAGTCATACTACACACACACAATGAGACCCCGTGTTTCAATGACCTGGAAAACCCAGGCAAAATGGGCAGCTCCCTGCCCATCACCTCAGATGTCCGCAGGCACACCAGTACTTGATGTCACACCTGCAAGACCAGGGCAAGCACCTAAGGTCGGTGACAGAGGAGTGTGTCCAGAAAGCAGATACGTGCGTTCCATCCCAAGGACGGGGGACAGAAAGTGAAGGGGACAAGCCTCTGGGAAGGTCATCATGGAGAGGAGTAGAATCCCCCAGTGCCTTTCGCTCCATTGGCTTTCTTCCTCACACTGTCTAAGGTCGTCTGCCATTTCATTCTACCTTTTCACCTGCATTCATTATTGGTCGGGCACAGGATGCTTGGTGGTTCTCTGTGCATCCCTACCTGGCAGCCAGGGTCAGGGCAAAAGCATGGGTCATTGCCAAGGAGAGCTCCATCTGTGGTCACAGGGGCTCAAGCAAAGGGCTCCATGAAGAAAGGGTGCATGTCCCAGGGAAGGCGCCTGCTCAGCCTCGCAGAGAGTGAGACACGTGAGCTGAGTCTTGAGAGAGGAAGGAGACCTCATTGGACAACCCCAGGAGCAAGAAAACTTGAAGCAGGAGAGGTCCACGGTGGGGCTGGTGCAGCCAAAGCTCTGTCTTCAGGCTGGGTCCTGAGGGGCAGTCCCATCTGCATGATGGCAATGCATGTCCCGAGGGCTGAAAGTGCTCTGTAGACAAGGTCAGCTGAGAAATGGTCACGCAGAGCTTAGCAGATTTCCTCTGGACGGGACGTCCTAATAATCTCAGTATGCCATGTCACTGGACATCTCCAAGGAGAGAGGGCTTGGGTCTGTGTCCCCACCAAATCTTATGTTGAAATGTGATTCCTATTATTAGAGGTGGGGCCTGGGGTTGGTGGGGGAGGTATTGGGTCATGAGGGTGGAGCCCTCAGGAATGGCTTAGCACCACATGGGCTTGGTGATGAGTGAGTTCACAGGCGATCTGGTTGTTTAAAAGTGTGTGACGCCTGCCCACACTCTCTCTGTAACTCCTGCTGTCACCATGTGACGTGCCTGCTCCCGCTTCACCTTCTGCCATGACTAAAACCTCCCTGAGGCCACCCCGGAAGCTGAGCAGATGCAGGTGCCATGCTTGTACAGCCTGCAGAATTGTGGGCTAATTAAACCTTTCTGTTTTACCCAGTCTCAGGTGTTTCCTTACAGCAATGCAGGAATGGCCTAATACAGGGACACACATCTCACACAGGACTTGCACACCGTTGACCAAGCTTCCCTGTTCTCTCTAGGAATATCTATTGAAACATGCCTTTACTAAGGACCTAACTGGCTTCAGTAGGATACTGGAGACTGAAACCAGATTACAGTGGATCAGAGTGACCAGGTGTGGACAGCTGGTCTTTTAATCTAATTGCTGGTGAGAGGAAAGAGAGATTATTAGCAATGGAGGGCGGTGACTAGATTATGGATGCCTGGGAAGAACATACATGTGGGAGAAAAGAGGAGGGATGAAGGATGACTAGATATAGAAGGTGGAAGAGGGAGGCTAATGGGGTGCACACCCAATAAGGATGGGGACCAGGGGGACAGGCACACCAGAGGAGGTCTACTTTGTGCACAGACTTTGGGAAGGACCAGATGTGCCTCTGACTCCCCCCAAAACTGCAGTCAAGGTGGCTAAGCTGTCTGTGGCTGGACAGCCACTGGTGAGCATGTGACTGCACAGATGAGGTCTGAGGATAAAATGAGTCAAGGGACTTCAGGTGCTCAAAGCAATGTCCAAGCTCAGCTTGACAGAGACAGACTGGGAGGGTCAGAGAGGTCAGCTTGCAGTGTGACGCTGGGCGAGCCACCCCTGCCTGCCTGCCAGGAGCCGGGGGAAAGGCAGAGCCATAGCAGAGCAGCACCAGTATGTCAGGGAGATGGAAGCACGGCAACACAGGGAGACTACAAATGTAGGTGACAAGGAAGAAACCTCTGGGAACAGAGTGCTGCCCTGGGAGGAAGGGAGCTCCCTGACATAGAAGGTGATTTTAAAAGGTACCTACACAACTGTCCATCTGGAATAGCAGAAAGGGAATTCCTTACTGGGTGGGGCTGTCTACTTTAACAGAAATATTGTAGAGATATTTCTGTATACGTTTCTACCCAAATAAAGACATAAACTCATTGCAAAAAATATATAAGATCTGTATGATCACACATTCCAACTAGGGGAATACTATTATAATATTTTCAGGTATATCCTTCAAATTCTTATTTTTTTTTTTTACTTTCTATTGATACATACTGTTTGTACATATTTATTGGGTACCTGTGATATTTGACTGCATGCCTAGGATGTGTAATGATCCAGTCAGGGTGCTCAGGATGTCCATCACCTCAAGTATTTATCGTTTCCATGTGTTGGGAACACTTTAAGAGCTCTCTTCTAGCTATTTTGAAACTTATACTCCATTGTTGTTACCTACAGTCACCCTACTCGGCTACTGAACATTAGAACTTATTCATTCTACCTTACTGTATGTTTGTACCCATTAACCAACCTCTCTGTATCTCGTCCTCATCCTTATCACTCACACACTCTTCTCAGCTTCTAGTATCTGTCATTTTACTCTCTACCTCCAGGAGATCAACTTTTTTAGCTCCTATATGTGAGTGAGAACATGTGGTATTTGCCTGTCTGTGCCTGGCCTATGTCACTTAGCATAATGACTTCCAGTTCCATTCATGTTCCTGCAAACGACAGCATTTCATTACTTTTTATGGCTGAATAGTATTCCACATGTTTTTACCCATTCACCCATTGTTGGACACTTGGGTTGATCCTATATATTTGCTGTTGTGAATAGTGCTGTGATAGTCATGGAGATGCAGTTATCCTTTATGATATACTGATGTCCTTTCCTTTGGGTAAATGCCCAGAAGTGGGGCTGCTGGATCGTAGGGTAGATCTATTTTTAGTTTTTTGAGAAATCTTCCTACTGTTTTCCATAGTAGCTGTACTAACTTATCCTCCCACCAACATTGGATAAGAGTTTTTCTTCAAATCTGTGCCAGTATCTTGTTATTTTTTTCTTTTTAATGCTAGCCATTCTGACTGGTATACTATGACATCTCATCTCATGGTGGTTTCATTTGCATTTCCCTGGTGATTACTGGCTTTGAGCGTTTCTCATATACCTGTTGGTCATTTGCACGTCTTCTTTTGAGAAATGTTTATTCATGTCCTATGCTCACTTTTTAATTGGATTATTTGGGTTTTTTTTTTTTACATTGAATTGTTAGAGTTTTTTGTATATTCCAGATATTCGTTTTTTGTCAGATGAATAGTTTACAAATATTTTCTCCCATTCAACAGGCTTCTCTTTATTCTGTTGTTTCCTTTGCTGTGCAAAAGCTTTTCAGTTTCATAGAGTCCCATTTGTCTGTTTCTGTTTCTATTACTATACTTTTGAGGTCTTAGACATAAAACCTTGGCCGAGACCAAGATCCTGAAATGTTTCCTCTGTTTGTTTTGTTCTAATAGGTCCTATGTTAAAGGCTTTAATCCATCTTGAGTTGATTTCTCTATGTGGTGGGAGATAGGGGTCTGGTTTCCTTGGTGGGGGTGGTCAGGGCAAGCCTGTCCTCAGGTCCCCACGGTGGTGCTTGCAGGGCTGGCTGTGCTAGGCGGGGGCTGGGTGATCCCCAGGCCCCCAGGGCAGTGCTCTGGTGGAGGTGGAAGCAGCTGCCCTGCAGCCCTGTTGCTGGAGGGAGGAAGGGGCTGCTTTCGGGAGCAGCAGCTTTGGGCAGGCAGCTGGGGAGCATGCTCTTCAGCAGCTGTGGGCAGGATAGCCTGTCCTCAGCGCGCTTGTAAATGTTCAGCAGCCCCACTACTGGGGCGGCAGGGTGGCTGCAAGTGGCACGCGCTTCGTTCTCAGTTGCAGTAGGCAGCAATGGTGGTGGCTACAAGGTGGGGTTGTCAATGCGGCTGCCAGTGTGGAGCTCAGGGGCTGCTGGGCTGGCTGCAGTGTGGTCCAGGCTGTGTGCTCAAAATGGCGTTGTGAGGAAGCTGCTTAGGACTCAGGGTGTGTGGGAGGCAGCGTGAGCTCCCTCTCTGGATCCATGCCATCGTGCGGTCTCCAGGCAGCTCCCTGCATTAGTGCCACAGCCTGCGAGGGCCTAGGGGGTCTGCCCTGGCTAGGACTGCAGGGGTCTGGGGTGGGATGCAGACCCCTGAGGGTCTCTGACTTACTCTTTCCCCACACTGGGGAGCCCCTCCAGGTTCCCCGCCTATCCTGGCCGACAGGCTGCACCATCTCCCTCTCCTCTCTTGCCTCCGGTGTTGCCTGTTACTTCTCAGTTGAATTCCAGAGTTCTCGCTTAGATTATCCCTTCAGAGTGTGGTTCTCCACTCGCTATTTCGGTTCTTCTTTGTGGAGGAGGTGAGCGCCAGATGCTCCAGTCGGCCATCGTGAAGCCCCTCTTTCAGAATATGCTTGGAAAATATTAAATGATACTCTTATGATTCTAAAGCTTTTTTAACTCCCTATGTGAAGAATGTCTTTTTCTTTCAGTAAGCACTTATCATTTTAAGAGTTGCTTACTGGCTAAAGCACCGAAACATTTCTGTTAGACATGTGTTATTTCCAGATTTTCCCTATTACTGACATATGGCTGTGAGCATCTTTGCTCAGAATTCCTTTAGCTCCCTCTCATCATTTCCCGGGAGAAGTTCTCAGAAGTGGTTAGCTGGGTTAAAGGAGATGTATATTTCAATGCCTTAATATATTTTGCCAAGTCGTTGTCTGGAAACCATCGGTTGTTTACTCTCCCAACAACAGATCATATCATAATTTTTTATCATCTCTTCCAATTTCATAAAATGTTAAAAAGGCATCTCAGAGTAGCTCTATGATGTGCACAGGGCAGATACTGTTATTTTCAAAATGAAGAATAAAACAAAAAGCCCCCAGAGGTTGAGTGACTTAATTTGGTGAATGTTACGCTGCTCTAGAGCTGAAACCCACCAAACCTTGTTCCATCCACTGTGCCTTGAGCCTCGGACAATCCCAAGTTGACGTCCTCCCATTTGGATTTTGGCCCTTTTAACATTGATGAGTCACCCAAGGCTTCCCCTAACTCTAAAGGGCAATCGTCTCATCTTCTTTATTCTTTTTCTCCTCTTCCACTGCTTCCCTGGCCCCAGCTCTCCTCCCATCATGTTCCCCCTCCCTTAGATCATTGCCACACATTTCAGTTGGGAGAAAGAAGAATGAAGCTGACATTCATTAAGTGTTTAGTGGGTACCAGGCACTGTGCCCTGCAGATAAGAGAAAACTTCCCTCTTTTCTATTTGGAGTAGACTTAAGAACATTTTCCACCTAATTATTAGCTATTTATACTTGTAGTAAGGATTTTCCACTTCGTGCACTTTGCACATTTGATTTTCACCACAGCCTTCTTGAGAAGGGGCTGAGGACTGGGCATGCATCCCTCAGCTCAGGCCTCCCAGATCCACCTACCTGGAAGCCTGGGGAGGAGAGTCCTCAGGGCCTTCCTCTGCCTCTGGTCATGGCCACAGGGGTGTAAGCTACATTTGGGGGCTGTGTGAAAAACGGACTTTCTTCTCAAGGCCTGTCCAAGCCAATGAACTCATTGAGAATTGGGGATGCAAGATAAACATAAGACATGACCCTTCCCCTTAAGACTCTTCTGTCTTGTCTTGGAACCAAGACTTTACTCCACCTAAGCCTTGGGTTACGGGAGAAACATTATCTCACTAAAAGCCTCATTCATTGCAAGCACACGCAATGAATGTTGTAGTGGAACAGGTGGATGAGGGCGGAAGGAAGGTGAGTGACAACAGACTCCAGAGCCCTCAGAGAATGTTCTGGGAAGGACTCCTCCACCGAGAGCAGAGACAGCTCAGCACCAAGGAGCAGCCCCTCGAGTACTTCCTCCCTCCAGATCCAGACCACAGTACCTGGAGGAGGGTGCGGAACAAGGAGGGGGAGGGATATTTCTTCTTCCAGTAGATCGTACGGCCAGAAAGAGGGCGAGAGGTGCTGAAGGCAGATTCGGAGAGGAAGCCTTGGATGCAGCTGCTGGCTTGCCACTTGAGAATGTCTCATCTCTCTGAGCCTCCCTTTCTTCATGTGTAGAGGTAGTAAGAGCGCCTGCCTCCCTGGGTTTGGGGGATTTTGGAGGGGAAGATGCAGACAGAAAGCCTGCAGCGGGAAGTGGGTGCTCAATGTTTTTTGTTTGTTTGTTTTTGTTTTTGTTTTTGCATTCTAAGCAGTTAACCACGGCTATGGTTTGGTTCTGTGTCCACACCCAAATCTCATCTTGAATTGTAATCCACACGTGTCAAGGTAGGGAAGTGGTTGGATTATGGGGGCGGTTTCCCCCATGCTGCTCTCCTGTTAGTGAGTGAATTCTCACAAGATCTGATAGTTTTATAAGGGGCTCTTCCCCCTTCACTCTCTCGCCTGCTGCCCTATAAGACTTGTTTGCTTCCCCTTCCGCCATGATTGTACGTGTCCAGAGGCATCCCCAGCCATGTGGAACCATGAGTCAATTAAACCTCTTTCCTTTATAAATTACCCAATCTTGGGTATTTCTTTGTAGCAGCATGAGAATGGACTAATCATACACAGCAGGAGGATGGAACCCTCTGTCAGGCCCAAAGCCCGTGTTTCCTGAAATAGGCACCCCCCCTACCACCTCCAGAAGCCCGAGAAGAGGCTGGGGCAGCTCTGCACAAGTGTCGCCTGTTTGCTCCCCTCTGGGTGCCCTTTCACTGTCTCCTCCGGGACAGGCCAGGACAAGACAGCCCCTGGTGGACCCAACAGCCTTTTGTGCAGGCAAGCGAGATACACAAACCTCCAGGAATCCCACGGGCTGGCCATTCCTAATGCTTAAATAGCAACCTCCTACAAGCTCTTCTAAGCTACCTTCTGTCTGATATGAAATCTGACACATCCCTTTAGAGAGTCATTAAGGCCAGAACATGAACTAACTTCCTGTCAAACTAACTCTAACTCCTTGTCACCATGGTCTGCATTTTCCTGGCCAAATGCTTTGTGAGAAACACCAGTTCCATGCAGCTGGTCAGGAGGACAGAGATGCCTATGCTGGCACCAGGAAACCGAGTGTTCCACTGTATTAAGCTGGCTTAGGGAGAGGCTCCATGGAGGAGTAGGACCGTGGAGGCTGCCTGTTGCCTTGGCAACCCAGCTTTTAGCCAGCCTCAGGGTGCGCTCCCTTCACCAGGTTTAAAGAACTGGGAAATCTACCAGCCAGCATGAGCAATTCTCAAAGAGTGGGTTATGTTTTAATCGCATTCTGACAGCTAATCTGTGAGGATGGCCCACCCACCGCCTGTGCCCCAGCCACCTGCAGAAGTTCATGAGCTACCTGGAATGATTTTCACGGCACCCTTCTTATGAAAACTCTTATTCTTTTTTTAAAATTATTTATTTCTTGTGACTGAGATTTAAAAATAAAATAAAAGGTATGATTTGTATTACTGCAATTTGTCAGAATTATTTTCCTTCCTAAAAAGTACTGCAAAGGTTTAATGGAAGCACGAGTAACTATCTGGAAATTTCCATCCACAGTTATCGGCTTTGATAGTGGATGCAAAATAATTTTTAAGTTAAAACACACATAAAAACTATTTAATAGCTGAATGAATTTTCGTCAATTATTCAACACTTATTTGAAGTTGCCTGTAAGCTGTATAAATAGTGACCTATAATGCCTTCTCCAGCGGAGTAGGAGAATGAATGCACTTATGATTGAATGAATGCTTTCCACTGCTCTCGAGAGAGACTTGCCTTTAAAGTTCCTTCAGACAGGCTGCTGAGAGTGTCGGGGAAGGGGATAACGAGGCACGGCTATAGAAATGCCTTTCTTCGGGGTTTCTGCTGGGGAAGATGGAGAAGTTCTGGAGACGGGTGCGGTAATGGTTGCGCAGCATCCTGAATGTACTCAATACCACGGAACTGAAAAATGGCTACACTGGCAAACTGTATGTTTCTGTATTTTACCACAATTTTTTTTTAAAAGAAAAGAAAATGTATTTCTTCTCAGAGTTCAACACATTGAGGCCTGGAAGTTTTTCATTTGACTTCTAGGTTTGGAAACCAAGACTTGTCTGCTCTGAACCTGGCAGACATCCTCCCATCTAATTACTCTCAGTTGGACACGATGCTGGTTGTTATTCCACATGGAACGTTTTCATTTGTGTAGCATTAAATGTAGGAAGAACAGGCAAAACCATCCTGCAATGTTGCCCCCATGTAGCATTGCTCGTGCCTTATTTTCTATTCACAATCAAATCTAGGCGGACTGTCATGCATCTCAGTGTGACCAACCGAAACCACATGAGACAGGAGTTCAGAAGTTGTGGCTGTCACACCCAGATCACAGAGACTGTCACTGTACTACCTGCCAGGTGGCTGTCTACACCTTCCTAGTGAGGCAGGACATGCACAAACCACAGGTCATCTTGTACAGCTCCACAAACAGCCCACCTGGCACCATTCCCCTTCCAGATCACAGGCGCACACCAGCCTGGCTGTCTCTCTACTGACTTGAACATCCGGGGTCAGCTGTGCCTCTTTTCTTAGTTTCTGTAAATAGAATTGTGCCGTAGGTGCTATTTGTGCCCGGAGGTTCATCCATATTGGTGTGTGTCTTTGTTGCAGGTCATTTATCTTCACCACTCAGCACTATTCCATTGTGTGAATGTTTCATGCGGTATTTATCCATTCTGCTGTGGATGGACAGTTGGCAATTTCTAGCTGGGCTACTATGTACAATGCTGATTTGAACATTCTACCTGTCTTTGGAGAATATATGCATGCACTGCTGTTTGTAATATTGGTAGGTAATAGTTAAACCTCCTCCTCCCTTGGTTTTTTATGAAAGCTCAGGGTAGATTTTATTTGGATTAGTTTCCTTAGTGCCCTAGACAGCTGTGACCTGATTTTATCTTTCTTGGTTTCTTGAATTACAAAAAAAAAAAAAAAAAAAAAAAAAAAAAAAAGTTTGCATTGAAATAACATTTTTACCAGGGTATTTCTGGAAGCTAAATTTTATATCTAAATATAAATGTTTGAAGCATGGAAGCCCATTTCTAATTGAATAAATGATAACAAACCATTTTCACAGCATCTTGATCATGCCACTGTTCTCAAATGCTTGATGAGGTCATCCAGAGATGCTGTCCCCCAGTGGTGAGTTAATTCAGAGGGTCAGTCCATGTGCTCCACTGGCTGCCCCTCATTAGCTGGCATTAGAGAATGGCCAGGGCAACACCAGGGACTGCTGGAAACCCCATCTGAGTGGGTCTGGATGATTGCCTAGCTACATGGCTGGCTTCCAGGGAGGGAGGGTTAGGGCCAGCCAGAGTAAATGTGACCCGCACTCCACCTTCCTCTTTCAGATTCATCCTCTGCCACGGCAATGAAGGTTTATGTGTCTGAGATTCTTCATCTTCTTCTGCAGGGCACAGCTGTGCTGCCAGTGCTTCCAAAGAGCAGAGAAGCCACTTTTGCTCCCCTGCCTGGTTCTCTGCTTGAACAGCTCTGCCAGCTTATTGCTGGGTGCAAGGAGACTTTCTGGGCAGCCCTTAAACTTCCGGAAATGCAGACTCTAAGGAGAAAGACTGCAAAGTTCTTCAAAGTGGCAGAGGGGCTGCTCAAGACTAAGGAGGTCCCAGTCATCCTCTGCCCAGGCCAGCCCCAGCTCCTCAGCATGGCCACCAGCCCAGCGTGGGAATCTGGGGCACTCTCCACCCCACCTCCTGCCCCAGGTGGCACCCACAACCACTTCTTAGCCTTTGCCAGCCTGACCCATGGCCAGAGTGGACCAGGCTCCACTACCTTCATTGTTACAGGACTCTGCCCAAGACATTTCTGAATGAGATTAAGATATTACATATTACCCAAGACAGCACTCAGTGTGCAGGCTTCATCCCACTGATCAACCTTCCCCTAGTAGTGTCGTCCACTTACAAACCCTCCTGTCTGTTGTTTCAGTGGGGTTGAACAATTCCCACTGCAATAATCTGAATACATTAGTTCTTGCCTTTATAACTTTGTCAGGTACAATTTTTGCCTTGACAGTGTCATAAGCTATAACTTCTAAAGGAGATGCCAAACACCCTCTCTCTCCTGTTACTTCATCAAAATATCACCCCTGTGAGTCTGGAAAGCTTCAGAGTTTTGTACTAAATCTCATTAAATATAAGCCTTCAGCACCTGTCAGCCCATCTGCTCCTACCCAGCTTCAGCCTTTCCCTTTATGTTGTCATTGTCACAAATTACATCTTTATACATTGTGTGCCCATTAGCAAAGATTTATAATTATTGTTTTATAAATGTGTCCTTTAAATCATACAGGAAACAAAGAGGAGCTACAATCCAGAATAATGTTAGCTTTTATATTTATCTATGTAATGACCTTTACCAGACTTTTTTATTTCTTTGTATAGATTTGAGTTACTGTGTAGTAACTCAAGCATCTAATAACTAGCAGCCTTTCTTTTACACCTCAAGTACTCCTTGTAGCATTTCTTATAAGGCAGGTCCACTAGCAACAAGTTCCCTCAGGTTTTGTTTTTCTGGGATAGTATTAAGTTCTCCTTCACTTTTGAGGTATACTTTTGCTAGATATAACATTCTTAGTTGATAGATTATTTTTTCCTCTCAATGCTTTAAATAATATCACCACACTGCCATCTGGCCTCCATGTTTTTTTCTGTTAATGTTATTGAGGATCCCTTGTATGTAACTGGTCATTTCTCTCATGTGACATTCAAGATTCTCTTTGTCTTTTGCTTTTGACAGAACTATAAAATACCCAGTTATGGATCTCTTTATCATTCTTGGAGTTTGTTGAGCTTCTTGGATGTTTAAATGCATGTCTTTTATCAAGTTTGGAAATTTTGAGCATTATTTCTTCCAATATTCTTTCTTCACAATTCTTTCTCTTCTCCTGATACTCCCATTACCTGTATGCAGTGAATTTTCATTTCAGTTATGGGGCTTTTGAGCTCCAGAATTTCTGACTGGTTCTTTTTTTACCACTTGTCTTTATTGACAGTTTCTATCTATCTATTGAGACATTAGTCTCTTTATTTCCTTTACTATTTGTCCATGATTTTCTTAGCTCTTTCAGCATTTAAGACAGTTGATTTAAAGTTTATTTCTAGTAAGTCCAATGTCTGTGTTTCCTCACAACAATTTCTTTTAATGTTTCCCCTAAATAGAGCATGATTTCCTGTTTCCTTGTATGCTTCATACTTTTTGTTGAAAACTGGACTTTTTAAATATTATAATACGGTAACTCAGGAAATAAGTTTCTTCCCCCTCCTCAGGGTTTGTTTTTGTTGCTTGTTTTGGGTTATAATTGTTTGATAACTTTTCTAAACTATTTTTATAAAGTGATATGGTTTGGCTCTGTGTCCCCACCCAAATCTCATCTCGAATTATAATCTCCACATGTTGAGGGAGGGACAGGGACCAGCCATGTGGAACTGTGAGTCAATTAAACCTTTTTCTTTATAAATTACCCAGTCTCAGGTAGTTCTTTATAGCAGTGGGAAAATGGACTAATACATAAAGACTGTATTCTTTGCCATTTGTGGTCTCTGATGTCTCTGTTCCTCTAGCTTGCAGTCAGCTAGTGTTTTTGACAGAGATTCTTTGAATGCCTAAAGCCAGAAAACAAAATGCAAAAACAAGAAACCTCTCACAGTGTTTGCAGAATGGCCCTTTATTGGACACTCCTTCAGTGCTGAGCCCAGCCATTTACAATTCTGTGTTAGCCTTCACTACCTGCTGACACCAGCCTTAAAGGTTAGCCAGAAGTAGAGGTTTAGAGTCTTCTTGAGTCTTTTCTGAGCTTATTTCCTTCCCTGGGCATGCTGTGGCTTTCTAAATACCCTGGAATACATAGGTGCTTTTCAATACTCTAATCTGCCAAAGAATCTCTCTTTTAAGCTTTTCATCCCAGGATTTTGGTATGTCTTTTGTTTGCCTGAAATGTAGTATTTTCCCAAGTCACTAGAAGGTGGCTCACTTGCCTTTCAATGTTCCTGAGGAATGCTCTCAGCATAGCCACTTTTCTGCTCTTAGAGAGTTCCAAGTTAAGCGAAACGAAGACAAGCACATTGCATCATTCCTTCAGGTAACACCCAGACAGATCAAAACAGACAAAGATAATTCTTTGAGAAAAGTTCTTCTCTGTTTCCTCTGAAACCAATGACTAGAGTCCCACAGTCAAAACATGGGCTTCCATCTTCAAGAGCAATGACCAGCTAGGGAGGGAGGTAAAACAAGGGAAAATAAAAATGCCACAAATCTCTCCTACTGTTTTTATATTGCCTCAAAAAAAGAAAATAAAACAAACTTGGCTGGTGTAAATCTTTGACCATTTTCTAGAATTCGGATAAAGTAGATCCTCACAGATTTTCTCATTATTTCAGCATTTCTGTGAAGGGTCTAGCTAGCCTTAGAGCTACCCACTCTGCCATTTTTGCTAACATGACTCCAGAAGTGATGCCTACTGTTTACCTACTGCATTGTGGTTGGCAGAATAATGGCCACTTAAAGATGTTCATGCCCCAATACCCAGAACCTGTGAATATGTTACCTGGCAAAGGGATTTGCTCTTGTGATTAAGATTACAGGCTTTTATATGAAGAAAATTTTTCTGGATTGTCCTGGATGGGCCTAATCTAATCACATGAAGCCTTTGGAAATGGGGAATGACCCTCAACTCACAGCTAACAAGAAAAGAGGTATCTCAGTCCTACAACTTCAGGCAACTAAATTCTGCCAAGAAAAAAAAAATCAAAAATCACATCTTTCTTTTGAGCCTCCAGAAAGGAATGCAACCCTGCCAACACACTGATTTTAGCTTGATATGACCAGTATTGGACTTTTGACCACAGAACTGAGAGATAATGAATTTGTGTTATTTTAAGCCATTTAGTTTGTGGTTATTTTTCAAGGCAGCAATAGAAGATTCATACAGGCTATTGGTACCTGGAAATGGTACCTGGAAATGGAATGCACCTGTAACAAACACCTAACTATACAGAAGTGGATTTAAAATTGGATATTGGTCAGAGGTGAGAAGAATTTTGAGGAGCATAATAGAAAAAGCCTCCGTTGTCTTAAACAAACTATTCATGAATGTTAAATACTTCCAATGAAGGCTAAGAAGAAAGTGAGGAGCATTATAGAAAAAAAGTAAATCACCTTAGAGAATACCTAAATCTGCATGAACAGACCATTGATAGAAAAAATGGACATTAAAGGTGCTGGTGTTAAGAGCTCAGAAGGAAGTAAAGAATATATATTGGAAATTGGAGGAGAGGTAATGCTTCTTATAAGTGGAAAAAAGCCTAGCTGAATTATGTCACAGTTTTGTGACAAGAAGAACCTGTAAACAATAAAATTAGATATTTAGAAGAGAGATTTTCAGGCAAAATGTTAAAGATGTGTTCTGTTTTTTTTCTAGCTGCTTATAGTAAAAGGCAAGATGAAACAGATAAATTGAAGGAAGAGCTATTAAACAAAAAGGAACTAGAACTTGATGGTGTGGGAAATTCTCAGCATGTCTGAACAGTGAGACGCATTAAAATTAAAAGATTTACTATCAGGAAAGCATACTCTAGAGAAATGGCTTAAAGTAAACCCCTTTGAATGATCAAAAAGTCAGTTTTCAGTTACACAAAGGATCTTTGAAAACATTAAGGGTAGGACTCACAGACCCCCCAAATCAAGCTACAGAGCATCTAGGAAATGTAACAACATCGTCCCTTGGCCATCTTGACAAAAACCAAAAATTGAGATGAAATTATCTAGAAAAGATTTGTGGACACGCCACTTGTCTAATGGAGTGAATCACCATGATATACACAAAAGACACACACGGTTCCTGAGAATTTTTTATCAGCAGAAACAGTGCCAGCTTGGACTGAAAGGGTTGGGGAGAGTACAAAAGAAAAGAAAGCTGTTGAACATGAGAGAATAACTTGGACTCTCCAGATTCCACAGGCAAGAAACTGGATGATAAAATTACTCAGCTGAGAGTGTAAGTTACCTTTCATTAAGAAAGATTAACTCAAACGGGAGATCTCAGAGTGTAGAGAGTGGAGTCAGAGGCTCAAAAGGTGGAGCTTGAGGAACACAGGGTTATTTCTAAGCCTTGACACATAATGGAGTTTTCCTTGGCTGGATTTGAACCCAATGACTTCTTTATTTCTTCCATTTCCTCCCTCTTTGAATAACAATGTCTATAACCCTTATCCTACTGTATTTGGGGAGCAGATAACTTATTTCTGTAGTTTAACAGTTTCACAGATAAAAAGAAATTTTGTCCTAAGATGGATCATACCAGATCCTTACCCATACTTAATTTAGACAATTTAGATAATGATACCTGAGACTTTTGAGCTGATGATATTTAAACAATATTTTTAGATTTTGAGTTGATTTTTTAATTGGATAAGACTTCAGGGAACCTTGGGACTGGGTGGATGTATATTTGCAACTGGGACAGGTGTGACTATTTGGAGGCTAGCGGACAGACTGCAGTAGTCACAATAGTCCTTCAGAGGAGTCCATGACTTCCTCCTTGGGCTTTGTGAATATGTTACCTTACGCAGCAAAAAGGATTTTCAGATGTGATTAAAGATTTGAGGAGGAGATATTATCCTGGATTTTATATCCAGGATATAAAATCCTGGCCCAGGATTTTTTTGTGGGCCCAATTAATCATATGTGTCCTTAGAAGGCGAGAGTCTTTCTCAGCAGTGGTCAAGGTAAGATGTAACGGGGAAGAGGAGGCAGCCTGCTGGTGCTGGCTATAAAGATGGAGGAGGGGCCATGAGCCAAGGAAAGCAGGGAACCTTTAAAGCTGGCAATGGCCCCAACTCTCAGTCAACATGCAAACTTGAATCTAAACCCTACAACCACAGGAATCTGAATTTTGCTAGCAACCTGAATAAGCAAGGAAATGGATTCTTCCCTAGATCTCCCGAAAGGAAGGCAGCTCTGTCAACACCTTGGTTTTAGCCTGGAGCAGCCAGTGTTGGACTTCTAATCCACGTTAACTTTAAGAAAACAAATTTGCATTGTATAAGCCACTAAAATTCAGGCAGCAATAAAAAAAATAATGCACATATTTTCAGTAGGACAAGCAATCAAACTTTTGGGCAACTGCTTGTACTATATATGTTTAAATATAAAACCTGTCACCATTGCTATAAAATAAAAGCTTAAGCACAGATATTTTTCCTTCTTAGACTTACTAATGCTTAAAATTCATGGCCACACAATGATGATTGTCTCCCTGATAAAGACACAAAAATGTACTTTCTGTTCTCCTCTTTCATCCACTCATCTAGCACATTATTGTGTGCCTGCTGCATGCCAGGCAATGTGCTGTGTGCTATGGAGACTGAAAACAACAGTATGGACATGGCTTTGCCACCTCTGGATGTCACAGGTTCACGAGAATACAGATAACCCAGTAAGCAGTGATAAACAATTTTTTTCAATTGCTCACATCCAGTCTCTTCAAAAAATCTCGTTTATTGCTTTTAGAATCACATTTAATCACATTTAAATTTTCTATACTTTTTAAGAATTCCACTACATAATTCCTACAAACCTAAATCTCTTTTTCCCCTAACACTTTCCTTCATGATTTACTTTGTAATTATAGTGGATCTCAAATTTTAGCTTAAATTAGAATCATCTGGAGGATTTGGAGAAACTCTAGCCCCACCACTTAGAGGTGAAGCTGGCTGGGCTTCTGGGTCAGGGGGACTTGGAGAACTTTTTTGTCTAGCTAAAGGATTGTAAACACACCAATCAGCGCTCTGTGTCTAGCTAAAAGTTTGTAAATGCACCAATCAACACTCTGCAAAAACGGACCAATCAGCACTCTGTAAAATGGACCAATCAGCACTCTGTAAAATGGACCAATCAGCAGGATGTGGGCGGGGCCAAATAAGGGAATAAAAGGCCACCTGGGCTGCAACGCAACTTGCTCGAATCCTTTTTCCGGAATGTGGAATCTTTCTTATTTTCCTTTTCACAGTAGATCTTCTTGCTTCTCACTTTTTGGGTTCGGATTTCCGTTAAAAGCTGTAACACTGGGAGAGTCTGCGGCTTCACTCCTAAATCAGGAAGACCACGAACTCCTCGAGAGAAGCGAACTCTGGACGTGACACTTTTAGGAGCTGTAACACGGCAAAGGTCTGTGGCTTCATTCCTAACGTCAGAGAGACAACAAACTCACCGGGAAAAATGAACAACTCCGGACCCGCCACCCTTAGGAGCTGTAACACGGCCAGGGTCTGCGGCTTCACTTCCGAAGTAAGCAAGACCACGAACCCACCAGAAGGAAGAAATTCCGGACACATGTGAAAGGAACAAACGACTGACACACCATTTTTAAGAACCGCAACACTCACTGCGAGGGTTCGTGGCTTCGTTCTTGAAGTCTGTGAACCCAAGAACCCTCCGCAAGGAACCAGTTCCAGGCCCACGGCTAGACTTTCTTATTCAGCATACCGGGGGCAGGGAAAAAAGAGATACTCAATATTTATATCTTTAAGAATGTTTAAACGCTGGTATAGCTGAAATTGGGAACCAACGTCTTGAAACCCACTGTTCTAATAAAAAACAGATGGATGCAAAAGGACAATGCGTTGACACTCCAAGTCGACCTGGTGGTGGTCACTGTGCCCTGGCAGGTTTTATTACTGAACGTGGAATGAGCCCAGCAAACCTGACCACTTGGGTGCGCTGTGCATTCCTGTTGCTGGGTGGTTGACTGCCAGTTAACCCTGCCCAGCTTTTTCAGTTTCACAGCGTTAGAATTCCCGATTTTTAGTGGTGCACACCAAGCATTGTATTGACTGTTTCCCAGAATCCGTTGCAGTTTGGTGAGTTCGTTGACTAAATTCCAACCAATGGGATGAGTCATATCGATAGAGAAAAGGAAGGCGATCCCATGTTGGTCATTTCTCTTCTCCTTTGTGGTTGGAATATGGGCATTGCAGAAAGCCGCCTTAAGGCTGGCATATAAGGAAGCTAGATGGAAACATGTTAGCAGTGGACAAGACACCACAGCAGCCGAGGGTGAGGTACCTCTGCACCAATGCGTGAAACACAAAGCTGCTATCTTGTCTAACTTGTGAAATTGTGGGTCTCTGTTACATGTAGCTTAATCCAAATTAGTTTAGGTACACAATAGAAAGCAGACAATGTAAAAGAAACCTGACGATACACAGGACCAAATTCGAACTTGGTTTCTTGCCTTGTTTACATGAACAGCCAGGAAAAGCAAACAACTTTTTCTCTGGTATTTAATGAAAAGAGAGATTAAAAAGGATTATCAAAGTAACATTTTGGTTTTATCCACTGGGTCTATGTGAGGTTAATTTTTCTCTAAGGCATGAGGTCAGGATGCCGTTTCCTTTTGAGTCCCAGCGAGGAATCGACTATTGCAGCGTCATTTGTTGAATGTCAACGTACAGTGGCAGCACTGCCCTGTTGCTGATTGGCATTATCCATAGGCCTGCTTCCAAACTTTCCATTGTATTACCTTTGTCTGTGTTCCCCTCTCTGTACTGATACACGCAGGTTTAATATTTTTAACGTTTTATTTTGAAATTATAGATTAAGAGGAAGTTGCAAAAATAATACAGAAATGCCCGGGAATCTTTTACTCCATTTTCCCAGGGCAAATCTTATGACTACAGTGCAATATTGAAACCTAGACTTTGACAGTAATACAATCCACAGATCTAATTTGTATTTCACTAGCGTTGTGTGCACTCGTGTGTGTGTATAACTTACTCTATGTGAGTTTAATCCCATGCATAGAGTTGTGTAACCATCACAATGGTCATGTCACAGAGCTAGGCCATGCCCACAGGGTTTCCTCGTGCTCGTTTTTAGCCATACCCTCCCTTCCATCCTCCACCCTTCTTCTCCATCTCCATGGTAACATGTCTCTCCATTCATTTAAGTGATATTTGATATCTTTCACCATCAATTTTTCAAGTTTCAACATACAGATTCTGCACGTGTTTGTTAGATTTATACCTGAGTACATAATTTTCTTTGGAGCAACTTTAAATGGTAATATATTATTAATCTCAGTTTCTATATATTAGCATATAAAAATGCAATTAAGCTTTTCGTTCCTCTTAAATCCTACAGCCTCGTTAAGCTTACTTATTAGTTTGAAGAGGTTCATCGTTTGTTTATGTGTTTGTTTTTGTAGATTGGGATTTTTCTACAGACCCTCATGTCATTTGCAAATAAGGACAGTTTAATTTTTTCCTTTCCAATCTGCATGAAGTGTTTTTTTCTTGACTTATTTCACTGCCCAGAACGTTCAGTACTATGTTGAATAAGAGTGATGATAGCAGACACCTTGCTTTGTTTTTGATCTTAGGAGGAAGCCATTCAGTCTTGTCACATTGAGTGTTAACTGCAGACTTTTTGTAGAGTCTCTTTATGAAGTTGAGGCCATTCTCTTCCATTACTACTTTGCTGATTTTTATCATGACTGGGTGTTGCATTTTTCTGCATCAATTGATTTTATTTCAATATTAATTGATATTACTTTTCTTCTTTAGGCTGTTGGTATAGGAGACTACACTGATTAATTTTAAATATTGAACTAATTCACTTTTCATCCCTATAATAAATTCCATTTGGTCATGGAGTATAATTCTTTATATTGCTACATTCTATTTGCTAATCTTTTTTGAGTGTTTTTGTGTTTAAATTTATAGAAATATCAGTCTATAGTTTTCCTGTACTGTTTTTATCTAGTTTTGGTATTATGCAAATACTGGCCTTGTAATGTGGTTGCAAAGTATTCCCTCCTCTTCTACTTTCTTGAAAAGACTGTGGACAGCTGGTGTTCAGTATTCATTAAATATTTGGCAGAATTTGCCAGTGAAATCATCTGGGCCTGGTGATTTCCTTTTTAAGAGCCTTTTAATTACAAATTTATAGGTTTTTCAAATTTCTATTTCATGTTGTTTGATTTTTGGGTAATTTTTGCGTTTCAAAGAACTGACTCACTTCCTTAAAGTTGTTGAATTTATGAATGAAGGTTGTTCATGGCATTCCTGTATCACCATCTGGATTGCTGCAGGATCTGTAGAGCTAGCTCTGCTTTAATTCCTGATACTTGTGATTTGCGTCATCTTTTTATCTTTGTCAATCTCGCTAAAAGTTTATCAATGTTATTGATCTGTTTTGGAGACTAGATTTCGTTTTTGTTTTATTGATTTCCTCTACCATCTTTCTATTTTTATACCATCTTTCTATTTTTTATTTTATTGATATTTGCCCTGATATCTATTATTTATTTCCTTCTGCATGCTTTGAATTTTTTTGCTCTTCTTTTTCTAATTTCTCAAAGTTGGAATTTGGACCATTGATTTGAAATGTTTTCTGTTTTCTAATGTAGCCTTTTAGTGCTATATATTTCCCTCTCAGCACTGCTTTAGCTGCATCCCACATACTTTAGTATATGGCATTTTTACTTTCACTCAGTTAAAATATCATCTTTAAAACAAGCAAAAAACCATATAGTGTTAACAAGTTGCTCCTGGACATTTAAAAAGCTTTCCATTTTTGAACATGTGCTCTGACCTTATGGGGATTGTTTCCTCATCTGTGAACAAAGACTGTCTGATGTTATGGTAGGCTCATGCCTCATTCCCAGACAGCTAGGCCTAGAAGAAGGATGCCACCAAAATAAAGGATGGCACCACATCAATCAGTAACTGTGATGGATGACCTTCATCAGGGTAGACATTGACATTCTACCCCACATCAATCACTAACTGTGACAGATGACCTTCATTGGGGTAGACATTATCAGCTTTGCTGATAAGGATGGGGCTAGAGGATATCTTGTCTTTTTCCACTCAACTTTGAGGGTAAAAACTAGCTATTTTCTGGGAAACAGGACAATGGCTAGCAATTACACAGAAAATGCTTAGTCAATGTTGAGTGAAGGGGTATTGAGTTATTACATGTGGCAGTTAATCCGTAGTTAGCTGAGCCTGTGAGGCCAACCAAAAGTAGGATGGAAACAATTGGGAAATATAGATTGTTATGGGATGACCCCAAGAACATGGCAAGCAAAGGTCAAAAGTTAGTGATCTGTCACTGACAGCAGTTAAATTCCTGACAGCAGGAGGTACAGCGATGTGCGTCATTCAGGTTTGCAGTGGAATCACTGCTCTGCTCTGTGCAGGTTTACCCTGGTCATCCCTGCAGCCTCGCCATGGCTCCAGGCCTGCTAGGAAGAGGCCTCATCTGGCCAACACTTGTGTGAGTGTACTGGCTCCGTAGTGCAAAATGACAACAGAGAAGCCAAGGTGCACCTTTCTTCTAGAGAGAGGATTTAAACTGATCAATGATCAATGATGTATTACTACCTCATGAGTCAAACAGGATAACATATTCCTTAGACTAAACAGACATGAGCCCTCTCGCAGCAACTGGAATTCTTGGTTATTTCCCATCCTCCTCCCTCTCCTGGAAGAAAATCATTCTATCTGCAGATTCACTCCTCACTGCTCCCACCCCTTGTCTCTGCCCAACACCCCAGTCATGGGTCAGGTGATACCAACTAGAGGTGGTGGGAAGGGCACCTTCTTATAGGCAGGTGGCAAAGAAAATCACTCATTCCAGAAGATGCCTGGACCACTAGACAGAAAGTGCCTCATAATAGGTATTTTCTAACAGTCCTTATAGGAAATAACATGACCAAAAGGGAGAGATTCTCCCCCTTCCAATCACATTATAAATGCATGAGTATGGGGTTATCCCCCTCACCAAAGAGTGTGTGTCATTCACATTGTATTGCATTGTACTGCATTCACATTGTATTGTATTGTCATTCACATTGTATTGTATTGGCCCAGCCCCAACTTCTGACATGAGCAAGGGTTCACAGCATGTTGGGATTTAACTAGAGGGCTAATTCCTATACTACTGCTCAAGCAGACAAGCAATAGACACCCACTGGAATGTCCTTGAGAACACTGAGTTCAAGTCTGAGATCTTGAACATGCTGGAAGTCCAGGATGAAGATGTCTTCAGGGTTGGTTTCTCCTAGGTCTTCCTTCCTTGCCTTGCAGTCCTTCTTGCCACGTCCTCATAGGGCTTTTCTCTGTGCGAGTACATCCCTGGTCTCTCTCTCTCTCTTCCTAAAAGGACACCAGTCGTATTTAATTAGGACTCTACACTTAACCCTCATTTAACCTCAGTTACCTTTTTAAAGGTTCTAGCTCCAGATACCTAAATGCTTTCCCACTGGGGGCTAGGGTTTCAACATACGAACTTGCGGGGGGGACCACAATTCAGTGCATAACACATATATCCACACATACATGCACGTACATGTAGGCACACTCATACACACATATATGCTGCAGGGAATGTACAATAATTTGAAAACAGTTTAGCAATATCTTAAAAAGTTAGACATGCACTATATCTGTTTCCATAGCCTGATCATTCTATTGCTTGGTATTTACTCAAACGGAAACATATCCACACTGTCTTAGTCCATTTTGCATTGCTATAACTTAATACCACAAAGTGAGTAATTTATTAGGATAAGAGGTTTATTTTGGCTCACAGTTCTGGAGGATAGGAAGTGCAAGATTGGGTGGCCCCATCTGCTCAGCTCCTGGTGAGGGGCCCTGTGCTGCATCATGATGTGGCAGGAGGCATCACAGGACAAGAGGACTGACCATGTCACTCATGTCTCTCTTTCTCCTCCTATAAAGCTGCTAATGCCCCACCTTCATGGCCCCATCTAATCTGATTCTCTCCCAAACCTTCCCCTCTCACATACTGGTATAGATTTCCCACCCTCTGCATTTCATCTTAACAAAATTTAAACTCTCTGAGGATCCCAGAATCAACCAACAAAAAGCACAGTTAGGTAATTAAAGTATTAAGTATTGCCACAATGAAGATTAGGTTTTAACATGACTTGATGGGGGGACAAACATTCAAACCATAGTGCACACAAATATGCATTCCATCGCATCCTCCTTTGTAATAGTCTGAAACAAGATAAAAATCCAAACGTCCATTAAGAGTGAATGAATAAGCAAATTGTGATCTATCCATTCATTAGAATACTACTTAGGGGAGAGAGAAAGAACAGGGGTGGGAGACAGGGAGGGACTTAGCAATCGGGGGAGAAATAAGGCAGAACAAACAAGCGTCACAGAAATATATATATAATATATATGTTTATATATTATGTTATATATATGCATTTATTTTTTGCTCAGCCTAGTAATTTTGAAATTCATCTGTTTATATATATATGCATTTTTATATGTTTATGTATAGATTCATCTATGAAGAAGCTGTATAAATATATTCATCTACATATGTATGTTTTTATATATATACATATATATAAACATAGATGGATCTCAAAACCACTAGGCTGAGCAAAAAATGAATGCATACTTATCATTTTATTAATATAAAATTCTGGTGGCAAAATTAGACCAGTGGTTGGTTGCCTGAGGACACAAGGAAGCTTTGGGGGCTGACAGACCTGTTTGCTATCTTGACGATGGTGACATTTCACAGGTGTACACACATGTCACAATTGACCAAATGGTATACTGTGCATACATGAGTTTATTATACAGCAATAGTACCTCAATAGAATTGTAAAAGAAGTACACTCTTACTCACCATATCACCTCTGACAAGCAACCTGTACATACCATATTTACTTCCCAAAGAAAGGAGCATGCGAATCCTGAGGCTGAGTCCCTTCAAAGCCCCTGGGAAGCTCCTGCGTGAGTTCATGAACATGATGAGCAGGACGGAGCTGGAAGCCACATTTCACCTGCTGTCCTCAGCAGCTGGCATGCATTCTAGTGACACTTGGCACTGCGCGGCTACCTTTATGGTTACTGACTGGCTTTAATACTTTAAATACTTGTGTTGTGCTCTTTGTTAGTTGATTCTGGGAACTTCAGAGAGTTTTTATTTAGTTTTAAATTTCGCTTCTTTAAAGAATTTTCTGATTTCAAATCCATTTATTAACAAATAACGTAATTTGCAGCCAGGTGCGGTGCTCAGGCCTGTAATCCCAGCACTTTGGGAGGCTGAGGTAAGAGGATTGCTCGAGCCCAGGAGGCAGAGGTTGCAGTGAGCCATGATTGTGTCACTGCATTTCAACCTGGGTGACAGAGTGAGATCCTGCACCCCTCCACAAGAAAATTATGTAATTTGCACTTTTAATACATCACATTATACGTGACACTACAGAAAACTCAGGAGGAAAAGTGAACAATATTATTTTAATGAGTAACATTAAAAATAGAATTATATCATAGAAGAAAATTGTTTTGCTTTTTAATCATCAACAGCTGCACTTCACTGTAATGAAAGTTAAATACTACTCCTTTACTACCTTCACGTAATAAAGTGATTTGTGAAAACTGGATAGAAATTAAAGTATAATCAGTATTTTCAAAGGACAATTATCACATTCCTCAACTATAAATTCAAGTTGCATTAGTCCCAAACAAACATGGTTTATGTTTGTGTGGTATTCTTTTGTAATTTACACAGATCTGTAAGTGGAAATGACAAAAATTTTATTTATTTATAAAATTCTTACTCTCTTGTTTAAAGCCATAGAATCTTTTTTGTTTTTATATTTTCATCAAAAAGGTAATGTGTTCTTTAGAGAAAATATGGTGGGGGAAAAAGTGACAAGAAGAAAATATCCTTCTATCTACACACCCACTTTTTAAAAATCCAAGAGATGACCTCTGTGTCTCTGCAACTGATATTTCTTCTAAAATTGATGGAGACACATTTGTATCTATTGCAAGATCTGTGCTATAATAATTTCACCAGCCCTTTCAACTTAATGCTGCGTGGACATTTGCCCATGTCATTAAATGAACTTATTCAGCATAATTGTGGAGTATTTAATTCCATGAATCAAGTAGTTACTGAAACTCAGTAGGGATGCAAGAATGTGTGCCGTTCAGTGAAAGCATCTGCTGTATCCGCCGTACTGGCCTCTACGCTTAGACCGGGTCGTGTATTCTATTTTTCTGTGGTAAATAAAGAGACTGTGAATACCCTAGCACATCAGTCTTTGCAAATATCCGGGGGCATTTTCTCAGTATCAGTTCTTGGATTTGAACTGCTCAGTCAGAGATCACGTGCCAAGGTTTTCATGACTGAGTGGAGGTTACCAAAATGCCAGATCGCCTTTTCCTTCTGCACACCTGGCAGCCTTGTGGCTGTGTGCCTCTCTCCTGCACCCAAGGCAGGTATGGGCAATCTGGTTCAGTGTAGCAGTGGCCATCTAATACTTGCTTACATTTCTTTTAGTATTTATGGGAAACCCACAGGATCCTAACTGTGATGTCCCCACTCCCTCTCTATCACCTTTTATCTCCTTAACCTGTTTTATATTTCTTTCCTTCTTTCCCTTCCTTCCTCCCTTCCTTCCTTTCCTTCCTTCCTTCTTTTCTCTCTTTCTTTCCTTTCTTTTCTTTCTTTCTTTCTCTCTCTTTCTCTTCCTTCCTTTCTTTCTCTCTTTCTTCTTTCTTTCTTTCTTCTTTCTTCTTCTTTCCTTCCTTTCTTTCTTTTCTTTCTTTCTCTCTCTCTCTCTCTCTCTTTCTCTCTCTCTTTCTCTCTCTCTCTCTCTTTCTCTCTTTCTCTCTTTCTTTCTTTCTTTGGCTGAGTCTCTCTCTGTTGCCCAGGCTGGAGTCCAGTGGCGTGATCTTGACTCTTTGCAACCTCCACTTGCCTGACTCAAGCGATTCTCCTGCCTCAGCCTCCCGAGTAGCTGGGACTACAGGCATGCACCACCATGCCTGGCTAATTTTTTGTATTTTTAGTAGAGATGGGGTTTCACCATGTTGGCCAGGCTGGTCTCAAACTACTGACCTCAGGTGATCCGCCCGCCTCACCCTCCCAAAGTGTTGGGATTACAAGCATAAGCCACCGCGCCTGGCCCCTGTTTTATATTTCACAGCCCTTATGAGCACCTAAAATATTATGCCTACATGTGTTTTTATAATGGTCTATCCTCCTCTGCCCCCCCACTTCAAAGAGCAGGAACTTTTTTTTCCCTATTGTTTCCACCTTGCGTAGAATAATGCCTGGAGCATAGTAGGAGTGCAATTAATATTTATTTAATAAATGGCTAACAAATGACGTGTGCACGCACAAACACACGTGCTATGAGCACTGCTGTGTGAGTCCAAGGTCTCCTTTCGTCCTCTTAGAAATCATAATCAGTGCCCCACAAACCACATCCTCACAGATGCTAAACCTGCCCAGGAGTGCAGGAGAGGCCACATCACTCTGACCTGACCGAGAGACAGAAGGGCACCCCCACCACCACCAAGAAGGCAGAGAAGAGGGAATCAGTGTGAAGAACCGACCTGGGGGCAGGTCAGAGATGGGCACCCAGGGAGGAGCAAGAGGGGCGTAGCTGACTTCCTGGGCGGCTTCAATCTCTCATTCACATTTTCCTCTTTGCCTCCGCCCATCCTTGGTGAGTAGATAGTCCCCTCCCTCATTAGTCCAGAAATCCTGTCACAGCGACTAAACCTGAGTCCAGTCTTGTCAACATTTTGGATGCAATAGAATCTTGAGGTGCTTGTTCACAGTAAATTCTGAAAGCCTTGGTCTAGAAGGGACATCTCAGGTGCAGAATATGGGAAATTGCATGTTTATAACCAAAACCAGGACACAGCCTCACACAGCTCCCTTCTGCGTGCACAACCTCCTCCTCACAATGCCTCCTCTTCAACGCTTGCCTCTTCCCAGCAGCCCTGCCGTCAGCTCCTATGTCCCAGTGGGACCCTGTGTTCATTTCCTGGGGCTGCTGTAACTAGGCATCATGAACCACGTGACTTGGATGATCTCTGGGGATATTGCAGCTGGAATCACAGGCAGAGGTGGCCAAAGGCTTTCTAGAGGGCTCTATCTGCCTCAGCATGGGTCATGTTTTAAATGTGCAGGTGTCTGTCTGCCAGGGCTGCTGTAACAAGATACTGCAGACTGGGGGAGTCATACAGCCGACTTTTATTGTCTCACAATTCTGGAGGCTGGAAGGCTGAGATCAGGGTGTCGGCAGAGGTGGTTCCTACCCGGGCTGTGAGGGAGAGTTAGCCCCGGGCCTCTCCCTTTTGCCCCTGGCTTGTAGGTGAGGCACTCCTGGTGGCCTTAATCATCACCCCTCTGTGCACATCGGTCTCTGTGTCCACACTTCCCCTTGGTATAAGGACCCAGTCCTGTTGGATGCAGGGCCACTCTAATGACTTCATTTTAACTGATTGCCCCTTTTAAGACCCTATCTCCAAATACTGTCCCTTTGTGAGGTCCTGGGGGTTAGGACTTCAACATTTCTTTTTTGAAGGGACACAGCTCATCCTCAGCAGGCCCCTGACCCCAGGGGCTTCATGCGAATGTTGCTGGCAGTATTACTGCACAGTACCCTCCCAGCTGCCCTGTGCTTCTAGAAACCTCCATCAGAGTCCGGAACCCTGACTGCTTTAGGGCCCTAGTCTTACAGTGACTGCAAGGAAGAGAAAACTTTTTGCTTGTTTATTGTTTAGAAATATTACATACCTGATTCTTTCCTGCCTCCCAAGAAAAAGCACAATTCTGTGAGAGACGCTTTTTTTTTTTTACCCCAATTTACATATGAGAAAACTGCCGCTTGGATAAAGTCAATCAGGAACTCAGTGTTATCCAGGAGTGACTAGTGAAAGAAGTGGTCCTCAAATCCAGGATGTCTCTGCCTAGAGTTCTGTGAAAAAGTCATATGTTCTCTTGGTTGAGGTAAGTAGCAGTGACTTATGCTCTTGCTTTCAGCCAATTCAACTCTGCTCTGAAGCAGAGTTGAAGTGCAAGATCAGGGATCAGGAAAGGGAGAACAGTCCAAATACCAGGCACCAGAGGTAAGTGCTCAACCGCAGAGTGGGCAGTGGGAGACAGAGGAGCACCGCGGAAGGTGATTCCTCGAAGGGCCACACATACAGGAGCCAACAGCTAAACTTTTACTAGTGCCTGTCTATTGCTTTACTGGACCACACGCCAACATGGGCATTTGGCATCACTGCAGGACATAGACTGTAGGCCAAGACCTACCTTCCTTGACCGGGCATGGTGGCTCACGCCTATAATCCCAGCACTTTGGGAGGCCAAGGTGGGTGGATCACCTGAGGTCAGGAGTTCAAGATCAGCCTGGCCAACATGGTGAAACCCCCTCTCTACAAAAATTAGCTGAGCATGATGGTGGGTGCCTATAATCCCAGCTACTCAGGAGGCTGAGGCAGGAGAATTGCTTGAACCCAGGAGGTGGAGGTTGTAGTGGGCCAAGGTTGTGCCACTGCACTCCAGCCTGGGCAACAAGAGTGAGACTCCGTGACAAACAAAAACAAACAAAACAAACAAAAAAACCTACGTTTCTCAACACGGGAGCAAAGTACAAATAGGACAGATCAGGGAGGTTCTGAAGCTTCTTTAAAGGCCCTTACTTTTCACTTGGGAAGAGAGAACAATGGAGCTCTCCCTCCAGGGTGTCTGGAGCTTCTGCCTGCAGGGTCTTCCTTCTCTTAGGTTTTGGGGCCAGGAGAGGGTAGGCACTGTTTGTCTTTTATTTGAAGAGGGTCAGCTTTTTTCCTTGCTTTCTTAAAAAGAGTGGGTTGAGTTCTCAAAAAAAGTTCATGCAGCCTTCTGGTTAAGCTGGGTGCGTGGAATGCACACATTGGCAGAAGCTGCCAGCATCTGTCAGCTGTGCCCTCTCTAGAGCTGGCGTCTGCAAACTCTTGCTGTAATAAGATACTAGATCATAACTACCAGATAATAAATAGTTGGCTGGGCACAGTGGCTCATGCCTGTAATCCCAGCACTTTGGGAGCCTAAGGCGGGTGGATCACCTGAGGGCAGGAGATTGAGACCAGCCTGGCCAACATGGTGAAACCCTGTCTATACCAAAAATACAAAAAAATAGCTGGGCGTGGTGGCACACGCCTGTAGTCCCAGCTACTCGGGAGGCTGAGGCAGGAGAATCGCTCTAATCTGAGAGGCAGAGGTTGCAGTGAGCCAAGATCATGCCACTACACTCTAGCCTGGGCGACAGAGCGAGACTCCAGCTCAAAAAATAAATAAATAAATAAATAAATAAATAAATAAATAAATAAAAATAGTTTAGACTTTATGGGCCCAATGCTGTCTTTGTCACATCTTCCTCTTGTTAAAAAAGAAATGGTTTAAAACTGCATGAAAACAGTCTTCTCAATACAAAGAAAGAGGCAGCAGCCGGATTAGACTGCAATTTCCTGACTCCGGTTGTACTGTAATGGAACCACAATGCTTCGCTCAGCACATGGGCCTGGAGATAGAGAGAATCTTCTCCAGCTCTCCTGTGGCCAGACATGGATGTGTGATGGGGTTGGGACAGCGGAGTGGAAGGGAAGTGATTTGTGCTACTTCTGTCCTGCTAGGGACATCCTGAAGAGGAGAGACCAGAGCAAAAGCTGGAGGAATGGGACAGGGCATATGTAACAAACCTGCACGTTGTGCACATGTACCCTAGAACTTAAAGTATAATAAAATAAAATAAAATAAAAAGAAGAAGGTGAATCCAGCACTTGGCCGTCTGCTTCCAGAAAATTGCATGAAGAAGAAATGTTCTTCGTCTCTCTCAGCCACTGTTGAGATGGATCTCCATTACATGCAGGGGAACCTGAATCTTAAACAGTGAAGAGTGCGCCTCCTGAAAGCAGAGCGCTGCACATGGCAGAAGCTAAACCCTGCAGCATCAGCTCGGCAGTCTAAAGGCAAGTAGCAAAGACACAGGCATTTGCAAGCTGGAAAGCTTGTGATGCGAGTTATGTTGTGGCAAATCATTAGGGCAAAGCTCACAGGCATGAGATGTTAGAAGGCGCACCATGTGCAACAAAGCTTCTAACTCTAGGGAAAAGGATGGGAAAATGAGGCATGTGGTGGTGTCTCAGCTACACCTCTCCGCTCTGCAAAGTCTGAAGAGAGAATTGAGCTCAGGCTGGAGCAGAGCAGGGAGTGGTACAGTCTCCTTGAGGATGAGAGCCTCCCTACAGCTGCCTGTACATCAACTGAGAGTCTAGGAATTTAGGGCCTCACAGGGCAGCAACAGTTACTGCTTTTGTCACTCACACTAAAGCTGTTACAGAAGTGGTAACTTTAACCTGGAAAAAAACTGTGATTCCAACCAGTGAGAATGAGGCCAGCTTCAGAGATGTGATCACAGATGTTACCCTCTCATCAAAGGGATTGCCATGGAGTGGGAAGAGAACACCGAAGGTGCAGGGGCAGGAGTGTAAAGCACGGAGATTTTAGGCTTAAAAACAGCACCCAGATGCAGGTCCTACAAGGTAACATCGGCTCAGCTCATTAAGTTAGAATATATCCTTACATCTTCCCAAAAATACTCAGAAGGACAATGAAGGCACGTAAAATCATCCAGCACTCAGGCTAACAGCTTGACTAAAAGACAACACCAAGAAATGAATTCATCTGCAGACAGTGAAGTGAGTATTCTAAACGATCATGGCCTGCCATGAAGGCCACACCAGGGCAGTGTCCTGCAGGCACCACCACAGGGGAGAGGTAGTGGGGCTCCAGTAGGAGTAGAACCGGATGACACCAATGAGACCCACACCCAAACGGAGAGTGTCCTCCCCAATTCAATATCCTTACTTTAAACACATCTGCAAAGTCTCCTTTGCTGTTTAAGACAACGTATTCACAGGCCCTGGCACGAGGACATGGACATCTTTGGGGATGAAGCTATGCCAGCCTGCAGTCTGGCTTCCAAAGGTGTATGTCTCTCACACACGCCAAAGGCATTCACCTCCTCTTAAGGTCTCCAAAAATCTCAATTCATCATAGCAACTCCAAGTCCATTATCTCATTAAATCTCACCAGTTTAAAAGCCCAAAATATCATCTAAATCAGGCAAGGGTAGGACTCTGACAATAATCCATCCTGGAGCAAAATTCCCCTTCATCTGTGAAGCTGTGAATCCAAAGAAACAAGTGTTTTGTTTCCAAAATACAATGGTGGGACAGTCGTAGACATTTCCTTTCAGAAACAGAAGGAAAGACTGGTCTCAAGCAGTTTTGAAATCAAGAAGGGAAAACTCCATTAGGTTTTGAGGCAAGAAAAAAAAATCCTCTGTAGCTCTCAGCTCTACCCTCTAAATCATCTTACCCCCTTTTTTTTTTCTAAATGAGCTGCAGAGCTGAGTCGTTTTATCAGCCTGTTTCCTGCCAGTAGAATTTTGGGGGTCCATCAGCCTTCTTTCATTTTTGCTCTTTCCATCCCTTTCGGCGCAAGCTGGCACTGTTCCTGCTGATATGAAATTCTCAGGAACCTCGTGGATCACACACGTACATCATGGGGATTCACTCATTAGACAAGAGGCTTGCCCACAGATCTTTCCAGGTAATCCCATCTCTACTTTTCCTTTGCGGAGATGGCTGAGGAACAATGCCCTTGAGCTTCCTAAGGGCATTGTTAGAAAGAGGAAGAGGCTCTCTGGTTCCAGGACATTTGTGAGTCCCTTTCTTTACCCCGTCAAAGAGCCTTTTGTGTGACAGAATACTCTGACCTTTTGGTCTTCCTAAGATATTTCCAGAAAGTGTAGAGCCATACCGTCAGCCTTTTCTCTAGAACATGCTTTTCTGACAATAAATCTCTCAATTTTAGTGTCGTTTACAACCTGGAAGGACTGAGAGTTTTTCAAACGATCAAGTCCTGGTTTCTTTTTATTTAATGGTTCTTCCCTCAATGTAACTTTTCTCTCTTCCACTCTGCAAGAAGAAGCCAGACTGCACTTTCAACGCTTGGCTTGGAAATCACTTACAGGTTCTGCTTTCCACGCCTGCAAGACCTGTAAGCTTTCTGCTATTGGCCCCCTTTTCCTCCATATCCAATACCACATTCCCTAATTTCTTCTGCATCCTCACCAGCAGTGTTTTTAATGTCCATTATTTCTACCAACAATCTGTTCACGGCAACTTAAATGTTCTCTAAGCCTGACCTAGGTTTGTCTATTGTATCCCTCACTTTCTTCTGTTTCCTCATGGGCAATGTCATTATCATCTATTTTTTTTTTTTTTTTTTTTTTGACTAATAGTCTGCTCAAGGCAATTGAGACTTTTTGTCATCTCAAAATTCTTCCAGTCTCTCCCTATTTCCAATTTCAAAGCCACTTGCATATTTTTAGATGTTTATTACAGCAAATCTCACTTCCCGGTTCCAAAAATATGTATTAGCCTTCTATTGTTACTATAAGGAATTGCCACAATTCGTTACACTACCAGGCTCAAATCAAGGTGTTGGGAGGCTGTATTTCTTTCTGGAGGCTGTAAGGAGGATGGCTTTCCTTCCTGTTTGAATTGCTGGCAGAACTCAACAACAGGGTCTCCCTACTTCTCAGAACCAGCAACTGGAGCATCACAGCCTTCTCATGCTGCCACTTTCTCTGCCTATGGCGGGAAAAAATCCTCTAGCTTCTGTGCGTTTAAGGACTCATGGTTGTTATTAAATTGTGGACCTCTTTGTTGGGGCATTATTCTGCCTACCACCATGGACAAATGTAAAACTTCACTGAGCTATAAACTGGAGTGTAGCCATTTAGTGTTTCATAATTTACACTTCTATTAAAGGACATCTTAAAAAATAGATGACATTGGGGTTCTACTGTGTTTCTACTCTAGTGTACTCGTGACATTTCTGGCACCAAAAATGTGGGTTGTTTCTTTTTCCAACACCAACAAATTATTTAACTCTCTGACAACAACTAGGTGTCCAACAATTCAATCAATTCCAACACTAACTACCTGGAGTTAATGCAGACCTCACAGGTTAAGGACTCAGTCCCTCAAGACCACCCCAACTTCAGATACCAGTCTCAAGTCCTGGTCCTCCTATGCTTCTAATCAATCTACTAAAAACTGGGGGCTCACACAGCTCCTCCTCTGGTTTGATAATTTGCTAGACTGACTTACAGAATCAGGAAAACACTTTATATGTCATTGCCAGTTAATTATAGAGGATACAAGTCAGGAACAGCCAAATGGAAGGGATGCATAGTGTAAGGTCCTGGGGGAAGGAGGGGTGCACCGAGCTTCCCTGGCCTCTGCAGGTTGGAAGAGATGCATAGTTCAAGACACTGGGAAAGGAGGGTACACAGAACTTCCCTGGCCTCGGCAGGTGTGCCAATGTGCATACCAACTGGAAGGTCTGCAAACCCCGTTGTTTAAGGGTTTTATGGAGGTTTCACTGGGTAGGCATAATTGATTAAATCACTGGCCATTGGTAATTGGCTCAATCTCCCACCCCTCCCCATTCCCAAGGTTGGGGGCTGGACTAAAAGCTCCAACCCTCTAATCACGCCTTGGTGTTGCTGGCAGCCAGCCTCCATCCTACAGCTATCTAGGGTCTCCGTCACCATTTGCCTCATTAGCATGCAAAAAACACTGTTAACACTCTCCAGATTACAAGAGTTTTAGGAGCTATATGCCAGGAACCAGAGAAAAAGACCAAATATATATATATATATATATATATATATATATATATATATATATATGTTTTTTTTTCAAATTATATCACAGGAGCTTTGAGAACTGAACTGATGGGCAACACCAAAAACAATCCAAGCCTAAACGCAGCAGAATACTGACACACAGGATGAGCAACAGAGTGAGTTTTAGACTGTTTTTCAGCTATGCATGGATCAACTAATTCTAAAGCCTGTGTTTTCTCAGCATTTTCCCTAAGTGAGTTAAAAATTTTTTTTATTTCTGAAATCCATCAAAGTTAAGTTTTCTATTACTTGCAGCCAAAGTCATCCTAAATGTAGCCACATAGTAAGCAGAATGGCATTCTCAGTTCCTATGACTTAACCCTGTGTCACAGGCTGTTAGTACACTGGCTGTAAGTTACCTTCAAACAGCTTGCACAGGCATATTCACTTTCATTCAATTTTGCACTTGATTATAACATTCTCTTAAAATTCAAAAAGCAATGATGGCTTTGCATGCAAAGTCTTCAAAGGTTATCTTATAAAACTCATATACTTTGTCATAAAATTATAATGGATCTCGAATTTATAGTACTTATTAGTTCTCAGTGAGAAAATTACCTGTATAAAAATACTATTAAGCAAGAACAGCCATTTTAGCTGTGACATATATATATATTTCAAATTACATATCTCTTTTGGAGAATGAAATGTTGATGGTATTTTGTTTTGTGGCAGTTGTAGAGATTTCTCATATGTGGGATTTGGCCTCAGCCTGGATGTAAAAGGAGAAAAAGAATTCAAAGGAAATGAATACATTGTGATGTTAATGTTAAGCTATTTGTAGATAGAAATGGTGAACTACATCTTTCTTTGATTTAATGAGGTATGAAGAGTTACAGAAACATTATACTTTCATTCTTCACTCTCTTGTACCTGCTCCATCAGTGACCCTGGGGGTGTACTTAAATTACCTCAGCTGAATGGGCTTCAGTCAGTTCTGAGAATGAGGCAGGGTTTAGGCATCAGGTGCCGTGTGTTCACAGGAGAGAAAAAAGGAATCTCCTTTAAATAGATGCAGAGAATTCTGAGGGCATATTTAAAGATGATGCATATGTTAACACTGTTTAACATACCAGCATCCCCAGTGTGGGTTCCTATATTCATTCATATATTTAAGCCATCAATAAGCAAAAATGTGGAACCCATTCCAGTACTGCCAAGAGGCTTAATCACTTTTGGCTCAGCTTTCAGGCGAGACCCCTGGAGTATTGTATCCACAGCCCAGGGTCTGACAGGATCTCTTGACAGCTGCCCTTGAAGTAGAGTGAGTAGGTCTGCTAATGAGACACAGGCTTGCTGGCAAGAGATGGTTTTATTTCAAGTGCCAATCAGCCATACACAGTATTCACTTTTCATTTCAGAGTGAAAGAGCTTCCTCCAAAATTTATACTTGAAAACAATGAATATGAACCTGAATTTGAGAACAATGAATTCCATCATGCATGAAAATTGTGAAAATAGCCAGGGCTGGGGATCTTCCCTTCTCAAAGTGGAGGAAGAAGGACCAAAAACACACTAATGGTGTATGGTTGGTTTCTATCTTCAGCACCTGTTGTACACCAGACCTGGAGGGCCCGGAGACATGGAAGAGAGCCCCTCTGTTGAGAAGGCACCATCTAAGGTGGCCCGTGGGGTCCAGCCCACCACAGCAGGCACAGTGCTCGCAAAGCCACGATGGAAGACCCAGGTAGGTAACCAGGATGGTAGGGGCTGCCAGCAGAAGACTTCACAGCTGAAAACTAAGAAGAGAGACTAGAGTCCCCTGCATTCAAGGGAATGGCAGCAGAGTGTGGAGGGTGGAGAGAGGGCATGTGTGGGTGTGCAAGCCCCTCAAGGTGTCTGTCCTTGCTGCTGTATTGCTGTGCAGGCTGGGTTCTCCCTTGTGACACTGGTTCCCAGCAGACATCTCCAAGGTGGCCCTGTGATAGGATAGCACTCTGCTCACTAGCACAAGTCTTCTGTGGGCCCCTCCTGGGTACACCATGTAAACAGGCATTTCTCCTCCCTCAGATGTTTTAGTAAACTAAAAGCCCATTCATGACTTTTGGAGATAATAACTTACAAAAATAGGGTATAAGGAAATATTTATTGCTTTGGTTTTGCCCAACAGGAAGAACTCAATTTGATTGCCATTTATATTCTCACACTGACCATTTACATCCTTCTTCATCTGTCCATTACAGAAAATTGCGGCAAAGGATAATTACAACTTTGTAACGAAAAGCAAAAACAAGAAAGAAAAAGCACCCTCAGAGGCAGAACTCTTGTGACCCCCAAATCCATTAGCACTCGTCTCTCATGAAAGGCTGGTCACGAATGCCTGCATTCTTTTGAACTGATCCAATTTGGTTGAAATATCATCAAAATACCTCAATTTTGTTTGGTTCATCTAGACTTTCAAGAGACATGAGATATGGTTACATTCAGATGTTCGGATTTTTTAAAGTTCATATCTTCTTTCAGATAGAATATTTTTTTCCTTTGAAAATGTAAGTAAGGTCCCATCCTTCCTGTAATAGAAACCAGCAGACTGCCCACATTTCACCGCCCCTGTGGTCTTCAGGCTTGTCTGCCTCTGCCCCAGGTCTGTCACTCCCCTGTCTCCAGCCCGCCCACACTGGTACCTCCTGAACATCAGGCTGTCAGTCTGTCAGCCACCCACGGCCCAGCATGCTCTTCCCTCAGCCAAACTGGCTCATGGCCTCATGGCCTCATGTTGCCCACCCTTCCTAACAGGGCTGTTCTCCATCTCAGTTGGCTGTGCCCATCAGAACCACTCCAGGCCCTCCCAGCATTTCCCATAAACTGACAGGGTTAGTGTGTGATTCTCTGTGTCTGCACCTGAAAATACAAGCAGGGGTCTTTGTATTGCTCATTGATGTGTCCTGAGCATCTAAAGCTGCGTGATATGCAGTAGGTGTTCACTAAACATTTATTAATAATTAATTTTTTATTTATTAATAATGAAAAACAGCCATAAAATTGAATGTCTCCATTTTAAATCATCACATTTTATGTACATTTAACTTCACTCAAAGTATTAACTTATTAAAATATCATTTAAAATATTACATATTAAAGTATATTATTAAAATTATATGAGAAGCCAGGTACAGTGGCTCACACCTGTAATCCCAGCACTTTGAGAGGCCATGGTGGGAGTACCATGAGGTCAGGAGTTCAAGACCAGCCTGGCCAACATGGTGAAACCCCGTCTCTACTAAAAATACAAAAATTAGCTGGGAATAGTGGTGCACGACTGTAATCCCAGCTACTCAGGAGGCTGATGCAGGAGAATTGCTTGAGCCTGGCAGGCAGAGGTCGCAGTGGGCCAAGCTTACACCACTGCACTCCAGATAGAGTGAGGCTCTGTCTCAAAAAAAAAAAAAAAAATTATATGAGAGAAGTGGAGCCAAATGGCAGAATGGCAGAATAGTGCAATCACTCTCCAGTGATTGCAGAAACATCAATTTGAACAACTATCCATGCACAAAAATACCTTTTCAAGAGCAAAAAAAAAAAAAAAAAAAAAATGAGAGATCATGATACCTGGTTGTAGCACAGTCATAAGAAAGAATGCATTGAAAAGGGTAGGAAGGACAGTTTTACATTACCCACATCATGCCTTTCCCAACCTCAATCAGCACAGGATGGAGTGAGATAATGTCTTCTTGGGGGAATGAGAGGAAAGTGAGCACAGGACCTTGCCTTAGGCCCCAGCACTGGGCCTGTCATAGTTAAAACTCAGCACCAGACAGATCCCCATGGACCCAGACTCCAGGTTAGTACCAGCAAACTAAGCTTCCAGACCTGTCCAGGTGTGGGGCTTCAGGGCTGTGAGGCAGGCTCGACCTCCAGCTCACCCTAGCATTATGCTGGTTATAATAGGCCTGGGTTTGGGGCATGCCCCAGCACCATGACAGCCATTGCAGCCTTAGGCTTCCATTGTCTCCTGGCACCACACTGGCCACAGTGGCACCAAAAGTCAGGTCCACCCCCACACCACATTGGCCCTAGCTGCCCCAGGCTTCAGAACCATGCCAGACAACCAGCTCAAAATCTCTAAACAGGTTGACTGCTGAACGGCTTTTCCAGAGAAAGTAAGTCTGCAAAGTCTGAAATAAGCTCCTACTTCTTGAAATGCACAAACATCAACATATGACCACAAGGATGAAGAGCAATCATGGAAACATGACATCATCAAAGGGACAAAATAAAGTGCCAATGACTGAGCCTAAAAAAATGAAGATATATGAACTACCTAACAAAGAATTAAAATTAACTACTAAGGAAGCTTTGTGAACTTCAAGAAAATACAGGAGAAAAAAAAATCAGTGAAATGAAGAAAATATTAAGTGGCCAGAATGAGAAATTTAACAGTCAGATTGAAATAATTTTAAAAATCAAGCAGAAATCCTGGAGGTGAAAAATACAATGAATGACACAAAAAATGCAATAGAGAGCATCAACGTTGGAATTGACCAAACAGAAGAAAGAATCTTCAAACTGGAAGACAAGTCATTTGAAAATATATAGTCAGAGGGGAAAAAATAGGGAAGAATGAAAAGACATGAAGAAAGCTTACAAAATTTATAGGACAACATCAAAAGAGCAAATGTTTGTGTTATAGGAGTTAAAAAGGAGGAAGAGAAAAGGTAGAAAGGATATTTAAAGAAATAATAGCGGAAAACTTTTCAAACCTAGAGAAAGATATAAATAACTAGATACAGGAAGGTCAAAGATCTCCAATTAGATTCCATCAAAGCAAGACAAACCCAGGACATATTATAATCAAACTGTCAAAAACCAAAACAAAGACAAGATCCTGAAAGTAGCAAGAGTAAAGAAGCAAATAAAATAAAAGGAGTTACAATATGGCTAGCAGCAGATTTCTCAGCAGAAACCTTACAGGCCAAGACAGTAAGATGCTATATTAAAAGTACTGAAGGAAAAAAACAAAACAAAAAAACAAAAAAACAAAACAAAAAACCTGCCAACCAAGAATCTTGTACACAGCAAAACTGTCTTTCAGAAATAGAGGTGAGGTGAGATACTTTCCCAGACAAAAGCTGAGGGAGTTCAATACCAGACCTATCTTTCAAGAAATGCTCAAAGGAGTTATTTAAGCTGAAAGAAAAGGATGCTAATGAGTAACAAGAAAACATCTGAAAGTATAAAACTCACTGGTAAAAAGAATGGACATTGGGTGTTCTCACCACATAAATGATAACTATGTAAGGTAATACATATGGTAATTAGTGAGGTTTAGTCAATCCACAATGTACATATAGTTTGTAGCATCATACTGTACATGATAAATATAAAATTAGATCTGCTAATTAAAAAATAAAATAATAAAAATAACTATAAGTGTACATGTTATATTCATAAAATATTAAAATTATTATTTTGAAATTGTGTATTACATATGCTAAAATGTGCATTTTCAGAAGAATTTACTCCTGCTTCTTGCAATAGCAGATTAAGTTATTCCTGATGGACTATCCCCAGAGAACAATATAAAAGTTGGACAAAATATTTTTGTTGAGAACAAACAGATTACCAGAATTCAAGGATTCCAAATTTCAAGAGTAGGGGGAGGCACCTAGGGCTTCCTGACACTTTTTCCTCAGTTTATTTGTGGACTCTAAGGTGGCATCTGAAAGGCAGGACACAGAGCAGAATGGAGTAGCTGAGAAGCCAGGAAGCTACATGGAGTTTTCAGTAGTCTCTTGGGGCTAGAAAAATAAAAACCAGGTCTATCCTGCTAAAAGCATTCTTATAAAAGGACTTATTACATAACAACCCCTAAATGCCCCTGGTTATCTTCCAATTAGCAAATCCCATTAGTATGTTTACAAATAAATCTGGTTGAAGCAAAGAAATAATGGCCTCAAGTGTTGTCACAGAAAACAGAGTCAAGTTCCCACCTCCTGTAAAATCCTCCCCAGAAGGAAGTTTCTTACCTGTTAAATACACAGCAATTCACAGCCAACATCATATTGAACTATGAAATGTTGAAAGCTTTCACTATGAATTTGGGCATGATATAGAAATGTCTAGTCCTGACCAGTGCAATAATTTGAGAAATGGGATAAGAGAATAGACTGGAAAAAAAGAAACTTAAAATGCCATTATTTATTATGACATACTTCTGTGGAAAATACAAGAGTTCATTCAGACATACTGTGGGAATTATTAATTAAATTTAGCAAAGTTAGTTTGTAGACAGAGGGCCAACACATACAAAAAAATCAATTACCTTTGTTTATGTCAGCAATAATAAATTAGAAAAGAAACTTTTTAAAGGATACCATTTACAATAGCCTCAAAGAACATCAAGTTATTAGGAATAAATCTAGTGAAAAATATGCATGGCCTCCCCACAGAACTTCTACAAATCATTCTTCAGAGAACTTAAAGCCTAAATAAAAGCTCATGAGTATGATTCTTCTCAAATTTATTTGTAGATTCAATGCAATTGTAATCAAAATCATAGCAGGTAGGTTTATAGAAATTCATAAGAAACATTCAAAATATATTTATTTATGAAAATGAAAAAGGCAAATAGTACAATCTTGAGAATGAAGGACAAAGTTGGAAGGCTTACACCTCAGCATATCTGGACACATCATAAAACTGCAGTTATTAAAACAGGGAGTGTCGGTTTGAGGATAGCAAAATATGTCAATAGAACAGAATAGTCTGTTCTAGACCAGAAAGAGAAGAGATAGTCTTTTAAATGAAAAGTCAACTGAATATCCATACCAAAAAAATGCTATCTTGACTCCTACTCACACCATACGTAAAAATAATAAGACTAGCTGGATTGTGGAGCTAAACATAAAAGGCAAACAGTAGAATTTCTACAAGAGCTAATGGGAAATTACCATGTTTTGGGAGGTGAGCAAATATTCCTTACTTAGGACACAAAAAGCACTAATCATAAGAAGAAAGATTCATAAATTGGACTGCCTTAAAATTAACAACTTTTGTTGCGATCAAATATGCCATTAAAAGAGTAACAAGGCAGTCATTGATCCAGAGTAGTGAAAGAACTCCCACAAATTAGCCAAAGGTCAGACAACGTCATAGGAGAATGGACAAAAGGTGTGGGCAGACACTTTACAAAAGAGGCTATGCTCAACATCATCAGTCATCAGAAAAATGCACATCGAAACTGTCTTGAAGTGCTGTTACACACCCGCCAGAATGCCTAATAACAAAATGCTGACACCACCACCTACTACTGAGGACAGGGAGCACATGGAATCTAATATTCTACTGGTGGGAGTATAAAGTAACATAATCTCTTTAGAAAACTATGTACTAATCTTGAACCTTTGCTCACTCTAGGGCAGAGAAATTTCATTCCTAGATATATAGCAACCAGAAATACACCAAAAACCAAACAAAGCAAAAACTATGCACAAGAATGTTCCTAGCACAATTATTAATAAGACCTAGAAACAAAAAACAGCCCAAATACCAACCAACCACAGATGGTAAATAAACTGCGGCACATTCACACAATGGAATACCTGAAGGATCAAAATGAGCAAACTCTGCTACGTGCCAAGACCACCGATGAGTGTCATAAATATCGTGTGGGGCAAAACAAGACTGACACACAGCAAAATCACACGATGCGCTTCCACTTATAAGAAGCTCAACGCCGGGCCGGGCGCGGTGGCTCATGCCTGTAATCCCAGCATTTTGGGAGGCCGAGGCGGGCAGATCACGAGGTCAGGAGATCGAGACCATCCTGGCTAACACGGTGAAACCCCGTCTCTACTAAACATACAAAAAATTAGCCGGGCATGGTGGTGGGCGCCTGTAGTCCCAGCTACTCGGGAGGCTGAGGCTGGAGAATGGCTTGAATCCGGGAGGCAGAGCTTGCAGTGAGCCGAGATCGCGCCACCGCACTCCAGCGAGACTCGGTCTCAGAAAAAAAAAAGGCTCTACGCCAAACGCAACTAACCTACGGAGCTAAAAATCCGTATTTCCAGAAAGCATACAGGGAATGGGTTTCTAGGTTGTAAGAGTTTTGTGAAAATTCACTAGGGAAATATTTATAATTTCCTTTATGTGTGTTGTACATCTACACAAATGTTTATTTAAAAATATGAAGGCATCAAGGTTAAGCATCTAACTTAATATCGACAGTCTAGAAGAAGAGTCCAGCATCCCCTTGTCCAATGCCTCTGCTCTACAGGTGGGACCCTGAGGCACAGAGACCAGTGTGTCTGAGGTTGACTCAGTGGCGGAACCAGGGCAGAGTGAGGTCGCCAGCGTCTTCTAGCACATGGAGCCTCTTTTGCCTTTTCCTGTCAACATGAACTACTTGAGTTTTCTTTAGTTCCAGATACCTTCGTGATGAAAAATGAGAAGTGGGAAACCCTAAAAATAAATAGGAAATGATTTCTTAAAGACCCTTGCCAGGCTGCAGCATCCTTTAAGGAGAACACTGAAAGAGGACTACCTCATGATTTGGTCAACTCCACCCCTAGGAAGGATCCTGCGGTGCGTGGTCACCCTGTCTTTATAAGGGATAGCAGTGCTTGACTATTATTTCCAGATTTAAGTTGTTCCTTGGAGAAGCAGTGATGACATGACTGCCTGCTGATCATTACACTTACCAATGATAATATTAATAATTTCTTTCTTTTTTTTTTTTTTTTTTTTTTTGAGACAGAGTCTCACTCTGTCACCCAGGCTGGAGTGCAGTGGCATGATCTCTGCTCTCTGCAACCTCCACCTCCCGGGTTCAAGTGATTCTCCTGCCTCAGCCTCCCGAGTAGCTGGAACTACAGGCGCCCACCACCATGCCTGGCTAATTTTTGTATTTTTAGTAGAGACGGGGTTTCACCACATTGGCCAGGCAGGTCTTGAACTCCTGACCTCAGCTGATCCACCCGCCTTGGCCTCCCAAAATGCTGGGATTACAGGTGTGAGCCACAGCGCCTGGCCAATATTAATGATTTCTAAGCACATGAATTCTCTTACCTCCAACCGGATCTACCTCAGGCATAAATCCCATATCTTCCTCATCTCCCTCCATGCACCCATGAAGAGCTCTTTTACCTCAACTACAGAAGCCATCTTCTCCCAAAGAGTTGGCAAATGTCTCAGAGATCACTGTCAGCAGAGGACGTGACTCAGGGGTGCAGAGGTACAGGTGAGATTTGCATTTCAGGCCATTTCCCTCAGCACACTACTGTTTAAGGTACATGTTTGACTATACACTGGTTATTTTTTGTGATTGAGTAATAAAACAAATTGGATGTTGTCTTCCACTTTCCTGTCTTGAGAAACTGTTCTGTTGATAAATGGCCTTGCTATTTACATCTGCTTCCATAGACGTGACTTACAGCACAGTGTGCTGTGCCCATATGCTGCTTTCAGAAATGTTGTTTAGAATAAAAGGCCAATAAGGTTGGCATTTCTGAGATCTGTGACCAGCCCTGTGCTTGGGTGTGACTCCCTATTTCCAGCAGGGCCAGCTTGAGTGTTCTTGGCTGTGGAGGGACAGAAAAAGATCAAAAGGTCCCCTACATTTTTTACCAGAGGCCAGCCCCCGTGCCCGTCCTCCCAATTCAGACACAACCCGGGAGCCACAGGCTGCAGCCCTGACCATCGCCCCTGGGAGGGTCAGGGAAGGACATCAAAGCCTTCCTGGGTCCACTCGTGCATCTGGTCATCTCTCCACTAGGAGAGAAGAAGAAGGAGAGGTGAAGGGTGACTTAACCTAATTCATCAATTTAGTCAACAAAAGTACATGCAGTGCAAGTATGTATGGGCATTTTGCCATGTGCTGGAAATGCAGAGTTGAGTTACACATGGTCCTTGATTTCTAAGGACCTCATGGGGAGGACAAGCAGGTGAACAAGTGCTTATTAAATATTGATCCTGATGACTGGAATCAGCAGATTAATTCAGATCCTGCCTGAAGAAGCAGTGATCTCTGCTCCCCGTGTACCAGCAGAGCTGGGCATAGGCACAGGCTGGGTCGGCCGAGCCCAAGGTGCACCCTGCTCTGTCTCTGTCCCTACACAGTCAGCAGATCTGAGAGAAGCTCCCATGCTTGTCTCACGAGTCTCCAGCCTCCTGAAATGAGTCCTATTCCTCCTCATCCATCCCACCTAACTCCCCGAGGAGCAGACCTGCAAGAAGCTTGGAGGCCCCTTGCTGAGTTTGATAACAGTAAGTAGAGTAGAGGAAGCTGAAGGCTCAGCAGCATTTCCAGAGCTGTGGATAACAGCAGGGTGAGTGAGCAGCAAGGCTTTCCAGCACATCCTTGTGTACAGCACAGCTCTTATCTCAGGCCTGCTTACGGCGGAGGCCTCTAACCCTCACCAAGACAAAATGTCTCTGTCTTAGATCATGAAAATATAACTACGACTTCACCAACTGGACACTTCAAAATGGAGATCTCTGAGAAACACATCCCTTACACACATAGAAGATTCCTATTGTCAAATTAAAACCAAACCCAGACTTAGGCAAGGAGAGACTGTATCCAAAAGGAACATTGCCATTGGGGGAAGGACTGCTGCATGGGGGAGGCTTTGACCATCAGACCTGCAAGCGTCCCAAAGGCCAGAAAGAAAGGGATTCTCTTTCATAGGGAGGGGTAGGCACAGCTATAAAGAACAGGGTATGGTAAGAGGAGTGAGCCGGTGTCGTGACCCCACGGTTGAGCAGAAAACATTCTCAGTGGACATGAGAAAGGATGGGTCTGCATCTGGCGGTGGGACAGAATCCTGAGTACGGTTGGGCAAGTCAAGTTACTGAATGTTTTGTCCAGATTGAGGAGTGGGGACAAAGTCCAGCTAATTATTTATGAGGGTCTGTGCCTGGCCTTATCCCAGATAAACAAGGGGCATTCCAGAGTTTTATGTAAGTCGCATGGGAAAGGGTGGATCTTGGCAGTGAGCCTTTTCCTGGGGAACAAAAAGATAAGGGAGGGGACGGGGGCTTCTTAACCATGAGGTTTCCAGGACAGCAGAGCTCAAGGAAAGTGTAACAATGCCACTATGAATTGTTTCAAATTACTTTTATTCAAATGTGTCATACAAATTGTTTTAGATAGCATATCAATCATTATTGTTACACGATTAACATTACTCATCCTGCAAAACAATTCAGCACTGAAACAGTAGCAACTTATCCAAGCTGGTTTCTCTAAGGATTGGACATTTAGACAAGGATTTAAACATCCTCCTCTTGACATTTTCTTTTGCTGAAAATAATGGTTTTAGGAAATACACATTGCAGACGTATCTGAACTGTGGCAGCTATGCCTTTGCTTGGAGGCAGGTGATATGTTCATTTCAACACGTGCTCAGTGTTGTCTGGGAGAAGAGCACCATGCCAGGTCCAGGGCAAGGTGGGAGGAGAGAACACATGCCCTGCCTTCTGGTTGGGCCTTGATGGTGGAAGGGCGGTGAGAGTGGGCACTGACAAAGCAAATGGGGCCTCTCTGGCTGCAGATTGCAAGTTAAACATCATTCCCCAGTGCTCTAAAGCATGATGTTGATGCACAGCAAAGCAGCTGTGGAACCTTGGAGCAGACAGTATGCTTGGGGAAAGGTCAGTCTTCAAGAATTTGTCAAAAGGTGGGACCAGCCCAGACCAACTGTGCATAGGTCAAGGGAAGGGCCATGTGGGAGGGGGACAAAAGCCAATCACCTCCCACCCCAAGAGTCCCATCCCAGGCTGAAGACTGAGAGGCAGAAGAAGCACGATGGCAGAGCTGTGGCCGGTAAGATTTATAGGCAATGGAGGATGCAGCACCGGGCCACCTTCCCTTAAAGCTTTCTGCACACTGTCTGCAGAAGCAAGCTGGGCAAAACACGAGGAAAGGATGAGCTGAAGAGAGCAAAACGAGAACAGCTTGAACCTAACCGGCTATAATCTGGCTTTGTCACTAAAAGAATCCCTCAGGCACCTCGAGCTCTCTTTATATGTATGATAGAATCCGAAATGATGCGTTAGTCCACACACAGCTTGTTTAAGGGCTCACCATACATAAGGCCCTCTGAGAAGTCTGGAAGCAGCACACATGGCCGTGGCCTTGGGGAGTGAAGGAAGCGGGAGAAAATGATGAAATATGGAATGCTTAATGAAAGCCCCTGGAGGCCAAAAGCCATCTTCCGTTTCTTCTGTACACACCTCAGGAGGCTGAGTATTCGATTAAGCACTTAATTAGGAAGCTTGTTTTTAATTTATCCATGGCATAAAATGCCATCAGGGTAGACATTCCGCAAGGCTCCATTGGCTGCCTCTGCGATCCTGCTGCTTCTCTGCATAGCACATCTCGCCTCTTAGCACCCACATGCTTGGGAAGGGAGAACCCTGGTACCCTGGCTCACAGTGGCACTTTATCAAAAGGCATCTGCAGGGGAGCTGGCTGCCCGGCCACCCAGGGCAGCTGCCAGTTACTGGCAAGAGGAAATCTGAATGGCACGCATCCCAGTCTGCACGGCCACAAGTCTGTAAGGGCTGCACTGCCAATGGATGCGGAGACGAGCAAGAGGACAGTGACACTCTGCCACACTCTTGAGAAGGGGTGGGGACAGGTTTATTCCAGTCGCTTTCAGGCTGCCAGGAGAAACATCAGCTACAATCCAACAAAACAGCATGCTTATCAAGGGTCCCTCGTCTGGGCTTATTGAACACCAGGGCAGAGAGCCTCCCAGAAGCCTTCTGGTGGAATTTTGCTCCTGCTCTCCTCCGTCTGCCCAGGAAGCTTATTCCAGAGTGTCAGCAATGCAACAGCACACCTCTGTCCATATCACAGATGGTCTGCCCACGTGTCAGGCCCAGAAACACGGTGGGGCCCAGGGAGGCCATGAATTAGTGAATTCAGCAACTAAATGCCTGCTGTCCTTACACCAGGAGCTCACCATCATAGGACAAGTGGGTTTCGATCAAATATCCTTGCTCTTCAGGCACAGATTATGTCCAGATAGCACACGGCAAATGCATTCCATCAGCTTGTGCAGTTGGAGAAGCTGACGGCCCTTGGCTTTCGGCAGCCTCCTTCACCAGCACCCCTGCCCCGAGGCCAGCCAGCTTCCCTCCCGCAGCCAGGTCCTGAGCACCTGCCTTTCACCTTCACACCTGGCCACCACGTCATCGTTGCTTTTGACTGTCTACCAGCTGCTCCCTGGCCACAAATGCTTCCCTGTAACCCATATCCCCCCAGGAAACCTCTCACTGATTTTCTACACTGCAGAGTCCATAAAGTATTGTGAGAAAGACTGAAGGTCAGTTCGGGCAGTGCCCACAGCTGGCCCAGACACTCTTGCAGCAACACCTGCACCTCGATTTAGCATCCTTAGCCCCAAAGACAGGCAGGCAACAAGGGCAAAGACAGCCAACAACAATGACTAAGATCCGGGGTGTCAGCCCCTCCGCACCCTCAGCCTGGATCTTTAAGACCTGGTGGGGCCAGCGGAGGGGGATGGTGGTCTTTCAAAAGTTGATAAATTCATTAAAATCATGCGGGAAAAGAGCTGCTGAATTTAAAGCAAGCAAAAGCAGGATGGTGGGAACTTGACATTGACAATAAGGGCAGGCAGGGATGGAGAAAGCAAGAGGCTGGGCTGGATGGGGGAACCGTGGGCACGAGATGGAGGGAAAGCCAGGGGTCAGGCCAGCAGGGCTGGTGATGGGGCAAGAGGCAGAGAAAAAGGATTTGCTCTTCTCAAGGTGGGCCATGGTTTTTGCATTGGCCCTTTGGGTTTCTCTGTTAAAATTCCAGTAAAGATTTACATTCCATATTCAGTTATTCTCAGTTGCTGGATGAATTTTATTTGAATGTTGCTCTGTTCAGACAGGATTACCCGGGCCCCATGTATATGCAGCTGACAAAGCCAAAGACAGACCCTCTGACCTCCTGCTGTTCGACTTATGATTGATTAGATAACATTAAAACTGTTCCTTGCCTCTGATTAGGTAATGTCAACAAGAAATAAACTTCTACCCTTCCCCACTCAACTGACTGATGGACCCCTCTCTTGGCCTAAGACATTCCAAAGAAGCCTGGAAAACTAATTCAGGCCATGAGGGGAAGTTGAGTCAGACATGTCTCATGATACCCTCCTCCCTTTGGAATTCAGGCACAATTGACCAGAGATTCTGACAGAGCAGACCCTTTGTAGCAGTAAGAGACCAAATTCCAACCTGACTCTAGTGCAGCATCGCATGACAGATAGCGGGCCCTGAAAGAACCTGCAGTATTTTACCACAAAATGTACTCCTTTTGTTACAGGAAAGGAGTCCCGATCCCGACCCCCAGAGAGGGTTCTTGGATCTCCCACAAGAAAGAATTCAGGGCAAGTCCACAATGCAAAGCAAAAGCAAGTTTATTAAGAAAGTAAAGTGTTGAAAGTGCAGCTACTCCTTAGACGGAGTCGGGCATTTCCAAAAGTAAGAGGAGGAAACGTGTCCACCCTAGGTACAATGCTCGTGTGTGTATGTATATAGGATAAAAAAAGGTCATGGGGAGATGTGCTCTGTTACAAGGGTTTGTAGTAAAGGATTAATTTTCTTAATTACCATATTTTGCAAGAATCAATATTATTATACTTAAAGCAAAATTAGGAATGCCTTTATTCTCAAGATATTGGGATATCTGGACACTCCCAAGTCTGGATCTGTTTAGTAAACCTTCTCAGTCTGTTCCCTTAACCGTAAACCTCTAGCGGCTAGAAATACCTAACTTTCTGGGAATGCAGACCAGCAAGTCCCAGCCTTATTTTCCTAGCCCTCACCCAAGATGGAGTTGCTCTGGTTTGAACACGTCTGACACTTTGAAATATTTTGAAATGGCCCTGCAATGCTTTCTCTTGTGGGGGGAAATTTACGCTGTGTAGAGAATCCCCCTTCCCTTCCAGGCCTTTTCCTGATCCAGGAGAGAATTAACTAAGATTCTGGCACCTTTTAAAGGTCTGAATAGGAAACATTTGCCATCTATAGCATCTAAGGGCAGCTGCTGAAGAGATTTCACCCACATAATCAGAACCCTGTTGTCCACAACCCCAGCACTCCTTTCGATTCATTCCAGGTCTTTAGATAATAACTCTTTCAACCAATTGCCAATCAGAAAACCTTTGAATCCACCTATGACTTGGAAGCCCCCTGCTTCAAGTTGTCCCACCTTTCTGGACCAAACCAATGTACACCTTACACGTATTGCTTGACGTCTGCTTATAACTTCTGCCCCCCTAAAATGTATAAAACCAAGCTCTAACCCAACCACCTTGGGCACATGTTCTCAGGACCTCTTGAGACTGTGCTTCAGGCCTTGGTCACTCATATTTGGTTCAGAATAAACCTCTTTAAACATTTTACAGCGTTTCACTCTTCATCAACATTAAAATTAGAACTTTTTGGCTGGACGCAGTGGCTCACGCCTGTAATCCCAGCACTTTGGGAGGCCAAGGCAGGTGGATCACGGGGTCAGGAGTTCAAGACAAGCCTGGCCAACATGGTGAAACCCCATCTCTACTAAAAATACAAAAATTAAATTAGCCAGGAGTGGTGGTGCATCCCTGTAATCCCAGCTACTCGGGAGGCTGAAACAGGAGAATTACTTGAACCCAGGAAATGGAGGTTGCAGTGAGCCGAGATCGTGCCGCTGCACTCCAGCCTGGGTGACAGAGCAAGACTCTGTATTAAAAAATAAATAAATAAATAAATAAATAAATAAATAGAACTTTTTTCCCCCTGAAACTACTTAACTAGAAAGAAAAACAATCCTTGTTCCAAAAACTGATGGAGACTTCCTCTTCTGCGGAACAACCCTAGCTGTGAGTCAACTCCTCTGCAACTGGTTAACCATCCCTGTAAAATTCCAGGATAACCCCCCAGCCACGACACTGGTCTTCAGATCTGGGGTGTTCTCCTATGGTGACAGCCTAAATAAAGTCAGTCTCCTCCCTCACCCAACTTTGGCCTTTGATGCAGCAGTGGAGACAGCATACCATTTTTGGACAGTGGGATGTACTCCCCTCTCTCCCACATCCCCATCCATTTATCTAGCTGCTTCTCCCAGGCACTAAGATCCAGAGTCCCTCTTTGGCCTACAGTCTGGTGGGATCAGACCCTGGTTCCACCCTCACTCATCCTGCTCATGCTACAGACCTCCTGGCTGTAACAAGAACCCTGGCTCAAGACATCCATTCAGATGTTCCCTCCCAATGAACCTGTTTAAATGACTTGACTCCATTTTCCCCAAAACTTATCACTCCTAAATGTATCAATTTCACTTACTGTCTCCTCCACTTGAAAATTAATACCATCAGATCACTGCCCAGGAAACAGGCACACAGACAGACTCAGTGAGCACCTCCAGCCCCCCACCACCAACAACCACACAGTGAGGAGGGGACTCCACCCCAGCCTCATGCCAGTGCAGGTGAGGTATGGCTGTGACAGTCACATGGGGCAAGGACCCCTGCTGGGGCATGGTGACATGGGAAGAACTGTGATTATATACAGCACAACAAATGTCCTGCAGAAAATGTAAAAGTCAGAAATGTGAGTAAGTGTTCGATCGGTCTTCCTTATTCTGGACTAAGCTACTTTGAAAAAGTAAGAAGCCGCTGAAAATTGACATTGTGGTGTATAACAGCCAGTTCTGGGCATGTTCAGCCAACAGTTTCAAGATCCTCCAGACTAAAACACTGCTGGTTTTAGATGTTGGGGAGCCAGTGTCAGGGTGACAAAGGCCATGAAGTGGGCAGGCCGGCCTGGAACTGACTGAGGGGAGCAGTGAGCAGTGGTTCTCAGTGCAGAACCACCCAGACGTCAGTTTTTATGGAAAGAACCCATATAAGAATTAAACAGGGAGGTTACCTAAAACCTGTTTTTAAGTTGTACCTGTTTACCTAAAACTAACTCTCTCCAATTTGAAATTAAAGAAATAATGCTATGCTTATCTTAAACCTAGATTTAATATCTATTAAAAAAAATGAGTATTCTCGTTTGATCACATGAGTTCTTTCTCAACAGCAAATGAGAATTTTGATCTGGAAAAGATGACATTTCCAGAAAGTTCTATTTCTGCCTGTTGCTCCCCACTCAGTACAATTATGCATCTTGGTAACTTGAGATGACCAAAGGAGAACTCTGAAACGTGGATGAGGAGGGTGAACTGGTTTGGAATCCAGGGTAGGAGGAAAAATATAGTGGTGGGGCACCCACACCCTCCACTCAACAGAAGAAGGTAACCCAGCCAGAATTATTCCTGGCCCAGCCTAGCTACAGAAGACAGCCCAGATGGGCTCTGTCTTCCTTCAAGCTGAACACGAGTCCCACCAACAATACCAGGTCAGCCCAGAAGAACCAACTAGGGAGAGCAATCTGAATCTCCACTGACAATAAGTGTTCCTCTTCCCATCAGTGAGCCTGATGAATCCCTTCCCCAACCCAGACACACTGAGGCCAGGATGCACCTATGAGGAATATCCTGCTCCCAAACTACCTGGGCTGGGAAATGCTCATGGTCGGCACTGCTCCATAGTTGGGGGAGAACCTCAAAACAAATGAGCAAGTCAGAAGATCCCATCATCCTAGGGACACCAGGTGGCCTGACCTGGGTATTTTCTCCACATCCTCAAGCAGCATCAGCAGGGAGCAGTGGAAGCATCAACACCAATGATAAAGCAAGCAGACCAAAATAGCATGGCATCAGCTCCCAAAACTAGACAGTCATTGGAGCCGCAGTGCACAAAAGTACACCAGGACCTTTGTGCCAAACCTGAAAAGGGTAACTGCTTGCTAAAATTCAACTTTTAAATATAATCCATAATGTCCTAATAGCCAGTTTTTCCAGTATATATAGATCATCTGTCATGCAATGATCCGGAAAATTAAAACTTGGATAAGAAAAGACAATCAACTGATGCCAACACTAGGAGAAGTCAGTTGTACAAATTATATGACAAGGATTCTAAAGCCTATATTACAAAATGATGCAATAGGCAATGAATAAGCAATAAATAAATGAACCAAATGAAAACTAAACACTGAAAAATATGATAATGATAAAATAAAAATAAAATACTTGCTGAATGTGTTCAACAGTAGAGTGGAGACGACAGAGTATAGAATTAGTGAACTTTGGGTCAGATCAATAAAATTCATCCAATATGAACACAGAGAGAAAATACTGAAAAAAAAATGAACAGAGCTTTAAGACTGTAATTCAACATTTGTATCACTGGAGTTCTAGAAGAAGAAAAAGAGAATGGGGCTGAAGGAATATTTGGATAATTGTTAACTGAAAATTTCCCGATTTTGGTAAAAGAAATCTAAAGTTCACAAAGCTGAGAAAACTTCAAAAACAATAAACTCAAAGAAATCCATACTAAGCCACAACATAATCAAATCCCTGAAATTAAATAAAAAAAAGAAATTCCTGAAAGCAGCAAGAGGAAATGACAACTTATCTGTAGGGGAAAATCAATTTGAATGACAGTACATTCCTCATTAGAGACCATATGGGCACAAGGAAGTAACAGAGCATTTCTCAAGGGCTGAAAGAAAAGAACTGTCAACTAAGAACTATGTCCAGTAAGACTTCCTTCAAGAATGAAGGTGAAATGAAACTCTTCTAGAATGAAGAAAAACTGAAAGAAGTTGTTGCAAGTAGATCTAGCTTAGTGAATGAATGGCCAAATTCTTTCTTATGAGTTCTAGCCACCAGAATAAGGCAAAAAATATATATTAAAGGCATAAAGATTGAGAAGGCAGAAATGAAAATGTCCCTATTAGTAGATGACATAATGATCTATGTAAAAAATACCAAGGAATTTTTTTTTTAATTCTGTAACTAATAAGTGAACTCAGCAAGGCCATGGTATACAGGATCTACACACACAAATCAATCACATTTCTACACGTTAATTATGCAGATTTGGAAACTGAAATTTAAAACACAGTACCTTTCTCTTCAAAGAATATTAAATACTCAATTATAAATCTAACAAAACTTGTCCAGGTTATGCACGCTGAAAATTGTAAGATGTTGATGAAAGAAACCAAAAGAGACCTAAATAAATGGAGAGACATATCATGTCCAAGGGATGGAAAGTTCAACATAGTAAAATTGTCAATTCTTCCCAAATTAACTTATAAGTTTAGTGTGATTTCTATCACATCAGGTCAAGTTTTTTAAAATAGGCATAAGCAAGCTTATCCTAAAATTTATTTGCAAGCATAGGCTTTAGCAAAGACAATCTTGACCAAGAGTTAAGTGGGAAGAATCACTCTATCTCCCTCTGATCCACAAGCCCACCCCTCTTTTCTCCACTTAAAGCCACCTAGTGACTGCACCTTGGTTAGTTGCCTCAGAAACTGATGTGTATTTGTCTCAAGATTCATCCCTCAATACCCATCATTTTCTCCAGGGCTCTTACAAGATACTAACGCATCCTGGATAGAGAAGTAGAACGTCTCCTTCAAGACAAATTAACCTGTATATTGAAAAAGTTACAGAACTACACCCCTCTTTGGAGTGCACTTAAGGAAATGGAATCTAAGTATATTACATCCCAGAGGATAAAATACAAGGCTTGAACGGGCCAAATTCCTGGACAGGCACACTCACCGGGAGTTTGAGATTTAATGTGTTAGCTGACCCCTTGGAATAGGCATTATTAATATGCACAGTTGGTTAATATTGGGCATATAGAGAAAGGAGTCCAAAGGCTCAGATTTTTATGTGTCCCTTACTCAGCTGTCCCCTAGCATTCCCTGCAAGAGAATCCAGTGGACACTTCCTGCATTGAAGCATTAATAAATGCAGTGTTGCAGGGGCCACCAGTGTCCTTAGAAGTCTCTGATATCTGTCCTTTGGAGACTGTTGCTGACAGTAGGAGAGGCAGTAATGGAATAAAGTTATCTTTTCTCAGTGGGAATAATGGGATTCCAAGGTGGTAAAGACCAGCGGTGTGCTTAATTGTCATAGTCAAGGTTGGCACAGTTACCACATTATGCTTCAGAGGTCTGTGCCAAAAGGCAAGTGGATCACAGAGCTCAAAGCAATGGCTTCTATGGGAAGCTTGACATAGAAACCTGGAGAGAATCTGGACCTGGGGAGAAGCTTCAGTCATCATAAGAAGGATGAATGACACAAGCTGCTTCCCAGACCTGAGAGTGTTCCTAGCCTCACAGGTCATTGATTGAAGAGAGGTCAGCCAGGTGCATTTGAGAAAGATCCTGCAACAGACCCACGGATGCATTTACTGCTCTTCCCACACCTTCCTCAGAGGGACCTGTGGCCATTTACCAGGTGACTTTTGCATTCCAGTAAGAAATATCCAGACGGTCCTAATGGTTTTAAATTTTCCCTGATTCTCAGAGATCCAAAACATCCTCTGGTCCTTAAGACAGAATAGAGGCTTATGTTGGTCAAGTGACAAGTGCATTCTTGTGCTAAGTCCGCATAATAATTGGTCCTATGAAATGGTGGACCCTTCCTATGGTTATTCCCCTTCTCCAGAATGAATGCTGAGAGAGATCATGTTAAATAACCATTAGAATGACCAAGTTTGTTTCCTATTACATGAGGAAGTTGCCCATCTCACACCAAGATGGTAACACAAAAGAAATACAACATCCTGATGGTAATTTTAGGAGTGACTTAAAATTACCCTACAAAGTGAGAAAAAGTTGTACCAATCATCAAAAACAAGAAAAAAATACAATTCTTGATGGTCCACTTTTAATTTCGAAGGCAGCATATAACATATTGGATTCGCTGCTCTGACCCATTAGCAGGTAACCTCCCAAGGCTGCAAGGTTTGAGGGGGACCAGAGCAAGCAAGTGCAGCTCACAGGTCCAGGTTGCCACACTGGCTGCCCTGCCACTTGGGCCTTGTGAAATAGCACAGCACAGCTGCAGGTATCCCAAGGGCAGACACACACACTGTAGGGAGATGCTGGCAAGCCTTGAGGGGAGAATAGGAGTGCAAACCTCAGGATCTGAATGAAGTCCCTGCCTTCCTGTTCTGACTAGTGTACTAGTCTTCTCTAGAAAAGCAGCTCCAGGCTGCCACTGGGCCTTGGTGCAGGTTGAAGATCTGACTGTGGAAAACAGAGTGACTACAGAACTTGGGCTGTGCGTCACAAGCCAAGGGCTATCTGATCCACTGAACCATCAAGTCAGATGTGCACAGTGATCTTCTGTTATGAAGTATGTTGCATTTACAAGACTGGGCCCCAGCAGATCTGGAAGGCGCACATGCACTGCAGGAGGAAGTGGCTCAGATTCCCATGGACTCTGCTGCTGCCACGTTGCCTGCGTGGGGCCGTGTGTCAAAGGTAAGGCACAGCTCCTCATGCAAGCTCAGGCAGGACCAGATCCTCGTCTGCAGCACACAGACCCTTCATCTGGATTTTCATGGTGAATTCAGACAGTAAAAGTGTGTCCTCACCGTCCCTGTGGTCTTCAGGACTTTATGCACGTGATGTCGGGCAAACTCTAGCAAGGACAACTGCCTGTGGCAGTCCAACATTTATAGCAAAGGCACAGCTGGTTTCTTCGAGGTTGTCTTTTTCCATCATAACGACACAGGATTTAATAAGCACTGGATTGTTCACCTAATAATTCTGTAGACAGCGTCAGGAGGGAGTGTGGGCAAGCTCGCGTGGTCTCTTGAGTGGAAAAGCTCATGGCACTTTTAGTGTCTCCTTTCTTCAGAAGTGGACTTTTCATCTGCTGAGGAGCAAAACAGTACATAAAGCTGAGTATCTTCCATCTGCTCCTCCTGCCACACTCCCATTCCCGGACAGCATCAGCAGTGCTTCCTGTCCCCTGGCTTCCAGCTAGCTCAGTCCACGTACAGAGGGAAGCCACAGGAAGAAAGGCATAAACTCAGGATGATTCCCACAGCCCACCCCCGGCCCTGGCTACCAAGTGTCTCATGCTGGCACAGCCCCAGCAGAAGGCCACGGCTCCCGTCCAGTCCCTCTGGACACAGCTCCCTGCATCTCCAGGTCCTGGTCCCCCACCCCCCCCCCCCCCCCAGAGGCCCACAGCTGCCTCCTCTCACTGGCCCTAAAGGATTGCACCATCCCTGGCTGCAGTCACTTGCACTTACCCAATGTGGGCAGACACCTATTTCCAGCCAGTTCTCTGGCTGCTGCGCTAGGGAAATGGAATCAAAGAGCCAGGCAGTGCTGAGGTCCTGTCTGATGCTTGAGATCTTCATTTAAAAATAAAACCAGCCATCCCTGTGGGATGATTCACCTCAGCAACATTGAGGGGCAGTAAAGGTAGCATGGGGCCAGTTTGTTGGTTGACTTTTAAATTTTAGAGCATAAACAAACAACTAAGCTACGAGGGAGTTGACAGGGGAATTTAAAATGTCCTAGGCCAATGAACGAGAGGTTCCAGCAGGGGCAAGTTTTGTTTTAGAGGGTAACCTGGGGTAAATGACTGGAAGTGTTGGAGCGTCAGAGAAAGACCACAGAGATGAAGGACCCTAGGCAGGTCCTGGAGACCCAGGGTGGGTGTAACACGGAGGGGAGTGGGAGAAGGGGGTGGGGGCAGAGAAATCAGAACTGTGGGGCATGAATAGGAACCTCGGGGGAGGCTGGGGGTATGAGCAAGAGGGAGAAATGAGCCCGGAGCTAATGGTTTTTAAGAATGAGAAGGGATGGGCCGGGCACGGTGGCTCATGCCTGTAATTCCAGCACTTTGGGAGGCCGAGTCGGGTGGATCACGAGGTCAGGAGATCGAGACCATCCTGGCTAACACAGTGAAACCCCGTGTCTACTAAAAATACAAAAACAAAATTAGCCAGGCGTGGTGGCGGGTGCATGTAGTCCCAGCTACTCGGGAGGCTGAGGCAGGAGAATGGCGTGAACCCGGGAGGCGGAGCTGGCAGTGAGCTGAGATCGCACCACTACACTCCAGCCTGGGCAACTGAGCGAGACTCCATCTCAAAAAGAAAAAAGAAAAGAAAGAAAGAAAGAAAGAAAAAAGAATGAGAAGGCATGACTGAAGAGTAGAGAGAGGCACCAACGAGGAGAGGCAGTGGGTGGGAGATGGGGCCTGAGCATTGTAGGGGATGACGTGTTAAAGGATGAAAGAGCAGATGGGAGCTGAGCTGGAAGGAGCCGGACATGAGGGAGCCCAGTGCTGTCCCCAGCCATCCTGATGTGGGATAGAAGAGGAAACAGTGCTTTTCAGTGACCGGCTCAGGGATATCCAGGTCCAGTGAGACCAAGCAAAGTACGGGCAGCACGGGAGTGGCCAGAAGAACCCTTCCCTGGACAGGCTGTGGCAGGGGCTCCTCCGGGATATCCAGTCAGCTGCACGTGTCTCAAGGCTTCTGTGTGACGTTGTCCAACACTGCATTTTAAAATAAACTACGGTTGCACGTCAGCTTTGCTGTCAAGGAATTCAAAGGGCATATAAACACTCCCAACCTTTCAGGGAAGAACTGTGTTGCCATTCGACAATACAGACTCTAAACAGTAGACAGGGACACCCATCCTGAGGGCACCTGTGACAGAAATGGGACCAGAAAGGTCTCCTGCCTTGCAGTTCTTAGTGCCCTGAGCATCTTGGAACTTTTGAAGTCAGACGCTTGACACACAATCACTTCGGAGCAGTGTCCCCATTTTCATTCCAAGGTGTCATGCACAGAAGATCAGAAACTGAAGAAGGGCTTCTTCCTCTGGGGCATAGCCATGATACTGATGAGGCAGAGCAGAGGAGACCTCGCAGGAAGCACAGGGCTCCCCCTTGGTCTTTGTTCTCATTACCCTTACCTCACAAGGAATGCTTCACAAAAGAACTGCATTTAATAAACACCGACTGAGCCACAGCGTCCTGCAGGGAGAGCAGGACTGAGGGTATCGAGTGTACGTCTGTGTAATTGATGGAAATAGCATGCACCACTTGCAAAATGGAAAAATCATTACTCTAAGCTGTTAAATATGTAAGATATCCTTAAAAGATACCTATGATCTTCTGCAAGTCAAATTTCTGGACTTTTAATTAATAACTTTAAAACTGCAGAGAAAAATATAAATGGATAAAATGCAATTTTACATAATGTAAACTACTCCAAAGCCTTTTATCAAGGAACAGTTTATTTTAATACATAAAATGTTTCCTTACGAGCAGTAAACCTTTTCCCAGAAAGTCTATATTCAGAAAGCATACAATTTGAATGCTGATTATTTTAACATGAAAAGTGATTACAAGAAAAACAAACTGTGTTTAGCCTCAGGAGAATTGACAGTTAAACAGTACAGTCAATTTTAGGTGGATGTGTGTCTTTTCCTATGTATAGCAGGAAGGGTTTTTAAACATACGTATTTTTCTGGAGGGGAATCTTGAGTAAGTTATCTCACATCTTTCTACATTTTGTCCTTGGGGAGAAAGGACACACAGAGGAGGTCATGGTGTTCCAACATTCGCTTGAATTAGAGTGTTAGTGTCAAGGTCTATTCCACTGTGTCTCTGTAGCATCTCCAGGGTAAGCACCTTTTCTTCTTCAAACAGTGGGGTCAGGGTAGTTTTATGACTAATGGGTTGTGATGGATGAAGTTTCCTTTAGTCTTCGAGCAATAGATGGATGTCTATTAATTCCATCCCACCACCACATGAGCCACAAGGAGATAACACATCCCAACAGTGCAGGACACAACCATCATTGGGAAGCCCAGCCTGAAATACAAAGAGAAATGAGTTATGGCATCTGAAATCTGGATAATCTCATGAGATACGGACTCATAGCTCATGAGAACATGGCCTTAGCACCTTTGCATTTTCACAATGGCCACTACCTTTTATTTCCATAAATCAGGAAGTTAGTTTTAGACTAAATTATGTGAATGCATGCTTCTATTAGACATCCTCCATTGTGTGCAATTTTATTTGAGAACTGCTTAAGGTTTTCTCAAATTTTTAATGGCTATATGGAGCCTCTGTTTGTTCATCTATATTAGACTGTTGGTCTTTCAATGCCATGTGCTGGGCCACCATTTAAATCTCTGGATGTTTCCTCTACTTGTGTCATCTTCCAACTTTTCTTCTCTGGAGATTTCCCAGAGATCCCAGCTTCCAGCAGGCTCCTGAAGTCCCTCACACTTAAGGCCAAGGAGAGCTTGATAAGTAGTGTTGGAAACTAAGGCCAACTGTTGTCTAAGGAAAGGCAAAGGGAAGAAGAAGTTTTTCTTCTGTAGCCGGTGAGGTGTGAGACGTGTGGACAAGGAGGGTATGCACAGATACAAAAGCAGTCATGAGAAGAGAGAAGCATCCCTCATTGTGTGCCTCCTCCAATGTACACACATCTCCACAAATTCCTACCCCAGCTTCCAGGCACTGACAGATGCCACTTGGCATGGGTAATGCACGCTCTGTAGCCATTGCTCAGTGCTGCCTGGTCACTAAGGGAAGCCCCTGCAAATGTTACAATTTTGGTTTCAAAAGGCTTAAGTTTTAGCAGTAAGAGCCTAGCATGTGGCAATTATAAAGACATTCTCTCTTCCCTGGCCATAAGTGTAGGAAGAGGCTACTCAGAAAGAGCCACAGCAAGGGTTCCTCAACAGAGCTACAATTAAACACAAAAACTGATTCCATGAGCGAGACAGCTCCCGAAATTATAGAGTAGACTTGGGCATTTCAAGAAAGTGGTAGGATTCTCTTGGCTTCTCTTCTGAACACATTTTATTTTACAAAACAAACAAAAAGAAACACAGAACATATTTTGGGAAAACTACTTAAATTTCTTGAACTTTATCAACTTTGTTTTTGAAAATAGCTGAACATGTTTGCAAAATGTCAGCCCTGATCATTGAGTTCTGGAAAAACACAACCCACGACAGTGTCTGGTCAACTCCAGGCATCACAGACATCACTGCAAGCCTTCATGGAAGCACAAAGCCTTCGTTCCTCTGTGACAGATTGTGTAGAGTGAGTCAGTGTCAGGTAAGATGCCGAGAATCTCAATCCGGGTGCTGAGACACCTGGCCATGTTTTAGAAGCAAATTTGCCTGCCAAGGGGTGAATTCCACAAAAAGCAGACCTTGCTTGAGAAGCCCAAGACTGGAGAAAGTTCCTGGTGGGTGGTTTTGCCGTGCTCCCAAGTGAGAGCCACTGATGTCTTGAGGATGGCACCAACGCAGAGAAGGAGCATCACCTAGCATCACCAAACATTTTCATTTCACCCAGAACTGATGCAATCACTCAGACCCATCAGAAACCCTACTCTCCCTCACAACACCTAGTCACTGTGACACTCTCCATGCACAGGACCCTCTCAACTGCCCACAGTGCCTTCTGGAATTGGCATCATCACACCTACTGCAGAGGTGGGATGTTGAGAGGTAAGCAGGCTTGCCTGGGTCTCTCAGCTAGTTTGCTCTGGTGTGACAATCCAAATGCATCAGTCTAACTCTAGTTAGATTGTGTGATTAAGAGTGATTAAGAGTGTGTACTCCTAATCACTACATATGCTGCCTCCCTGTGGACATGGATAAATCATAACAATGGCAACCTGCCATTAGTAGGTAAATGACTTACTGAATATCTGCTGTATGCTAAGGGCCTCATAGACTAGACGTTGACATTATCTATTATTTCCCAAACATGGTGAGGCATGTCATGTTACCCCTATTATATAGATGAAGCAACTGAAGCTTGCATATAGTAGGGAACTTGACAAAGGCCACCACCAGTAAAAGGCAGAGATGGTGTCTTGGAATATTCTTCTGGCTTCAAAACCCAAATGCATTTTCCCAACAGAGACAGGTACCACAATACACTAGCTTAGGGCTCTAGTTTTCAATTCCTGCTCTTGCCCAGTGGCATCACCTTGGAAAAGTATTAAATGTCTCCATAACTCAATTTCTTTATATATAAAATGAAGGTAATAACAGTACCTAAGAGAGCTATGAGGATTCCATGAGTTCACTCTTATAAATCCCTTAGAACAGTGAGAACAGTGGCCACATAATGAGCCCTCAACAAGTTTTAGCCACAGACCAGTGCTCCTCAAACCGGGACACCTGCCCCAAAGTGCATGTTGACTGGGATTACAAAGTGCCCAAAATCACAGAGTAAGCCTGGAGCACCTCCCTGGTGCATGAGTTGTGTTTGGTGGTAAGGAATTTAATGATACAAATACATAAGGGTTTATCGGAGAAGAGAATTTTACTCTCAAATTAAAGATGATAAAGCAGGCTTCTAGTTCTCAAGCAAGATGAAGTGGATGCGTTTCTTCCAATTCCTCCCACTAAGCAGAGCTAAAAGCTTGGCATTTTATAGAAAACAAGCATAAGGAGACCATAAAGATGAAGAAGAGGCAGATCAGCTGGGGATCTTGGGGTCCCAAAGAATGGCATGGAGGTGGGTTTCCTTTTTGTTTCCCCTCATATATCCTGGACTAGGTGCTGGGAAGCTGATACGTCAGTGGGTACTAGAAAGAAAACAAAAAGCCCCAAGAGAAGCCTGCTCTCCCTAGCCAGAAAGCCAGGAAAGGGCACTAAAGCTAGACATAACACTCCTAGATAATAACCACTCCTGCCAAATTCCACGGGAAAAAAAATTAAGCTCCTTGGTGAAGGCCAAGTGGGAACCAGAACTTCCACACTCACCAGGCTGTAGCAAGCCCCTCTCCTGTGGTAACAGCAGAGACCACGTGGGGATCCCACGAGCCAGGGGTGTTTCAAGTTGAATGAGAAAAGCCAATCAACAGAAGCCAATACTGAGGTGATACAGATGTCGAAATTATCTGAAAAGGATTTCAAAGCAGCTACCATAAAAATTCTTCAACAAGCAATGACAAACACACTTGAAATAAGTGAAAAAAAATGGAAAGTCTCAGACAAGAAATTAAAACTATAAAGGAGGACCACATGGAAATTTTTCAGTTCAACTGAAGTAAAACTCTAACGGAATGGGCACAATAATATAATGGAGAGTATAAAGGAAAGAATCGGTGAACTTGAAGATACAACAACAGAAATTGTTCATCTGAAAAATGAAAAAAGACTAAAAAAACAAAAGGAACCAACCCTCAGGGATCTGTGGGACATGAACAAAAGATCTAACATTTGTATCATCGGAGAAAGAGGGCAGGGATGAAAAAGTATTCAAAGAAATAATGATTAAAAAATTGGTAAAAGATATAAACCTAGAGATTTAAGAAGCTGGGAAAATCCTAAAAAGGCTAGGCACCCCCCAAAATCTATGCCAAGACACAACAATCAACAAATCAAACTCGTGAAAACTAAAGAAAGATAAAATTTCTTGAAAGCAGTCAGAGATAAATGACAATTTACCTATAGAGAAAAACTACAAGTTTCTCCTCAGAAACTATGGAGGCCAGAAAAAAGTGGCATAATATTTTTAATTGATAAAAGACATGAACAATCAACCCCAATTTCTATATCCATCAAAAATATCCTTCAGGAATAAAGGGAGACTCAAGACACTCTCAGATGAAGAAAAACTAGAAGAGCAGCAAACTTACCCTAAAAGTACTGCTAAGAAGGTCTTCAAACAGAAATGAAATGATAAAAAGAAGGAATCTTGGAGTATCAGGAAGGAATAACAAAATAAAGAGCAAATGTATGGTTAAATATGATAAACTTTCCTTTTCATCTTGAGTTTTTAAATTATGTTTGATGGTTGAAACAAAATAAATAGCAAAATAGTAAAAGCACGGATAAAGAATAAACCACACAAACAGTAATCAAAAGAGCAGGAATGGCTATATTAATATCACATGAAGTATATTTCAGAGCAAAGAACATTTCCAAGGCAGAGAGGGATATTGCATATAGATAAAGCAGTCAATCCACCGAGAGATCATAGTTATCCTGAATGTGTATTCACCAAATAACTGAGCTGAAAAATTGAAACAAAAACTGACAAAATGACAAGAGAAAGTAAATGACAAGAGAAAGTGGCACATGCACAAATGGATTGTAGACTGACAAATCCACTATTATAGATGGAGACTTTTATTCTCTCTCTCTGTAATTCATGGAAGAACTAGAAAGAAATTCAGCAGAGAGAACTCAACAATATCTTCCAGCAATCAAATCTTGCTGATACTACAGAGTGCTCCAGCCAACAACAGCAGAATGCACATTCCTTTCAGCATCCAAGAAACATTTAGCAAGACAGATCATATCCTGGACCAAAAAATAAACATCAACAAGTTTAAAAGAATTAAAATTATACAGAGGGTTTTTTTTCTTACCATAAGCAATCAAACTAATTTTGATTTCAAATTTGATTTGATTTGATTTGCTAGTTTGATAAGAAATCAGTAACAGAAAGGCAACCAGAAACTATCCAAGCATTTTCAAATTAAATATTATACTTCTAAATAATTCATAGATCCAAGAGATTGTCACAAGGAAAGTAAAAAAACCACATGGAACTGAATGAAAATGGAGCATCATTTTCTAATTTATGATCTCTGTGTTACCTCAACCCTATAAAGAAAATCATCTAGGAAAAGAAAGCAAATTAAAAACTACAGCTAACATGTCACTTGTTGAGAAGGAAACGTATAGCACTAAATGTTTGTATTAGAAAAAAGAAAAGGTCTTAAATCAATAATTTAAGTTCCCATCTTAAGGAAATAGAAAAAGAATTTAAAAATAAACCCAAAAACAAGCAGAAGAAAAGAAATAATAAAGATAAGAGCATAAATTCATGAATTTAAAAATAGGAAAACAGTGGAGAAAAACCAATGAAACAAAGCTGATTTTTTAAAAAAGATCAATAAAATTAACCAGCTTCTAGAAGGACTGACAAGTAAAAAGAGAAAAAAGAGAAATGGTCAATATCAATGAAACAGGAGTCATCACAAAAAACCTTCAGGATTTAATCAAAAGATTAAAAGTTTCTCATATTAACTACTGTTGTACTATTAACAATTGTATACATATACATTTAACAACTAGAATGAAATAATTTAAATCACCCTATATATATTAGAGAATTTAAACTGGTAGTTAGAGACCTTCCAAAAAAGAAAATTGTAAGGCCAGATTGTCTCACTGGTGAATTCTGTGAAATATTTAAAGAACTAACACTAATTCTATACAAATGCTTCCAGAAAATAAAAGGGGAGGGAACATCATTTTCTAAATTATTTTATGATCCCTGTATTACCTCAACCCCATAAAGAAAATCATCTAGGAAAAGGAAGCAAATGAAAAAACTACAGCTAACATAATACTTAATAAGGAGAAACTGAATGCTTCTCCCCCACAGGATTCTCACCACTCTTATTCAACATAGTACTGAAAGCCCAAGTCAGTATAATAAGGCAAAAGACACATAGACTAAAATAGATGAAATAAAATTCTCTCTATCTGCAGATGACATGATAGCTTACATTAAAAAATCCTAAGAAATTGAAAAAAAAAGCAAAACAAAACATTTCTAAAACTAATCAGTGAGCAGTAAGTTCAGCAAGGACTGCAACACAAGATCAACATTCAAACCTTATTTTTTCCTATAAACTACCAATGAATACATAAAAATTAAAATTAAAAACACAATACCACTTAAAATCACTCCAATTAAAATTAAACACTTAGGCATAAACTTAAATCTTGTTTTAAACTTAAATCGTGTTTGTAACTTACAGCACACCAGCATCTGTGTGCTGTAAGTTACAAAATGGTGATTAAAAAAAAAAAAACCCAAAGCAGTTCTAGATAAATGGAGAGATATAGAGTGTTCATTAATGGAAGACTCAACATAGACAAAATGTTAATTTGCCCCAAATTGATTCTAGGTTTAATGCAATTCCTAGCAGAAATTTTTCTAGCCATAGACAAGCTTATTCTAAAATGTATATGGAAAGGCACAGGCTCTAGAATAGCAAAGACAATCTTAACAAAGAAGAACTGAATGGGAGACCCTCTCTATCCAACATGAAGGTCTACTATGTAGCACCAGTAATTAAGGCAATACAGCACGGATGCAGATATAGACACATGGATCAATGGGCCAGAACACAGAACCTGAAAACAGACCCATAAAGACATGCCCAACTTATTTTTTTTAAGATATGGGGTCTCATTCTGTCATCCAGTCTGGAGCGCATTGGCGTCATCACAGCTCCCTACAGCCTTGACTTCCCAGGCTCAAGGGATGCTCTTGCCTTAGCCTCCCAGCCAGCTGGAACTACAGGTGCCACCATGCCCAGTATGCCCAGCTTATTTTTGACAAAGATGCAAAAGTGAGTCTTTGCAAGAATAGCCTTTTCTTTCTTTATATTTGTATAAATGTAAGGGGTATAAGTGCAGTTTCGTAACATGGACATATTGCATAGTGGTGAGGTCTGGGCTTTTAGTGTAATATCACCAGAATAATGTACTTTTAAGTAATTTCCCATCCCTCACCCTCTCCCACCCTCCCATCTTTCTGAGTCTACAATGTCTATTATTCCATACTCCATGTCCATGTGAGACAGAGTAGACACAGGACTCAGCCCACCTCCACTATGGTATTTTTCCATACATGCCCATTGACCAGACCTTGGAAGCTCTCTGAAGAAACTGAGATAAGCAGCTTCCCACCATAAATCTTATTCAAGGAGCCATACCTGCTGACTGCAGGACCTCAAAAACCTAAAATAAGCAACATCCTAACATAAATCTCACTCAAAAAAAGTTAACCCCATCACCAGCATGTACCTAAGAGCAGAATAATGAGCCATCTTTAACCCATGACTTATTGTAATACTGAAATCCCCACCCAGGGAGGGGCTTATCTGCCATTTTCTAATCATGTGACGTGTGGATTAGCATGCCCCCTTACTAGCCTGTGCACCCGAACACTCCACCCTGCACATTCAGTGATGCTTACCTACTTCATGCATGTCACCCTCCTTAAGACACCACAATGCACTCCCCTCAGGGTGTCAGCCAGGTAACATTTGTTCCTGCACTAAATCTCCCTTATGCCCAACCTTTCTGGGCCTAAGTCTTAATGGACCTTGTCTAAAAACGGTTTGCCTAGGCTTGTGTTAATTTCTCTTACATTGAGAGCCAAAAATCTCATGCTGATAACACATGTACCTGTTATTAAGCTCCTGCTTATAAGTGAGAACACGTGGTATTTGTCTTTCTGTTTCTGAGTTATTTCACTTAAGAAAAGGACCTCCAGTTCCATCCATGTTGCCACAAATGACGTGATTTCATTTGTTATGGCTGAGTAGTATTCCACTGAGCATATACACTACACTTTAGGATGCCCTTTTTGACAAATACTTCTAGAGCAATTGGGTATCTAAATGTCAGAAAATAAATTTCAACCTCAACCTCACACTTTATACAAACATTAACTCATAATGGATCACAGATTTAAATGCAAAATGTAAAACTACAAAACATTTAGAAGAAAACATAGGATAAAAATCTGAGGCCTACAGTTTAGTGAAGAGTTCTTAGGCATGACACCAAAAGTATGATTCCATAAGAAAAAAAAATTGATAAAATCAACTTCATCAAAATAAAAATATTTTTTAAAACATTTGCTCAATAAATAAAAGACCCTGCTAGGAGGGTATAAAGACATGCTACTGGCTAGGAGAAAACATTTGCAGACCATAGACCAGTCAAAGGATTCTTATCTAGAATATATGAAAAGATCTCAAAACTCAGTGGTACAAACACTAAAAAATCCAATTAGAAAACGAACAAAAGACATGAAGAGACATTTCACTGAAGCTATATGAGTGGAAAACCAGCACACAAAAAGATGCCTCACATCACTAGCCATTAGGGAAGTGGGCAATGATGCGGCTGCTGTGAGTGGTTGCGATGCCGGTGTGATGGAGATGTCCCTGGCTATGGTAGGGCCCTTCCTGTGGGGAGACAGGCAGCAGATGCCCAGGGCACAGCTGGCTGGGAGGCAGGCACCCTCCTGGGAAGCAGGGCTGCTGGGCTGGGAGGAGACTGTGCCTCAGGGAGAAGGTGAGGTTGCCCTGGTACTGGGTGGGAGTGAGTGGTGAGGGCCTGGCCAAATGTAGGTGACAGGACAGCCTCTGTGTCCATTTAACAAGGCAGAGTTTCAGACAGGGTGTGAGGCAGCCAGAGAGACATTTAATATTCACTGAGCTTCAGGAGAGCTGATCACCCCAGGCCAAGGCCAACACTGCCCAGTGTCCTCACTAAGAAACCCCTCAGGACACAGGTTCCAACCCAGCCACTGAGGGGTGGGGGTTTGGGGAGTGGAGAGAGACAGAGAGAGAGGTAGGAGGGAAGGGAGAGGGAGAGATAGACAGAGGGAGAAATGGAAGGCACTGAGAAACAGAAGGGACAGGGGAGAGAGACAGAAGGAAAAAGGGAGAGGGATCAGAGAGGGATACAGAAAGAGGGAGGAGGGAGACGGGGAGAGAGAAAGAAGGAGGGACAGAGGCAAGGAGAGGGGAAGAGAGAGAGGGGAAAATAGAGGGGAGAAAGGAGAGGCAGGAGGGGGAGGAGATTGGCATCAAATGCCAGCTCTAGTATTTTATATCCTGGCTTCATCATCTGCTTGCAGGGTTACCATGAGCCAGCAAAGAATAACACTCACACTGAAAGGCATTTTGCACATGCCACAAGATCCCTGAAAGAGCCCTTATCTCATAAAGATGCACACAGCAGGGCTTCCATGAATGAAAATCTCCCCTTCCATTCCAAAGACAACTCAAGGTAAACTGCTCCCTTTTTACAGACCAGGAGCCAACAAACTACAGCCTCAGGCCAAATGTGGTCACCACCTTTTTCTTGTGAGAAAACTCCACTGGGACTGGGACTCAGCCGCCCATGCATTTGCTTGCTGTCTACGGCCACCCCAGAGCCACCAAGGTAGAGTCCAGTGGAGCAGTTGTGACAGAGGCCTTGCGGTCCACAAAGCCTGAAATATGCATTCACCCTTACTGAAAACACTTGCTGACCCTAAGAATATCAGGTCCTGGGAAGGTGAAGGAGTTACAGGAAAGGGGTCCTGATCCAGACCCCAAGAGAGGATTCTTAGATCTTGCCCAAGAAAAAACTTGAGGTGAATCCATAGAGTAAAGCAAAAGCAAGTGTATTAAGAAAGTAAAGGAATAAAGAATGGCTAGTCCATAGGCAGAGCAGCAGCTTGGGCTGCTGGACTAAGGATACGTGTAGCTATTTCTTGATATTTTGTGTAGATATTTCTTGCTAAACAAGGGGTGGATTATTCATGCGTTTTCCAGGAAAGGGGTGGGCAATTCCCAGAACTGAGGGTTCCTCCCATTTTTAGACTGTATAGACTAACTTCCTGATGTTGCCATGGCATTTGTGAACTGTCAAGGTGCTGGTGGGAGTGTCTCTTACCAGGTGAGTGTAGCAGGCCAGGTCTCACGGACGCAGGCCTCCAAAAAACTATCTCAGCACTGACTGAGTGCTCAGGTTCAACATCAAAAGCTGAGAGAGCCAGTGTCCTTATACAAACACTGGAATGTAAAAAAAGCCCACCAAGAGTTTTGCCCAGGCCTTTCCTGGGCCTTGAAGCATGACAAGATAACGAGGGAATTCTTAACAGGACCCGTTTAGGATTAAACAAGTTTTACTGGGGGACTGAAGAAACTCCCCAGGCTTCCACAAACAAGTTTATCTGGGGTCTGAAGGAACTCCCTATAACTCCATGATTTAGCAAGAGACAAGACAAATCACTCAAGCACCTGGACCCATTTAGATTAAGTAAATTTCCTGAGGCTCCAGAGGAAGGTTTTCAGGATTCAAGTCTTAGTTATGGATTAGAAACTAATCACTTACGTCTTTAGATGAAAGAATCACACTTACATGTAGACATACAGCTTAGAAGGTTATAGCTGGAAGGCTGTAATCTTGAGTTGGTCTGGAGATATTTACCAGACCTTCTCCCTTAACCAGTTATAGAAATAAAATAAAACTCTTTTCCTTTCCCAGGTCATCTGCATCCTGTTATTGGGCTTCAAGAATAATAAGCCCGACCCTCGGTTTGGTCCGGGAACAGGAATGCATTATAATTGGTGTATAATGAGCAGTGCGAACAATCAGAGGTCACTCTCATCACCATCTTGGTTTTGGTGGGTTTTGGCCAGTTTCTTTATTGCAACCTGTTTTATCAGCAAGGTCTTTGTGACCTGTATCTTGTGCCAACCTCCTAACTCATCCCGTGAATTAGAATGCCTACCTTCCTGGGAATGCTGCCCAGCGGGCCTCAGCCTCATTTTAAGATGGAGTCAACCCCTATTTAAGATGGAGTCGCTCTGGTTCAGACAGCTCTGACAAAGGAACTTGTCAGCTTCCTGTCAGCCTCTATCTAAAATGCAAGGAAGTCCAGACCAATAAATATGTTGTGTAGTCTTAAATGTTCAACTATCACATTTTTTAAAGTAAAAGGAAACAGATGAAATTAAGTATAATAATATATTTTATTTAACCTAACATATCCAAAATATTATTTGACCATATAGTCAACATAACATTTTGATGGAATAGTTGACATTTTTTAAATAAAAAAATCCAGTATGGATGTTCTACTCATGGCACTGAAGCATGCCCTGAGAAGGACCCTATGGTCATCTCTGAAAAGAATGTGTGCTCAGAGTTCCCAGCTAAGGAATCTGGGAGCAGCCAACCCAGACATTCGCTCCTTCTCTATGAAGGACACTGACACCGCCTTGTCTCTCTCTCCCTCAGTGGCTGAGTTGGAACCTGTGTCCTGAGGGGTTGCTTAGTGAGGACACTAGGCAGTGTTGGCCTTGGCTTGGGGTGGTCAGCTCTCCTGAAGCTCAGTGAATGTTAAATGTCTCTCTGGAAGCCTCACACCCTGTCTGAAACTCTGCTTTGTTAAATGGACACAGAGGGTGTCCTCTCACCTACCTTTGGCTAGGTCCTCACCACTCACTCCTACCCAGTACCAAGGCAGCCTCGCCTTTTCCCTGAGGCACAGTCTCCTCCCAGCCCAGCAGCCCTGCTTCCCAGGAGGGCACCTACCTCCCAGCCATCCCTTGAACACAGGCAGGCTACCCTGGGGATCCAGGCCCTTGGTTCTGGGCCAAATAGAGGTTGCTAGGTGGAGGGCGCCAAGTGAAAATGCTCTGTAATCTGCCTGCTCTTTACAAACTGGAGAGGATTTTCCTGTCCTGCCCACTGCTCCTGGACCGCCCTGTATGAAATCCTCAATAAACCTTACGTCTCCTTCCCTGGCCCCTTCTTCGCCCCTATCCAGCGGGAAGTCCCAGTTCCCAAATACCGGCCTCTGGAGTTGGGCTACATGGCTTCTCCCTTTTCTAGGTCCTGTGACCGCCATCTTGCTATTACTTGCCTTTGGGCCCTGTACTTTTAACCTCCTTGTCAAATTAGTTTCCTCTAGGATCAAGGCTATCAAGCTACAGATGGTCTTACAAATGGAAACCCAAATGAGCTCAACTAACAACTTCTACTGAGGACCCATGGACTGACCCACTGGCCCTTTGACTGGCCTAAAGAGTTCCCTTCTGGGGCACACTACAACTGCAGGGCACCTTCTTTGCCCCTATCCAGCAGGAAGTCCCAATTCCCAACAGCAGTTGGGGTGTCCTGTTTAGAGGGGTGATTGACAGGTGAAGCCAGCTGGATTTCTTGGGTTGAGTGGGGACTTGAAGAACTTTTCTGTCTAACTAGAGGATTGTAAATGCACCAATCAGCACTCTGTGTCTAGCTAAAGGATTGTAAATGCACCAGTCAGCACTGGGTGTCTAGCTAAAGGATTGTAAATGCACCAATCAGCACTCTGTAAAAATGCACCAATCAGCACTCTATGTCTAGCTAAAGGATTGTAAATGCACCAATCAGCACTCTGTAAAAATGCACCAATCAGCACTCTGTGTCTAGCTAAGGGATTGTAAACACACCAATCAGCACTCTGTAAAATGGACCAATCAGCACTCTGTAAAATGGACCAATCAGCACTCTGTAAAATGGACTAATCAGCAGGATGTGGGTGGGGACAAATAAGCAAATAAAAGCTGGCCACCCCAGCCAGCAGAGGCAACCTACTGAGGTCCCCTTCCACACTGTGGAAGCTTTGTTCTTTCACTCTTCACACTAAATCTTGCTGTTGCTCAAACAAAACAAAACAAAAACTCCTACTGGAGTCAGAGGGGTCGCATGACAATGGCACACCTCTGTTTGGACTTGCCACATTTTAAGCTCAGCAGCCACAATGGCAGTGGAGGAAGGGGGAATAGTGTACTGGACAGAGGGCTCCAGGAAGGCCCGGCTTCCAGCTGAAAGCGGTTGGAAAGGCAGACTTGCAGCTGTGACCTGGCGCAGGGAGGGCCGGCCCAGGATGGGTCTTTCTAGGTGGATGCCTGTGAGGTGCGGCCCCTGCCAAGAAAGCAGGTCTGAGCTAGGCAGGCTGAGGGAGCTCCACCGCCCTACAGGGACCATCTCACACTGCAGCCTCTTCCTTATACATTTTGGAAGTCATGAAAAAAATTCTTCTATTACTGAGAAAAGAAATATAGCTTTGAGCAGTGTAACTTCTGTGAGATATGCAAAATTATCAGGTCCAGAGAGAATCGAGTATGGGACTTCAGTCACACGCCGTCACTCCTCCTCTCCTGCCCCCACACCCAGGGGCAACTGTTTAAAGACACTGTGTTCCCGACTAGCCGCCTCACCTATTATCTTCTCCTGCCTGGAATTTGTGATACAAAGAACAATGTATAGCGAATCAATAGCTTATGTTATTCTAATGTAAATTCTCGGTAACAACTTAGGAAGTGCCAGTTCTTTTTTCCTTAAAAACTCTCTTGTAACTGCAGCTAATCTGAGTGTACATTCAGGGCAAGTAGAATCTATGCTCCTGGCTTGGCCAGCCTCGAGCTTTGGACTCGAATAAACTTTATATTTAGTCATGTTTTATGAATCTTGTTTTTTAGGGTTGACATTAGTTAGAGTCAAGAAGAGACCAGTGATAACCCTGTCTATGGGACCCTGTGGTGGCAGCCCCCGTTCACAGTGGCACACGCCCGAGTTTCTGAAGGGGAAGGCAAGGCCTGCGGGCAGCTCTTTCCCTGGCACTTCAAAGGCTGGCCTGTTTCTTCTGGGGCCGAGCCAGTTGCTTCCTCCCGTGGGATGCAAGCAGCTTGATTGGAGCTTCAATGCTTCATGCGCTGCCCAGCCGGGAGGCAGCCAGAGGGAGATTTATTTGAAGAGAGGATGTTATGACTTCCTGTCGCTGCCAGGACGACTCCAGATACACAGGACACGGATGCTGCGGGTTCACCGGGAGCCTCCATTTCCCAGAAGATCCATTTGTCTTGCACCCTAAGCCTCTCCTCAAGGCAACAATCTCAACCAAAAGCTCAGGAAAAGGGCATTTGTTCAACATCCAGCATCACACTACGCCTTCATCTCCCTCCGGGGTGATTTTCAATCCATTCTGGCTCTCTCACCATGCCATGTTAGGGAAGGCACTTGCGTGTCAAAGCACAAATCACGATGCACACGTCAGATGGACGCCCACACAGCCCCTGTGTTACACGCGTTTAGTTTTAAGTTAAAAACCTGCCTGTGCTGACACACAGTTCTCTAAGGAACCAAGGCTTCCGGATTGCTGGGAAATGGGGCAGCCCCAGAATAGTGCCCGGAGCGTTTCCAACAGAGCCTGGCTTCCAAAAGAAGTGTCTGCTAATGAAGTCTCCTACTTGAGTCTCAGACTGAAACCATTCTTCCTGTTTATGTTTCCTTTCCAAAAGACTACACATTGGGTGCAGGGCACACTGCTAAGGTGAGGGGTGCACCAAAATCTCAGGAATCACCACCTAAGAACTTATCCATGGAACCAGACACCACCTGTTCCCCCTAAAACCTATTGAAATAAAAAAAAAGGCTTTAATAACAAACCATAACTATGGTTTTTAAACAAAAAGCCATTTGGCTGTCGCCCTTCTACAAAGGTAACACATGATTCTGAGCAGAAGGAAGAACTGCTTCTACTTCCGAAGGCCCATGGAGGATGCACGAGCAAGCCGCCCGGGCACGGAGGCTGTCCCTTTTCTGTGCCAGTGGACCCCTTGAGGCCTGCCCTCCCCAGCACCTCGGCCTGTGTGCAGCGCCTCGGCCTGTGTGCAGCGCCTCGGCCTGTGCGCGGCCCCTCTGGGCCTCAGGACCAGGCTCATCCTCAGCCCCCATCTGAACAGCCTCATACCCCATCTCCTGGGTCTCCCAGGGTAATAGTCCTTAGCTAACTCCTTTTATGAGGAAAGGCTAGAAGCTGAGATGGGGCAGGGACCCCCTTTTTTGCAGGGCCTGCAGTGCCCCCCACCCCCAGCACCACCAAGCATGGAAATACAATATCCCAACTCGGTTCCATAACAAAGTCTCGGTCCCTGGAAACAAAGCTCATCCTCGTTATTTGCCACACAAAGCAAGAGCGTTTCCAGGCGGGCGGAGGGAAGGGGCGTTCAGGGCGGGGGCTCCGCGGGGTCCGCAGGCCTCCTGGTCGCGCGCGGGGCCACGGAGACACTGCGCGGACCCCAAGCCGGGAGGGGCCAGGGACGGGCAACGCGGGGCCGGGCGAGGCTTTCAGTGCGCCCGGTTTCTCAGACCTCCAGCCGTGTGTGGCGCTGTCCCCGTCTCCGCCGGCAGAAGAGGCTCATTGCCGCCTGTCTGCTCTCCCTGAGAACCGGCATCCACACCGGCTGCCCTGGAGAAGCGACCACCTCCCGGCTCCAGGACCCTCCCCGCAGGCCGCCGGGCTCGCCCTTCCTTCCTCCCTCGCCGCCGGGGAAGGTCCCCGATGGGCGCGCACGGTGCCCAGCGCAGCTGCCCTTGGCCTCCCGTGTCCTTACCCACTTCCCTCCTCAGAACCCGGCCGCTCCCGTGGCCTCTGAATCCAAGATGGACAGCGGTGGCTTCGGCCCTCTCCACCAGGGAGCTCTTTCCCGCTCCTTTCTTACTTCCCTCCCTTCCTCTTTTCCTTCCTTCCTTCCTCTCTCCCTCCCTCCCTTCCATCCTTCCTTCCTCCCTCCCTCTTTTCCTTCCTTCCTCCCTTCCATTCTTCCTTCCTCCCTCTTTTCCTTCCTTCCTTTCTTCCTTCCTTCCCTCCTTCCTTTGCTCCTTCCCATCTCCTTTTCCTTCCTTCCCTCCTCCCTCCCTCTTTTCCTTTCTTCCTTCCTTGCTTCCATCTTTCCTTCCTCCCTCCCTTCCTTTCCTTCTTTCTTCCTTCCCTTCCTTCCTTCCCTTCTTTTCTTCTTTCCTTCCCTCCCTCCCTCTTTTCCTTCCTTTCCTTCCTTTCTTCCCTCCCTTCCTCCCTCCCTCTTTTCTCCCTCCATTTTTTGCTTCCTTCTTCCTTCTTTCCTTCCCTCCCTTCCTTCCCTCCCCTTGCAGCGACACCCCCTTGGCCTCCTCCTAGAACGCCTCCATCAGGTCCCCTCACACCTTCTGAGGCCCATAAACACCCCCAGGTCCTCCTGCTCACAGCAAATCGCCCCACTCTCCACCGCGGTCCCGCCAAGGTCACAGCGCTACTGCCACTCCACGGCCCCAGCTCGGAGAAAGGGCGGCGCTATAGAGAGGACGGGCCCTGCCTGCGAGAGGCCCCGGGGGAGAGAGAAGCCTAAAAAAAAAAAAAAAAAATACAGCCGCGCACGGAAATCAATGGGCCGCCCCTCCGTGTGCTCCGCAGAGGCGTGGGTTCTCCAGGCAGCGCCCAGCTGGGGGGTGCTCCGTGGCCGCGGGCCGAGTCCAGCTGAGGTGGCTGCAGGGGTGACTTTGAGACTTGTGTTCCACAGCGAGGAAGAATTTAATGGCAAAGAGAGGAGAATGGGCGTGGGAGATCCCAAAGACAGTATCCATTGGTTCCACTAGTTTCTAGAATTTTAATAATACATGTTTTTCCAGAAAATCACCCATTGTGTGAAATCTGTATTTTTTTTATCAGCATGTAATCGTCTGACTTTAATCTTCTTTACCTCTGCTACTGTATTCCCTTTTTAAATACTTAATTTTGTTAATTTTTGCTTTCCCATTCTCTTTCTTGACGCTAAAACTCTACCTGTACTATCAATAATGTTTACCCCCCAAAATCGCCTCCTGGCTTACCAGTTCTGCCATTTTTAGTCTTCTAATTTTGTATGCTTGCCTTCATGTGGTTCAGCTCTTTCCTCCTTCTCTCCTGTGTTACTTTGTGCGCCTATTACTTTTCCTCAATTTGAAAACAATTAAAATAACTAAGTCTAGACATTATTCCCAAGCACAGCGTCAAGGCCTGCCGTGAACTCTGAGGCTGCTGTGGTTCCCTGAGCTGAGCAAGCCGCCTGCGGGCCCACGAGGAAGGCATCATAGCCAAGCCCTGGAATGGGAGGTGAGTTTGCTGTGCGTCCTGAACAACTAGCCAACCTCTCTGGGCCTGACCTTCCTTTAAAACAATATTTTCTGCTAAGAAATTTAAAATGTATAAAGTAGTGACTTAATACTTTGTAATTCTGTACTTTGTCAATGTTACTGAAATGGTATGCATTATTGTTTTTGCCACTACTACTGCAAATTCTATTACTACTACTACTATTACTTTTTTAATTTACTTTTTGAAAGAGGATCACTTTTTCCCTCTCATTTTTATTTTGCAATTAATGTATTCTGGTCAAAGACTGGAAAATAATTGAAGAAATGTTGGAAAATATCCAGTTAGGAAATCATTGAGATTATCTTCCTGGCTTAATATATGATGAATTTTGTAGCTGTTTTGTGGACTCTTGAAAAGGCCTATTTTCCATAGAAAATGGAGAGAACTGGCCGGGCACGGTGGCTCACGCCTGTAATCCCAGCACTTTGGGAGGCCGAGGTGGGTAGATCACGAGGTCAAGAGATCAAGACCATCCTGGCTAACACGGTGAAACCCCATCTCTACTAAAAATACAAAAATTAGCTGGGTGTGGTGGCAGGCGCCTGTAGTCCCAGCTCCTTGGGAGGCTGAGGCAGGAGAATCCCTTGAACCCAGGAGGTGGAGGTTGCAGTGAGCTGAGATCTCGCCACTGCACTCCAGCCTGCGTGACAGAGGGAGACTCTATCTCAAAAAAAAAAAAAAGGAAAAAAAGAAAATGGAGAGAACTATATGTCTAAGAATTCAATGCTCAGAGACAGATAGTGTCATATGAAAGTCTTCCATGGCAGTGAAGTTTCTATTAATTTCCCCTTATATTTTCTGATTAAATTCATTTTCTCTATTCTGATGCAATATTTTTGGCAATTAGAACTATTATGTTGACTGTCTCATTGAATTTTTAAATATGAACTCTATAAAATATTCTCTATAATTCTACCTTTTCAATTGTATTATTTAAGTTGTATTAGCCATTTATTTTTGTTCACAAGTTTTAATTCTCTCAAGTTACTCTGATCAGTTTTAAAGTAGAATCCAGTTAGAAATTTAATTCTTATTTTTTGTTGGCTATTTTTATATAATTTTGGTTTAGGTTTTGAGTTTTTTATTCCTTTTTTTATTTATAGATTTGCCAAAAAATAATGAGAATAAATCTATATATCTCAGTGACAAAAGATAAATAAATGAACCAGTATCCTTTGACCCGCCTAATAGAAAGTTTTAATTTCTCTCACTGACATCTCAAGAGATTTTGTGATCTTCATTAATTCAATATGAGATTTTAGACTCAGGTTATATTTGTTAAATTCTTATTATTTACAATATATGTCATTTGTTCAGATATGTTTGGAGAAAGATGACATCTGATAACTATAATAATATCAGGTTACATTTGTGAGTGGTTACATCAGGCATTTTGTGTGGTTCATGAGTATTAGCTCAGCTAATCCTCACGATAATTCTGTGAGATAGGGAGCATTATTATTACTGCTTAGAGCTAAGGAAACTAAGGCCCAGAGAGGCTAAGTCATACCCAAGGTCACACAGGAGGTTAATAACAGACACAGACAGGTTTCTGTAACTTTAGTAGACATGTGAAACTTGGCTGGATCTGAAACTGGAGCTTTGGGATCACAGCCATTTCCTCTCAAAGCTTTGTCATTGACTATTCAGGAGTTGGATACCCAGGAGTTGGAAGTCCTCTTAATTTTGTTTCTATTTGTGCGTATACAATTCCTGAATTCTTGTAGAAATGATATCTGTCTTTATCTTTGTAATTAAAATTGCTGACAGGCTGTGCCTTAGTTAAAATATCATTCCGTTAACTGGGACACAGGAAGTATATTTTCCATGTACATTCCATAATCTGTTTCTATGGTTTTTTTTCTATTCAGGTATATTTTCTTCAACTATGTTTTGATTATTGCCACTGTTTATTTCCTTTTTAATTCAGTCATCTTGTATCAAACTGAAGTCCACCCAGAACTTGTTTCCCAATAAACAGGCTTGTAGACTGTCACCAAGTCCCTCAAATCTGTTCACTGAATGCTGGTGTCACCTCACCCCACTGTGGGGGGCCAGTGAAGGCCCCATCGAGTGCATTCCAGATGATGTCTCTGCTGCCCCCGCCTCTCTCTGGCAGTGAGGAAGAGAGTCCATGTTATAACACAAGTTCAAGGGCCTACATCTGAGGCCTTCAGGCCCCCCGCGTTCTGCACTGAGAGCCTCCTGCTGTGCCTGGCCACCCAGCATCATTGAGCGGAGACCAGTGTAACCTTTGAACCCAGGTATGGATGAAACTCCTCTGGTCCCTCGGAAGGTACCTTCATGTGGTGCAGGCAGCTTCTTGGTGTAGACCATTTCCACTTCTCTGATCTTTGAGCCAGCAGTTCTAGCTGGATTTCAGCCACTGAAGCACATGTGAGACCATTTTGGTTTCTCAGTTGTTATGGCTGAACTGTGACCCTAGGAATCCATATGTTGAAGCCCTAGCCCCCAGGACCTCAGAATTCCACTGGATTTGGAGACAAGCTCTTTAAAGAGGTGATTAAGATAAAATGAGGCCCTTGGGATGGGGCCCCAATCCGGGAAAACAGGTGTCCTTATAAGCAGAGCAGGTCTAGACACACAGAGAGGCAGCCGGACGCACAGAGGAAAGACCCAGTGAAGACGCAGCAAGGCCAAGTCCGCAGGCCACGAGAGAGGCTCAGGAGAACCAGCCCTCCTGGCACCTTGACCTTGGACTTCCAGGCTCCCGAACGGTACAGAAATACATGTCTGTTGTCTGAGCTACCCAGGCTGTGGTACTTTGTCCTGGCAGCCTGAGCAGACGATGACAGCAATCCAGCCCTCTTTAGTTTGTAGTTTGTAGATATTCTCTCCAGTCACTTGCTCAAAGGAGTTTTTAGAACTCGTGTGTGTGTGTGTGTGTGTGTGTGTGTGTGTGTGTGTGTCTGTGTGTTTGTTAATAAGAAGCTGGGCCCTCTGGGGCTGGCGCCCTGGGCCACGTGAACCAGGAAGCTGGCCCACACAGTAGGGTTAGCTCCGCCCCCTACGGGATATGCTGGCTGAGTGCGGCCTGGCGACCCCACAGTTGGCGGCCTGTTTTCTTCACTTCTGCCCATTGCATCAGTGAAGCTCGTCCTCTGTCACGTGTTCTCTTCCCCTCTAACTGCAGGGGCCATGCTGCCCAGACGCCCAGTTCTCAGATGACTTTGTGTGTCATTGGCTCCTGTACTGAAAAAGATCCCACACCTATGGAGATGGTATTAAAATCTATGAAAGCAGATTCTCTCCAGTGTTTTCTCCTCACACCTCCTCTCCTCGTACTCCGTACTGCATCCCTTGGAGACCCATCACTCAGGAATTACTCCCTGCAGGTGGACCCCTGTGAGGTCACAGTCCCAGGCTCTGTGCAAACCCTGCCAGGCACCACCCCCAGGTCCTTCAAAGTCAGCAGGCTGGCATCCGTCAGCTCAGGCTGCTGTGACAAAGCACTGCAGGCCATGGTTTCCCATCAAAAGCCTGTTCTCTCTCAGTTCTAAAGGTTGGATGTCCGAGATCAGGCCAGGGCAGGGCTGGTTTCCCCTGAGGCCTCGTTCCTTGGCCGTCTTCTCCCTGTGTCTTCACAATGTTTTCCTCTGTGAGTGTAGGGATCCCAATCCCCTCTTCTGAAAGGATGTGGCCAGACTGGATGAGGGCTCGGCCCTATGACCTCATTTTAACTAACCACCTTGTAAAGGCCCTGTCTGCAAACACAGTCACATTCTGAGGTGCTGGGGACTATGGATTTTGCGGGGACATGGTTTAGTCCATAGCAATGTCCAGCACCAAAGTTTTGCCATGTGCCCTTGAACGGAGCTACCTCCTGGCCCACCTTCTTGGGCACTGCTCTTGCTCCAACATTGAGTTTAGTCCTTGAAGTCATAATTTCCTCTTTAGCCTTTGTAGTCTGTCACCCATGAAATCCTAGAATTTCTGTTGCTATCGGTATGTCCGATCTTTCTCCATTTTAAAATAGTTTCTCCCTGGCTTGCTGCGGTTCCGGCCCATGGTGCTGTGTGCACATGCAGATATATACCCTTCTCAGTGGCAGTGGCCTCATCTGCCTCTTTGTCTCAGAAGCCATTCTGCACACCATCTCTTCTTCCCTCCCTCCTGCCATCCCTACATTCTTTCCTTCGCTCCATCCCATCTTCCCACCTCACGCCCACTCTCCCCTTAATACTTCACACTTGCTGAGATGCTTCTGTAAAGCTGAGCTAAATCACAGTATTAATTATTTTCCCCTGCTTAATCACCTTCAGAGGCAGCCCAGGATGTGTTGAGTTACATCGACTGCACAGCCCATGTCTCTTCCACTTGGCTGTTCAGCGTGATCTCCCCTCTCCTCGACACGGCCAGCCCACACCGGCCTCCGTGGCCGCCCTCCCCATGGCAGGCAGGGATGGAGGCAGGCTGAGGCACCTGTCCTCTGAGGCCTGCGGAGGCTCTCTCTCCTGTGCTTCTCTGAGGATGTCGCTCCGCCCTACTCAAGGAGTACTAGACCCCTCTGTCTGCTGAGGTCAGCATCCCAGAACACGGCTCCAGCTGACGATTGCACTTGGCACCCATATCCTCCGTGCGACAACCTGGTGTCAGCAGTCTCGGAGCAGAGGTCTCCTCTGCACCCTCTTTAATCCAGCAGCGTTCCTCAGAGCTCAGGAGCCACTCTGGACTTTTCTGGGCAACATGAGGGCAGCTTTCTCAAAGCCCCTTCACCAGGGCCCGCAGCAGCAGCGGAGAGCAGACCTACAGGCAAGTGTGGCGGCGGGGAGCGTGAGGTGGGGGGGGGTGGGGGGAGTGTTGGAGAGCACTTCCCCCCACACCAGCCCTGCCACTTTCTCCAGAGGGAGCTTTGTCCACACATCCCCATCGGCGCCCAGCCTTTCTGCTCCACACCCTAGAGGTGCCTGGTGGGCTGAGTTTACAGGCGAGCATTGGCCCCACCCTGGCCAACCCTGAGCAGGGTGGCTCTAGCAACCCCCTTCAAAAAGTGGGGTCCTTGTCACTACTGCTGGACTACGCTCTGGGCTCAAGTGAGACTAAGGGAGAGCAGGAAGGGTCCTACTTAACATTCTTAAAACAGGTTATACTTAATAAACGCACAGAAAAAAACGCTAGAGCAATAGTGGCAAGGGACTCCCTTCTAGGGAGGGAGTGATAAGGGAACAGGGAGATCCCCTGGTTTTTTCTCTGCTTCTACATTGTCTGACTTTATAATTTTACAGTGAGAATGCATTTATGCATTGCTTCTCTAGCTGGAAAAATGCACTTAAAATTAGTGACTATATGCTAAAGGCAAAAAACAAACCAAAAAATCACCTACTAAATGTTGAAGTTTCCAGCCACTTATAATCTCATTATCCTAACAGAAATGCTGTTTGGCTTGTCCATGTGCACACATTTTTTATTCACATGCACATTTTTACTGCAATGAAACCACAGAGTACACAATATTCTTTACCATCAGGGGCTTATCAGAGTGGCAGTCAAGCTCGAAACTCTAGCCCCAATGCCTTGGAGAGTCTGTAAGCCATGAGCTGGCCCAGGGTCTCCCTTGCCTGGCCTGGTGGCTCAGAGGTCAGGAGCACCTGGAGGGTAGGATGCTGCACCTGTCTGCAGAGGGCCTGTTGACTATTCTGACTGCCTTATTATTTGCTGCTCTGAATTTCATATTCATGGAAGAAATTAGCCAGCCCTAACTGAAAAACAGACAGAGGTACTCGTGACTCTTTCTCAGAAAGGAAGTCTGGAATAATAAAGGCAGGCAAGCTCTTTTTAACAAGCCTGTGATGAACCACATTCTACAATATTTTGAGGCATATTAGAGTGGCCTTTTAGTGTAGAATACCACATTTCAGGAGGAAAACTTTAAGCACAAATAATCCTTATTAAATTGACCCTATTTTAGAAATTCAGATCTCATTTTTTTAAAACTCAGGCAGACCATGATTACAATGGCACTGGGGACATAATTCCATGAGTTAACTTTAATTTTTAGTATCAAACCTTTTGCTGACTGTGAAACCACGAAAGTCTAGTGGGCATTTTAAAATCCAAATGATTTTCTTTCCATTTTTGCAACACTGTTCAGTAGAGTTCTCGCTAGGCAGCATTCATTCTTCTGTTTCTAAAACGAGCTCATACGCACCAGGAGAATGTGACCATCAAAAAGAAAGAAAAACAAAAGAGAGGAAAGTCTCATCAGAAGAGTCTGTGTTTGGTGAGGTCACTCCGAGAGGAGGTTTGGGGCTGATTTGATATTCAATCAGTTACCCTGGGCCCCTTTCCTTGCACATGGTTTGAATAGCAAGAGACACTGCACAGAAGACACGCCCTTGCATATCTGTTTTTAAAGCTATAACGTTCTGCTTATATTGTTTTTAAATTACATATCTTGTAGAGAAAAAAAAAAAGATGTGGTCCTGTCAGAGGTCAAGGTGTAGCAGGAGAGAAGAAAAGTTGTGGAAATTTCCCAGGGCCCTCGTCCTTCCCACACAGCAGCAAAGCAAACACAGAGGAAAAAGGAAACTAGACCAAGTGAGGAAAGCTGCTGAGAGAATCTGCTCTTGCCTGGAAAAGGCAAGTGGCAGAGACTTGGAAAAAAGATTAGACTTTCTACGTTGATAGAAAGTTATAAATTAGGCTCCTTGCAGGAGGTAAAAAGAAAGAAAACATGCAGGAATTTCACTTAAGTACTATTATACGCTGAGCATTATGCTATGAGCTATATATGCCTCTTTTGAAATTTTTACAGCAACCTGGATATGGTTAGATAGCATTATCCCTTCATTATGGAAGAGAAGACTAAGGCTCAAATAATTGCTCTAGAGAGATGAGACAGAAGTTTACTAAAACTGTTAGGCATTAAAGTACTGGAGTTTCCTACAATACTTAAAATGTCTTATTTGATTTCTAGTTTCATATGTGGTCAGAAAAGATCCTTGGTATGATTCTAATCCTCTTAAATTTGTTAAAACTGGTTTGGTGACCTAATATGTGATCTGTCCTGGAGAATGTTCCCTGTGTACTTGGGAAGAATGTTGCTCCTGGGTTGAATGATCTGGATGTGTCTGCTAGGTCCATTTGGTCTACAGTGGTTTTCGAGTCTCCTGTTGCTTTCTGGATTTTCTGCCTGGATGTTCCATCTATTATTGAAAATGGAGTATTAACGTTTCCTACTATTAAGTATTGCTGTCTGTGTCTCCCTTCAGTTCTGTCAATGCTTACTTTATATATTTAGGTGCTCTAATGTTGGGTGCATATATATTTATAATTGTTATATATTTTGGGTGGATTGACCCTTTCATCATTATATGGCATCTTTCTTTGTCTCTTGTGACAGTTTCTTACTTAAAGCCTATCTTGTCTGATATAACTATAGCCACCCTTTTCTGGTTTAGTTACCATTTGCACAGAATATCTTTTTCTATCCTTTTACTTTCAGCCTATATGTGTCCTTAAATTTAAAGTGAATCTCTTATAGACAACACATTGCTGGATCTTGCTTTTTTGAATCCATTCATCCACTTTATGTCTTTTGATTGGGGAATTTAAACCATTTACATTTAAAGTAATTACTGATAGGGAAGGATTTACTATTGCCACTTTGTTCACTGTTTTCTGTTTGTCTTATAGCTTTTTTGTCCCTCTTTTTCTCTCTTGCCATCTTGCCTTGTGTTTCCTTGTGCTTTTGTTTATACTGATATGCTTTGAATAAATTCTAGAGACCTGCTGTAAAGAATTATACCTATAGATGACAATACTGTATTGTACACTCAAAAATCTAAGAGGGTAGATCTCATGTTAAAAGTTCTTACCATAACAAAAATGTGTCCTTAGTGAAAGAAAGGGTTAAAGTAGAGTTAGGGTGAGCATGACTGAAAGCAGAGTTCTCTCAAAGAGATTTTTTAATGTGTCTGATCCCTACATGCTCAATTCCATTAAAGGAAATGTTTCCCTAAAACAACCAGGCCCTCCACATGCTGAGAGGGGCGTAGGTGAACTCTGCACTCTGCAAACCTCCCTGCCAGGCTACCTTCTGTTCTCTCGGGCTTCTGTCCAGACTGATCTGTCCTGGACAGGGGAGAAAGTGGTATGCCCGAGACTACCATCATTCTTCACCTCCCTCCCCTGACCACAGTTGGCCCTCTGGGCATTCCCCTTTGGAATATGGGCCCTGGCTTCCAGCAAGGGCACTCTCTTGCCCAACACAATAGTGCAAGCTTCCCAAGCAGCCTGTGAAGACTTCCTGGTGCTGCAGTCCAAGTGCATGGAATTGATAGGAAGAGACACCCAGAGGCTCATGCCTGCCTGTCCCAACTCCCAAGGAGGGCTCCTTTAGTTGTCTCTGAGTGTTATTCAAATGAAATTCCAAGGTCAAATAAATTTGAGAACACCGACTAAAGAGCAACTCAGGTTACTCGGGTAATTAATTACAGGCTCCTTAGAGCCTAATATTCTGATGTGCACTGTGCTTCTCCAAGGGTTGGATATATTACGCAGTGTTTTCAGAATGAGTTGGACCTGGAAACCCTTTTGCTTGAATGACTTTAAACAACCAGTGTTCTGAGGCGATATCCTTTGAAGAGGAACGGGAGAATCAAGGTTGTAGGACCAAGAATTAGGAAATTATCAACCATCAAAAATGATTTTAGCTACTTTAGATTTTTTAATGGAAAATAAAAATCCATGGTTCATATTTGTATCTCTCCACGAAATTATGAGGAAAAAAAAGCTCTGACCTAATTCAGAATTATTCTGACATTATATAAAAGTACCTTGTCTGTTTCATTCTAAGCTGAGTGTCTCTTCTCATAAACTTCACTCAAGAAATACCTGATTTTGTCCATCAAATGCATCATTTTATCAAGGCTCTAAGCTCATTGGACATCTCCAGGATTAGAGTCTGCTGCCTAAGAAGGCATCCCACTGTCAGTGCCTATGGTTCATTGTCCTCCCTTGTGTGGGTTCAGTCACCCCACTTGTACTCACAGATCCCATCTCTATTCCCTGCAGCAATGTGGAAACATCCTATCTCTTCTTGGGTGTTGGAAGGCAGCTACCAAGCCTCCCTTGTATTCTTTTTCAGGTCCAGCACACCCAGTTCCTACCACTCTTTCTCAGATGGAAGGGATGTTTAAATCATTGGCAGCTGCCATCCTTTGAGTAAGAGCTAGTTTCTCAGTGTCCATCCCACCTCACATATTCAAAGCAAACCATCCCAGCACCACACAGCAGGGTGGACACTGCGGTTGTGGGGGTGTCTCACTATTGCTCAGTCACTCATTGGTTGAAATAATTTTTTCCCAGCACCTTACCATTGATTAATACTGACTTCCTGAGATCTTTAAATCTCCACAGGTTAAACCAAGATCCTTAAATCTTTTTATTTCTTTTGTGTGCTTTATCATCTTTAATAACTGCTTCATCCTTTCTTATATATATTATTAGAATCATTTATTAAAATCATTTTACTGTCTAATATGCTATTTACTCTCTGGTAAATTTACCATATGGTAAATACCAGAAAGTAAATAGCATATCAGAGAGTAAAGCCATATTAGAGTAAAATGATTTTGAAAGCCTAAAGGTAACGTACATACTGACATTAAAATTATAGTAAAGTTTCAGAATTTTAAAATGAGAATCTTGAAAGCAATCTCATCTAAACCTTCATTTTACACACAGGAGACTGAGGTCTGAGGAGTCAAGCGATCTGCTGGAGTTAACTCCTTTATTATATGTTTTTGAGCATCTACAGTGTTCCAGGCACCATTCCTGTGCTAGAGACACACTGTGGAAAAAACACACAAAAGCATTTGTTCTATTGCAACTTACATTTTATTTTGAAGAAGAACTGGAAAATGAACCCAATCCTTCTCTTGCTGTCTCTTTCTGTCTTTCCTTTTTTGCTCTCTGAATATCATGATAGTCTTTCTAAATGTTCGTATGTATATAATAGCCAAGACTGATGAAAGAAGATTTATATTTACAATAAAGCTACATTTGTAAAGCAATTAAAGCTACTAAGTTTGTTTCTGGAGGAACCCAGCCCCAGATAGAGCAACCTCAAATGAAATGCAATCCAAGAAAAAAAGATGTTTCACTTTCCAGATTCTGTGCCTCCGTGACAAAACACAGTACAGCTGTCTAAAGAGAAACAAATGTGGAGTGTCTCCCAACAGAACTTCACTGAGAGTGTGTTCTAATGCAAGATGAGGGAAAACTCTATCACAAATTTCATTTTTTATTTTGTTGGCAAAATTGAAAAACCACAGCAAAAATGTCAACTCACATAAAAGGTGACATTTCTAAGAATAACATTCTTTGAACATTTTTTGCTTATTTTACTGGCAGTCATCTCTTTTATCTAATTGATAAAGAATGCCCCCTCAAAACTGATTTTCCAGAACTGTGCTATGTGTATCTTGAAGGGTCATGCCTCAGCAGAGTGGGCCCTGGAGGGAAGCTGCTCCTTAATGCCCTCATAGTGCTAATGCGACATCTTTCTCTCTTCCAGTTCATTCTCTTCCTAACCTGATTCTTTGGAGGAGCCAATGCGTGTCCCACCTTTGAAGGCCTTTAATTTTTTTGCTCATTTAATAAAATACATTGAAAGCCTACTATCCCCATAGGGGCTCTAAAGTAAATAAGACAATTCTTGCCTTCATTAGCTCATAAATTTGCAGAGCAGACAGACCAATAAACAGCTTCACTAACATAATGTCACGTGTGTGATTCCAACTAGTCCTTGTTTATTAAATCATTTATCCAACATCTATTACACTGGACTCTGAAATAGGGCTATGGGTTTATAGGAAAATGTACAAGGTGTTGACAAAATAGCATGAGGCACAGGTAATCATGTGCCTAAATGGACCAGTAAGACAGCACAGCCCATTGTGATAATCTATGACTATTTCATTAAGAAGACATTGTTCAAACTGCACCTTAAATAATAAGCTCATTAGCAGTGTCCAGGCCCTGGGTGGGGGGATTCTGGGGACCCCAAGCATGAAAGTGAAAGTCATTCTTAAAGCACCTGTGAAGGTGAATTACTGGAACATTATAGGCAAAGAGAAAAAGACCAGGTCAGTTTTTAGAATGTGTTTCTCCACACCTTACACTTTGATTTAGTGAATATACCAAAGTGACTCCTATCTTGCTAATTCAAATTCCCATTCAGGGCTTCCAACCAGAAGGAAGCTCGCAAGAGTATCACTACCAATTTTGTAATAAAAAAAAGTCCACACAAACTGCAAATTAAAAACTTTTCTTGAATGCATCATGGAAGTGAGGTGTTGATGCAACTGATTAACCTGAAATATGAAGAGGGGGAGGGACCTGCAAGGAAAAATGGGATGTGAGCAGCTGCTAGCCAGGGCAGATACATGCCAGATACCCCAGACACCACTATGAAGAGTTCGGCCAGAAGCTTCTCACGAATTGGCAAAGGCTAGATGTGAACTAGCAAGAGAAGAGAACAATCCTGAAGCTTCAAGTAAAAGAAGAATTTACACTCCCTTGTACCCTCTCAGCATGAACCTCACTGAGTGCTCACTGAAGACGGGCAAGAGATTGCATTTCTGAGAAAACATCCTTGTGGCTCAGGCCTGGCAAGGGGTCAGCATGTGCTGTCAGAAAGCATGAAGCCAGGCCTGGATCACTGTCCAGGACGTCCTTATGGGAGGACAGCAAGCACTCTACACCCAGGGCGCTGATGAAAACCCACTGCCTCCAGGGGAAGGCACAGCAACAAGGCCTTAAAGCAGGGGAGGAGAGGCAAGAAGCAAGGCTGGATAGCACTGAAAGCCACACAGTCAAGACACAGGGACACAACACCAGCCTAAGGCTGAAAGTTAACCAGAATAGCAGAGGACAGCACCAGCCACAGTCCCACCAGGTGAACAAGTGTCCAGCGACAAGTAACAGCATGTAGTAATCACTTTAGGGTGAACGGCAGGAGCATAGAGGAAGGCTGTCTCTGAAAATCAGTTCAAAGAAAACACCTAAAAGTGAGGACGGAAAACACATTGGTAAAAATGCTCAGGCAAACCGGTTCCACCCTGAACACAAGGTACCACGAGAGGAATCTGAAGGTTAGGGTGCATTGAGGGTAACCATAGCAACAGCAAACCACGAACCAAGTCCTCCTGGCTAGCCTGAATCAAAACCCCACCTTAAAGGCCTAATGGAAGGAAAAGTATTCATTTCCAGGCACAAATGAATATTTGCCTTTGTACTATCTACCTTGGATCAAAAATTTTGTGACATATAAATAAGCTAGGGAAAAAGAACCTCTCAAGAGATAATGCAACCAATGAAACCAGACTCAGGTATGACACTTTCAGATCAGAAATTTTAAATAACTGACATTAATATGTTTAAAAGCCTAATGGAAAATGTGGACACCATACAAAATCAAATGAGTATTTTGAGCAGAGAGATGGGAAGAACAAAACATCAAATGAAATGCTAGAAATGAAAACCATATTAACAAAAAGAATGCCTTTGACCGGCTCACTATAGGCCTAACAAATCTCAGAAAGTAATTAGTGAACTTGAAAATAGAACAATAAAAATTGCCCAAACTGAAACATGAACAGAAAAAAACAACCAGCAGAGCTTTCATGAATTGTGGAATAACATCAAAACATCCAGCATGTGTAATCAGAATCTAAGAAGCAGAAAGAGAGAGACAGAGAGAGAGAGAGAGAGAGAGAAATGGGCAGAAAAAATAGCCAAGAATTTGTCAAAATTAATGATATCAAACCACAAATCTAAATAGCACAGAAAACATCAAGCAGAATAAATGCCAACAAGCAAACAAATCAAAACCAAACCAAGGTATGCCATACACAAACTTCTGAAAACCAAAGACAGAAAAAATAACCACCACATTACATACAGAAAAACACAGATGATAATTATGGAAAACTTGTCAGACTATGCAAGCCAGGAGGTGCTAGGGTGACACCTTTGGAGTATTAGGAAAAAAATATGTCAACACAAAATTCTATGCACAGCAAAAAAAATACATTTCAAAAATAAAGCAGACGCAGAAATTCCATTCCTAGGTATGTACGCAAAAGAACTGAAAACAGGTACATAAACAAATTCATGTACACACATGTTCATAGCAACACTATTTACAATAGCAAAAAGGTAGAAACAGCCCAAATATTCATCAATATATGAACGAATTAACAAAAGCTAGTATATCTATGCAAGGGAATATTATTCTGCCATTTATCCAAAGAAGATCTGCAAATAGCCAACATTAAAGATACTCAATATTACTAATCATTAGGGAAATTCAAATCAAAACCACAATGAGATACCACTTTATACCCTTCAGATTAGCTATTTAAATAAAAAAGGTAAGAAAGAAAAGAAAAGAAGTATTGAAGATGATGTGGGAAAATTTCAATGCTTGTGCACAGCTAGGGGGAGTGTAATATTGTGGGGCCACTATGGAAGACAGTATGGCAGTGCCTCAAAATACTGAGCAGGAAATCCCATATGTTCCCACAATCCCACTTCTGGGTATATACCCCAGTGAAATGAAAGCAGGGACTTGAACAGATCATTGTACACCCATGTTCCTTATGGCATTATTCATAATAGCCAAAAGGTGGAAGCAACTCAAGTGTCCATTGATGAATGAATAAACAAACTGTGGTATAAACATACAATGGAATATTTTCCTGCCATAAAAAAGATGAAGTACTGATACCTGCTACAATGTGAATGCACCTCAAAAGCATTACGCTAAGTGAAAGAAGCCCAACACCAAAGGTCATATATTATATGATTCTATTTATTTGAAATATCTGGAATAGGAAAATCTATAAATACAGATATACATCTAACTTTGTCTTCATGTATGTTGAAATCCAATTGTTCCAGCACCGTTTGTTTAAATGACTATCCTTTTCCAATTGAATTACCTTTGTAGTTGCCAGGAACACATTTGCCTCTATTACAGTAGCTTCATAGTATGTTTTTAAATAGGAAAGTGTAAGCCCTACACCTTTGTTCTTCTTCAAGATGTTTGAGCTATTCTGTGTCCTTTGAATATCCACTTAAATTTTAGAATCGTGTTGTTAATTTCTGAGGGGGAAAAAGCCTACTGGGTGTTGATAGGAACTGCACTGACTCTACAGCTCAACTTGAGACGAGTTATCATCTAAATACTGAGTCTTGCATATGAACTGAGTCTTGAATATGAACACCTTTCCATTAGTTGAGTCTTTCTTAAATTACTCTCAGCAATGCCACGTTGTTTGCAGTGTACATGTCTTGCACTTCTTTTGCTAAAATTCATCCTGTTTTATCCTTTCTGATACTATTGAATAGAATTGTTTTCTTAATTTCACTTTTAGATTATTGTTATTGTTGCTGTTAATATACAGCAATACAGTAGAATTTTGTATATTGATCTTGTACCCTGAAAACTTGCTGAATTTATTCATTCTTATAAATTTTCTACAGAATTTTTCATGGGTTCCATAGAATTTTCTATATACAGGATTCTGTCATTTGTAAATAAAAGCCGTTTTACTTCTTCCTTTCCATAACTTTCCTTGAATGTCTTTATTTCTTTTTCTTATATGATTAAACTTGCCAGAACCATGAGCACAATCTTGAATCAAAGTGGCAAGTTTCAATCCGAGGGAAAACATTCATTCTCTCACCATTAGGTATGATACTAGCTTCAGAATCTTTTGTAGACAGCCTTTACCAGGCTGGGGATGTTCCCTTCTATTTCTACTGTTTCGAGACTTTTAATCATGAATGGGTGTTGGATTTTGTCAAATGCTTTTTCTGTTCCTGTTGAGATAATTATGTGGGAGTTTTTTGCCCTTTATGCTATTAAAAGGAATAATTAGGCTAACTGATTTTTGAATGTTAAAGCAAATCTTGCATTACCGTTAAAAATCTCACTTGGACATGATAGTAATCCTTTCATATATTGCTGGACTTGACTTGCTAATATTTTGTTGAGAATTTCTGCATCTACATTCCTAAAATAGTCATCTGCAGTTTTATTTTCATGTTAATAGCCTTGCCTGCCTTTGGCATTAGAACAGTACTAAAAAATCTGGAAGAGCTTTTCAAGTAGTGGTATATTTTTCTAAATTTCAATGTTTGATAGAATTCAACAGTGCAGTCATTTAGGCCTTAGTTTTTCCTTATAAGATTTTTAATCACAAATTTAATCTGTTTACTTGTTATAAGACTCTTCCTATTTTCTAGTTCTCATAGGTTCTGTTTGGTAAATTGTGACTTTCTACACATGTAGCCATTTTATCTAAGTTGTCTTATTTGTTAGCGTAACATTGTTCAGAGCGTTCTTTTATAATACTTATAACTTTTGAAAGGCTGGTAGTAATGTCTCATCTTTCATTTCTGATTTTGGCAATTAGGGTCTTCTTTTTCCTTTATTAGTCTCATGAACAATTTGTCAATTTTGTCAAGATTTTTAAAGAATCAATTTGGGTTTCATTGATTTTCTCTATTATTTTCAATATTATATTTTCCCTATTGTTTATTATTTTCTTCCTTCCAATTGACTTTAATTTAGTTTGCTCTTCTTTTTGTACTTTCTTATGGTAAAAGTTTAAGTTAATATTCTCAGATTTTTCTTCTTTTCCGTCATAGTCCTTCAACTCCATAAATTTTCTTCTAAACACTGCTTGAGTTATATCTCATATATTTAATAGATTATGCTTTTATTTTAATTTTGTTCAAAATATTTTCTTTCTTTGTGTTTTCTCTTTTGACTCATAGGTTATTTAGAAGTGAGCTGTCTAATTTCCAAATATTTCTGTATTTCCCCAAATCCATTTATGGTTCATTTCTAATTCAGTTCTATTGTGGTCAGATGACATACTTTGTATAATTTCAGTCTTTGTAAATGTATCAGCACTTGATTTATGGCCTAGCTTATGGTCTATCCTGAAGAGTGTTCTTTGTAAGCTTGAAAAAAACAATGTGTATTCTGCCTTTGTTGGGTTGACTATTCTGTAGATATTAGGTCAAGTAATTGCGAGTATTACTCAAATTTTCTATAGCCTTGCTAATTTTTCTGTCTAGTTGCTATATCCATTATTAAGAAGAGGTTATTAAAGTCTCCATTTATTTGTTTTGTTCTTCATACATTTAGGGATTTTGTTCTTAGGTATATGTATATGAACAGTTGTTATATCATCCTGATTTATTGACCCTGATAAAAATGTGCTAGGAGGACATTTGTCTTCTTCTCTAGTAGTATTTTCTGTCTTTAAATCTATTTTGTCTGACATTTGTATAGCCATTTCAGCTTTCTTATGTTTGCACCATTCCATTTATCTTTTTCCTTCCTTTTATTTTCAGGCTATTCGTATTTTTAGTCTAAACCTGAATCTGGATCGTAAACCTAAATATGTAAACAGATTAGAGTGAAACCCTTTTTTAAAAATCTAGTTTGTAAATCTATGCAATTTAATTGGAGTCTTTAGTATATTTACATTCAATGTAATTGTTTATGTGGTTGGATTTATATCTGCTATTTTGCTGTTTTCTATGTCTCACATTTTTTTTTGTTCCTGTTTCTTTTTACTACTTTCACTTATGTTAAATAGATGTTTTCTGACCTACTATTTTAATTCCTTTGTTGCTATTTTTACTTTGTGTTTTCAATTTGTTTTTAGTAATTGCCATTGAGATTTCAATATACATCCTATTTATCACAATCTGGCCTAGATTAATAACTAACCTAATTTCATTAAAACCTAGAGATTCTGCTCTAAGGTGGCCCATTCTTTCCCTCCTCCTTTATGCTATTATTTTAATATATATTACATCTCTCTATGTCAAAAGGCCAAAAGCATATTCATGTTACTTTATGTGATTTTAGTTTCAATTAGTTAAAAGAAGAAAAGACAAAAATACATTTATTCAGGCTCATCTATATAGCTGTGTATAGCTATATAGATGTATATATACCTTTTCCAGTGCTCTTTTTTTTTCTGGGCGGGGGGAGGGTTGGATTCAAGTTATTGTCTGTTGTAATTTCCATTCCTTTCTTTAGTATTTCTTTCAAGGTAGGTATGCCAACAATTAATTCTCTGAGTCTTTCTTTTGTTTTGTTTTAAATCTGGTCATATCTTTTTTCAACATCATTTTGAAAAATAGTTTTTCTAGAAATGAAATTCTTTCTTGAGTTTGTATCTTCGTTTCAACATTTTAAATGTCATACTACTGCTTTTTGGCCTACACTTATTTCTGATGAGATGAGAAGTCAGCTATTGTTCTTATTGTATTCTTACATGAGGCTTTTCATGTAAACAGCAATGAAGAGCCCATGAAAGTCCCCTCTGGCCTCTCAAGTACAGATGCAGCCCTGTGCACATACTCAGCTTTCTATGCCCTCAGGGACACAGGGGGCGCTTATCAAAGTCTACTCTGGCTGTCACATTCCCTGCATCACCTATTAAATGTCTGGCTAGTCTGATTTTTATTTGATTTTTAGCAAAAGTACAAAAGCAATTTAATGAAAAATTATAGTCTTTTCAACAAATGGTACTATAATGAATAGATATCTATATGCAAACAAAAATAAATCTAAACTCAAAATGGATCATAGATTTAGAGGTAAAAGTAAAACTTAGAAAATCTAAGAGAAAATCTTTGTGATCTTGTGCTAGCCAAAAATTTCTTAAATATAATACTAAAGGCATGATCCCCAAAGGGACAAATTCATCAACTGAACTTTATCAGAGCTTAAAACTTTGTCTGAGAACTATACTATTAGAAAAATGAAGAGATGAGACTCAGGAAAATTTTTCAAATCAAAGATGACAAAGGACTTAATATTCTGAAAATATGAAAACTTCACAAAGCTCAACAATAAGAAAATAATCCAATTTGAAAAGGGCAAAAGACCTTAACAGACAGTTCACCAAAGAACATAAATACATGTTCAACATCATTAATTATTAGTAAAATATAAATCAAAATCACAATGAGATACCACTGCACACATATTAGAATGGTTTAAAATCAAATCTGACAGAACCAAGTGCTGATTAGACAGTAGGAAAACGAACTTTCATACATTACTGGAAGATTGAGAATGATATAGCAACTATGGAAAATTAAGCATAGCAAACTACCTGGCCTCACAGCCCCATTGCTAGGTGAGAGAAATGAAAACATACATCCACACAAAGACCTCTGGGCACAATGTGGTCCATCTATGCAATAAAATACTACTCAGCAATAAAAAGACAAACTGCTGATGCATACAAAAACATGATTGGATATCCAAAACATTATGGTAGGTGGAGGAAACTGGATTCCATTTTTATGAGATTCTTGAAAAGACAAAACTATAGGGACAAAAAAAAGACAAATTCTTGCCAGGGGCTGAAAGTGGAAAGGAGAGATTGAATGTAAAGGGGTACCAGAAAAGTTCTGGGTGTGATGGAAATATTCTATGTCTCAGTTGAGGTGGTGGTTACATGACTGTATATTTGCCAAAACTGATTAAACTATACACCTCAAATGGTAAAATTTACTATATTCAATTATACCTCAATTACCCTGAATTTTTTTTTTTTTTTTTGAGACAGGGCAACTTGCTCTGTTGCCCAGGCTGAAGTATAGTGGCACAATCATAGCTCACTGCAGCCTCCAACTGTTGAACTCAAGTGATCCTCCCATGCCAATCTCCTGCATAGCTGGGACTACAGGTGTGTGCCACCATGCCCAGCTAAGTTTTTCATTTTTTGTTGAGATAGGGTCTTGCTATGTTACTTGGGCTGGTCTCAAACTCCTGGTCTCAAGCTATCCTCCTGCCTCTGCCTCTCAAAGTGGTGGAATTACAGGCATGAGCCACTGTGCCTGGCCCTGATTTTTTTTTTAATAATAAATTAGGATATGGAATTTTTGTCATCATACCATCAAATTGCATGGAACTTGTTACCAGGCAGCCTTGTTCAAAATATACAAAATGTATGTTCACAAGAAAACATGTCCATGAGTATATGCCCAAAATACACATCATGTATTTGCCCCAAATTGGAGGGAAAACAATTGACTTTCAAATGATGAAAAGACACTCTTAATGAGTAGGATCCTACACAGCTATACAATGAAACAAACTATTGATGTAAGCAGCAACATGGATGAATCTCAAATGCATTTTTGTAAATGAAAGAAGCCAGACCCAAAAGGCTATGATTCCATTTACATGAAATTCTGGTGAAGGCAAAGCTGTAGTGGGAGAACAGCTCAGTGGTGGCCAGTGGTTGCTCGGGGGAAGGGTTGTCTACAAAGGAGCAGCATAGAGGAGTGTTTTTCCAGTGATAGACCTGCTGCGTGTCTTAGTTGTGCTGCTATGTATGTGGCTACGGATTCTTCAACATTCACAGGGCTCTACAGCACATGACTGAATTTTACTGCATGTATAATAAGACGCAAAATATAAACTCTTTAAATTTTGTTTTTTAATATTGTGGATCCTGAGGAGAAGCAGGGAAGATTCAGATGGCCAGTCAGGAGGTGGCCCCAGCAGAGGGACTCTTGAGCAACGTACTAGACACACTACGGGGTTGCTTTGGAAAACACAGAAAAGAAAAAGTTAAAGATTCTTTTAGACCTCTGTTTTTCTCCCCAGAGCAGGAAACATTTGCCAATGTTTTATGATGGAGTGGAGCTGACTTCCTAATCTGAATGTTTCTCAAGCCCACGATGTTCCCTTTCCCTGTCACTCCTTTTCTGTTGCACCTTATGGGCTCTGATGGGCTCCCAAGGAGGGGAGGAGCCCAAGACTGTGTGTCTCCACTTCCCATTGCCTCACAGCCTGCGGTGAGAAGTATTCATGCTTCGTTCATGCATTTCCTCACCATGCATTGAGGGTTCTGTATGGAGTCACAGAGCCAGACACCAATACCCAAAAAGATACACAATGAACATCGCAGCCTTATATGGGCTTAAAGTAGAGGAGGGACCATCTTCTCCTTTCCTTTCTTTTCTTTTCTTTCTTTCTCTTGCCTGCCTTTCTTCCTTCCTGTGTGCCTTCTTCCTTCCTTCTTGCTTTCTTTTTTCATTGATCCATGCTTTTTATGCACATGAATGAACCAAGCACTGTGACATTTCTACAGAACCATTGAACAAGGCTGGCCACTGGCCTGCTTGCCCAACCAACTTTCCTTTCCCTACTTCATCCTTTACATGGCAGTGGAAATCTAACTGGGTTTTATGGCTAAAAATCATCTAGTGGCTTGGCTTTCGGGCAAAGCTTCTCATCTACAGTCTGCACAGTCCTTCCTGGGTGGCCAGCCCCAAGCAGCCTCACCTCCCACACGAGCCACATGGCCCCCTGCAGCTTCTTCCATCTATGGGGTCCATAACTTTCCGAGACGTGCACCCTCCACAGCCGAGTTAGCATCTGTGGCTTCTCACTCCTCTGCACCCCAGCATTCCCGGGTGTACCTCAACCACACCACCTAGCACTCTGGACTGTGGTCACAGCTGTTGCTTGTCTCCCTGTTAGGGCGTAAGCTACTGTAGGCCAAAGAAGGGCCTAATTCGTCTCTGAGTCCCATGGCCCAATAAAACTTAGCTGAGTTCCGTCGACTTGAGACAAGGAGAGTCTGCACTGAGGACCATAAGTGAGGCTAAACAGGAGAGCAGAGGGGAAAAGCAGCGCCCTGTGTGGCCCACCTTGCCCAGAGGTCCCAGATGGGCTTGTGGCCGAGTGCTGGCGTCCAGCACAACTTCAGAGGAGGGGCGGCCAGGGCACTTGGCCATCTGGTGCCTGCAGGTCCAACAGCTCCCGGGCTGTTTACAAAACTGGAAATCTCATGTTTGTAATTGCTGACAAGGCTCATTTATCTTTATCCAACCAGCTTTGAAAGAAGAAGAACTGCAATGGAAGTAATTGAGTGACCAATGCAGCCACAGATCAATGGGGCTTGGCTACTCAAAGCCGGCATCATCTATTACAGGATGCTTTTTCCAATTGGACCAGAAAAGTATCACGTATGTAGCTCAGCTAGGTTTCAGAGCTATAAAGCTGATAGCAAGCTAGGTTTGTGCCACCTTTTGCAATCTTATGAGTGTTTGCGAAACTATTACTAGAATCTGAAAAGAATGATGTCTATACTCTTCCGGGATTTTTAACATGCCCACCTGGTAAAACAATGAGCAGGACTTCCACCATTAAAAAAAAAAAAAATTATTTCAGATGACTCTTAGCTGGACCTTTTCTCCTATCAGGATTTCAGGATTTGGTTTTAAAAAGAAAAATGGTGATTCTTCAGGTGCTGTATTTATTACTAAAATAATACAAAGCTGTGTTCAGAGTCCTTGCTTTAATCTTCTGTGGGTGGAATCCTAGGATTTGAGAGCTGAAATTGCCTCCGGCACCGTAGCCTTCAGCCCTCCATCCCGCTCACGTGCACATTTATTTATTCCATGAGTTTCACTCAACCTCAGGACCCTGAAGTCTACAGGGTTAAGAACAGAGATAACAGGGTCTCTAGGACCATTCTGCGGTGTGCAAGGGCCTGCCTGGGGCGACTTTGTGTAGCTGCAGTTCTTCTTCCTCACCCAATGACAGAGCCTTTTCCTTATTCACAATGCTGGCTTGTGTTGCCAGGGGGCTGGGAGATGGCCCTCCTGGGCTGCGTGAATGGACGTGCCCACCACAGGCTCAGGGCAGATGACACATGGCCACAGCTCCACTGCTACAATGAGGAGGCCCCCATCCCACTAGCCGGCACTTGGTGGGACTGTGTGTCACTGGGGGCTGGGGAGATGTCAGGGTTCTGCAGGCTTCCTACAGAAAATTCTCTCTAGAGAAGATCTTTTCTTAGTAAGTCACATTCAAAGATCCTGCAAACAGGAGGAGAAGATAAGGTGTGCCAAAAGCTCCAAGAATGTGTGTGTTCCTGGATCAGCACCTCTGCATCAGGAACCCTCCGAAAACTGCGGACAACTCAGCGCCCCTCATCTTTGAGAGGCGTGGCCAGCAGCTGCTTTGAGTCCTGAGCTGGACCACAGGGGCCCTGGTGTGGGTCGTGGCTAAGCGCAGATGGCTACAGGATGTGGCTCATTGTCCCACAAGCAAGGGACAACATGCATGGAAGAGTGCGCTCAGGAGGACTTGCTGCACCCATTCCAGGAAGAACGGGCCGTGGAACTGGAAATTTTGAGGCAGATTTTTACATGTGGCCTCCCCCACTCTGTCAGGAAACAACTTCAAATGAGTCGGGAGTATATCAATACATAAGCAGGACTGTAGCCATGCATATCTTTGGCATTAATTACTGCTAGTGGGCTGAAACCTAACGGGCCATGACTGCATAAGTCTCCAGTAAATACACGTGTGCAGATGCTGAATAGTGCAAGAGGTACCTGGATCACTGTACGTTAGATAAAAGGAAGTGTGTTGTAGAGCCAGGAATTTAAAAGAAAAGTATATACATGCATGAAATAGACATCCTCACTCCCAAATGATGGTGTAGAGAAGGCCTTTAAAAATGACATGCTGTTCAGGTGCATTCTCGTTGGAATGCCTACATCCTTCTCAATTGCCAATTTTTATGCAGAAGTTCCATGTAAAAGGTCATGTTTTGGAGGATCTATGAAAACAAATGCATTTTTTTTCCTCAGCACAAAGGCAAAGCATAATTTATACTTTTGAATTTTCAATCTCTGGTTCTTTTCAGAATATGTAACTACTAACAGAAAACAATCTATTCTAGTAGTTCAGATGTCAGATTTAAAAAGACAGCAGGGCAGACCCTCACTATAGCATGGGAAGCAGGTGGGAGATATTGTACAGGGGGCTGATTTCCAATTTGTTAATCACCGAGTGGCTTACGTTCGTTCCATTCCAGGAGTGATTGTACCCTAACCTTGCTACAAGACTCTGTCACCTTCCCTTGGAATACTGGTGCCCAGGAAAACCTTCAATCTGGGTGAAAAGAGTTTAAATAAGCACATTTCCGTAGCGTCTGTGCTCCAACCCGTACTGAACCCTTATTTAATAGAGTATTTTACATACTTTACACAGACACTGTCATTGTTCAGAGTTGGCCTGGCCTTTTCACAGTAACTATTTTGGACATGTTTTTGTGTCTTTCTCTTTGGCTGAATTTTTCAGCCATCGAAAGCTCCTTCCATTCCTCCTCCCACCAAGAGCTTCTCTGTCACAATAAATGGCACCGCTGTTGACCCAGTTTCTCCACCCACAAGCTCAGGAGTCTCCTTGAATGCTCTCTCCCTTCCCCTCCCTTGCCCAACTCACTGATCCTCAGCAGGCAAGTTGGCACTACAACCAAACGGGCCCCCCACTCTCACCCTCTCTCTCAGCTGATGCTCCGCCACAGACCAGCATCAGCTCTTCAACAACCATCTCTCTAGTTCTCCATATCATTAAGGATCTTTTTGAAACAATTATCAGTTCAAGTTTCCAAGACCTGAGAGCAGGGTAGGCTGTCAGAAGCAGAGCTCCAAGGGGTGGCACCCTGCCTGGCAGCTTAACCCCATTAGGGAGAGACTCCCCCAACACACACTGCTCTACTCCCCACATGGGTCCAGAGCTGCCTTCTCTCACAGCCACTCTTAGCGGTATGTCTCCATCCACATCGCTGATTGTATGGGAGGAGAAAGCTCCACAAGTTACAGGGTTATATTATGCAGGCATGTTTCACTTGTAAATTTATAACTTAGCAGAATGTACTTAAGTCACTTGAATTTGCCTATTTAAGAAAAAAATCAATAGTTGTTCTCAAGCACATTGTTTTTGTGCTTTCAGCAGCATCATAATTGAGTTTGTTTTTAATGCTTGTGCACCACTACCAGCCTGGTTACGTACTCCCAGAAGGGAAAAGAAGATGCTCCAGCCATCCACGGTTCTAGCAGGACCTCAGGTTCTGCTGATTCACACATCTACTCTCTGACTGGAGGAACAGGCAGCACTTGCTGTTTTATTTGTTGGAACAACACCAAGTCCTGGACATCCATGCTAATTTATTTTCAACTAAGACATGTGTTTCTAAGACTTCTATGAGAGAAAGCACAGTATGATGGGAAAGGCTTAGACATGGGCAGAGAGAGCAGTGACGACCCCAGTCTGGCCTCTCGCCACCTGAGGGGCATGAGCAAGCCCCTGTCCCACGTGGACACCAGCACCCTTACCTGGCAATGGTCAACAGGATGCCCAGGAGACCTGCAGGAAACAGCACGTGCTGGGCACTCAGCATCATGCCAGGCAGGGCAGGTACTCAGCGAGTGCTGGTGTCCGCCAGAGAGTGTAATGGGGCTAAGCAGAGAGTCTGGGCAGGGCAGGTGCTCAGTGTGTGCTGGTGTCCCCCAACAGGTGTAACAGGTCTAAGCACGGAGTCAGGGCAGGGCAGGTGCTCAGCGAGTGCTGGTTTCCTCCAGCAGGTGTAACAGGGCTAAGCACGGAGTCCTGCCAGAGCATAGCCTATCATCGTCCAGAGCACTGCCCTTCCCAACTCCGCCGGGCATTTCCTGGCCCCAGGTTGGAAGCAAACACCATCAGCAGCAACTTGCATGAAAAACTATACGGAAAAATCTGTAGCAAGCACAGACCTGCCTCCCATGCTCCCCCTTTTCCTCATCCAAGGTTTCTCCAGCCCCGCCTACCCACTCCGTGTCCCTCCAATCACAAGCCCTGGGCCCTGGAGCTCTCTGGCAACCCTCTGTGAGGGTAGAGTGTTTTTGTCCAGCAGATGGAGAGGATTCTCCCAACCTCACAGGAAGGAACCAGGGGATCACCCACTTCACACGCAGGTACAGTCACTGTCAGTCATGAGCATTTCCTGGAGTCACAGAACACAGCCTCACTGGGGTCCCCTGCGCTGCTGCCTCCCTTCACCTCTTCACCTCCCTGGTGAAGCGTGGCACCCCCGCCTCCTTTGAGGAGCAGCTGCTGGTGAGCGGAAAGGCTTTGATCTAAAGGGCTGGCTCTGAAAGATGGAATTTCAGCCTTTGCAGAAGTAAAATGTGGGTCAACAGGAATTGGGCCTCAGATGCTGGACATCAGAGTCCTCAAGAATCCCCTGCAATGCCCCATCTTCTTGCTAGTTACCTGTGTGTATGGCAATCCCTGGAGGCAAAGGGGGCTGATTTTATAGAGCACAAACCGTACCCTCCAGACACAGAGAAGAAATTTAGAATTGATGTTGGCTGTGCTAGACCTTGACCTTAAGGGAAGGAAAACCAAGGTCTGTGAAACGGTTTATGGGAAGAACAGACCCAGCTCTGTTCCAGTTCATGGGCGGCAGGCGTGTTCAGAAACACAGCAGGCAGAGGCTCCATTCACATTAACGGAGACTATTATTGCTGTTGTGGCAGGGGTCTCACAGAAACACTCTGGATGATGGCATTGCAGCTTAAGTGTCTAGGACAAAAATGAATAGTATAAGTTTAATTTGTTACGTTTAGCCTGTGGACAGGTAGTGTTTAGAATAAGATTACTCTGAAGCTGGATGAAAACGTCTATCAGCAGCAGACAGAACCAGGTTCACTAAGATGCACCCAAGGAGGATGAGCTGCAGAGAGACTGGAGGGCGAGGAGTAACGGGAAACACAGGAGCACCCTGGGGGCTCCATGTTTCCTGAAGGGCCTGGAGAAGCTGGAGAGGGCTCCCATGTTGGCCACGCTAGAGTCTTTCCTGAGTCCTGGCCCTGGCCTGCCTGCAATGGCTCTGCTGGGAAGCCAGCCAGGAAGCACTCTACCCGGGAGCTGACCTGAGACAGCAGCCTGGCGCCAGGACAGGGAGGGCATGTGAGCAGCAGGTGTGCAGGCACCAGGGTGTGCAGGGTGGGCAAGAGGGTTACGTGTGACATGCCGTCGCTAGGCAAGCACTGATAAGCAAAGAGCAAACATTTTGATTTAAATTATTTATTAGTCAGGTTAAGAAAAGAAGATGAAAATGTCTTTTAAGATGGGAGGTGGGGTCAGAGGGGAGAGCTTGGAGGAAGAGGAAGGGCCAGGCTATGACCAATCGTCTTGCTTCCTCTTCTTGGCTCACAGGAGGCTGACCGGAGCTCTTGTGAGCTCGGTTCTGCCTAAGAGAGGTGGGAATAACAAACATCCAATTTTTTGGTGATACTTTTTCCCCAAAGGTACCAACAAATTCTACCGTAGGAGAGGAGTTTTTGAAAAAGGTAATATAATTTTACTTTCAATTTTGTTTTCTATTTTAACATTTTTTGTATAATGACTTATAATTGTTTATATATGAAAAAGTCTTCATTTGCAGGAGGTCATGACCCAGAGAAAATAACTTCAGAAGACTGAGACATCCTCCGTGAAGGAAGAAGGGGTTATGAAATTATTCTCCTGCTTCCTCGCTCTGACCCTGATGATCAGGATTTGTCTAAAGTTATGGAAGTCTTCCTGAACTTTTCTTATTAATTTGAAAAAAAAAAAACTTTCTGTCATTAAACAAATACACAGAAAACACCAGGCCCATTGAAGATGCCCGTTAATTAATTATTACACAAACAGTGGGTGTGGGGTTTGGATGCTGATTCCAACATTCAAAATAACACGCAAGGTAACTACATTTTGTGCCCTTCTTTAGAAATGTTCCGGGTTTTTGGATTTACAAAGCATTTAACAAAGTTAGGCTAGTAAGTACAGAGACACAATGTAGCCATGTAATAGCTTGATTTGAAAAGGCCTTAAAGAATTCCATTTAGAATATGGTTTCCTTGAGCACAACCCAGATGGGCTGTTACATAAAGAGAGAGACCAGCTGCAGGTTGAGAGATCTGCATCACAATTGGATCTTAAGAAAGCCAAACAATGTTTTTCATTAAACAAGAGAGCTCTTAATAAGTAGCTTTTAAAAACATGATTATTCTCATTATTCAACAGAATGGAAGCCACTTTCTTTGCAATCGTCAGGCAAACTCCAGAGGAACAGGGGAGACGATCGCTTCTGCATTTGCAAAGATGGACCAAGCTGCCCCACGGACATTATCCACTCATTCACTCAAAGTACACTAAACACCTACTGCAGGCAGGCACTGTTCTAGCCCTGGGCACACAGCAGTGAACACGTAGAGGTCTCTGTGCTCAGGAGCCTTAACCCTAGTTGAGACAGACTGACAATGAACAAATGCATATACACTATATGAGGTAGAAAGCAGTATAGAGAAAAATAGGGAGGAAAGGAGTGCAAGAGTCCTACTACAATTCGAGTGGTCAAAATTGCCTGTCTGAAAAAGGCAATGTCCCTTACAAACATAGACATAAAATATCTTTTAAGCACTTTGGGAGGCCAAGGCAAGTGGATAACCTGAGGTCAGGAGCTCGAGACCAACCTGGCCAACATCGTGAAATCCCATCTCTACTAAAAATACAAAAATTAGCTGGGCGTGGTGGTGCATGCCTGTAATTCCAGCTACTCAGGAGGCAGAGACAGGAGAATTGCTTGAACCTGGGAGGCGGAGGCTGCAGTGAGCCGAGATGGTGCCACTGCACTCCAGCCTGAGTGACAGAGCAAGACTCCGTCTAAAAAAAAAAAAAAAAACTTTAGCAAAAATTGAACAGAAATCTGAGAAAAGTGAGCAGCCAGCCACGTCCCTTCATCATGGGCAAGAGTTCCAGAGAGGGGTAACAGCCAACGAAGACCCCACACCAGTAGTGGGCTCAAAAAGTGGTAAAAAGGCTGGAGTGATGAAGAGGAGAATTATAGGAGATGAGATCAGGCAGGAAGGGGCCAGAGCACATGAAACCTCACAGACTGCTGTAAGGATTTGGGTCATACAAGGTATCTTACCCAGCCACATGGAGTTAAATTAGATATTAATAGCAGAAAAATCCCTGGACAATGCCCAAATATTTGGAAAGTAAATAATGCATTTCTAAATAACCTGTAGATCAAAAATGAAGCCAAAAGGAAACTAGAAATTTTGTTTTCTGAACTAAATGAAAATGAAAACACAACTTATCAGAATTTGTACGATTGTACTAAAGCGTTGCCGAGGTAGAAATCAGTAACACTAAACATCTATATTGAAAAAGTGTCATATCAATGACTTCAGCTTCCATCTGAAAAAACTGGAAAAAAGGAGAAGAAAAAAAGTAAGTAAGCAGAAAAAAGAAAATAACAAGATCAAAGGAGAAATCAATGAAATTTAAAAAAACACAGAATGAAATCGAAGGCATTTGTTTTTGTTTTCAGAAAATGAATAAAATTGATAAACTTCTATCAAGAATGATCAGAAAAAAATACAGAAGACACAAATTATCAACATCAGGAATGACAGAGGTGGCAGTACTACAGATTATACAGATATTAAAAGGATAATAAGTAAATAATATGAACTATTTCATGTGAACAAATGTGACAACACATACAATGAACAAATTCCTTGAAGATACAAGTTATCAAAGTTCACCCAAGAATAAAGAGATAACAGGAATAGCCCTGTTACTATTTAAGAAGTTGAGGCCAGGCATGGTGGCTCATATCTGTAATCTCAGCACTTTGGGAGGCCGAGGTGGACAGATTGCTTGAACCCAAGAGTTCAAGACCAGCCTGGGCAACATGGTAAAACCCTATCTCTACCAAAAAAAAAAAAAAAATTAGCCAGGTGTGGTGGTACATGCCTGTAGTCTCAGTTACTCAGGAGGCTGAAGTGGGAAGATTGCTTGAGGCTGGGAGGTCCAGGCTGCAGGAACCAAGACTGCATCACTGTACTCCAGCCTAGGCAACAGAGTGAGACCCTACCTCGAAAAACAATTTTTTTTGAAATCATAATGCAAAACCTTCCCACAAGGAAAACCCCAGACCTCAGGGTTTGACTGGTGAATTGTACCAAACATATAAGGTTGAAATTATAGTAATTTTACACAAACTCTTCCTGAAAACTGAATAAAAGAGAATCCTTCCCAACTCATTAAATGAGGCCATAATTACCCTACTATGAAAACCAAAGACATTACAAGAAAAGGAAACTACAGAACAATCTCTTATAAACATAGTTGTAAAATATATTTTTAAAACTTTAGCAAATCTAATCCAAGAATATATTAGAAGAATAGCAATATGCCAGACGTGGTGGTTCACCAACACTTTGGGAGGCCAAGGTGGGCAGATCACGAGGTCAAGAGATCAAGACCATCCTGGCCAACATGGTGAAACCCCATCTCTACTAAAAATACAAAAATTAGCTGAGTGTGGCGGCACACGCCTATAGTCCCAGCTACTTGGGAGGCTGAGGCAGGAGATTCGCTTGAAGCCAGGAGGCGGAGGTTACAGTGAGCCAAGATCATGCCACTGCACTTCAGCCTGGCGACAGAGTGAGACTCGGTCTCAAAAAAAAAAAAAAAAAAAAAAAAAAGAAGGATAACAATACATCATGATCAAGTGAAGTTTATCCAGAAATGCAAGGATGATTTAACATCTGACAGGCAAGCAATGTAATTCACTACATTAACAAACTAAAAAAATATATATTTTTAATAGACACATAGAAGGCATTTGAAAAACTCAACACCCATTCATAATAAAAAGTCTCTGCATACCAGGAATAAACAAGCAATTTCTTAACTTGGAAAAGAATATCTAAATTATTCTTTAGAATAATTTATTCTTTACACAGTTACATCATATTTAATGGTGAAAGTATTTGTGCTTCCTGGCTACCATCAGGAATAAGACAAGAGATCCACTCTCAACATTTCTATTAAACATTTTATTGGGTGTAAATAGCCAATGCATTTTACTGGAAAGTATAACCAATGCAATTAGGCAAGAAAAAAAGTAGTGACATATAGATTAGAAAGGATGAAAGAAATCTCTATTTAGCTATATAGTAAATTTGATGTAATCTACAAAAAGACTACTAGACCTAGTAAGTGTAGTAAGGCTGCAGGATATAAGATCCATACGTATACATCTATTATATTTCTATATAATAGCAATGAAGATCAGGAATTAGAATTTTTAAAAATAACTTTTATAATACCATCAAAAATATAAAGTACTTAGAAACAAAGTTGACAAAATATGTGAAAGACTTGTACACTGAAAACAACACAATATTGCTGAAAGAAATAAAAGAAGGTTAAAAAAATGGAGAAACATACCTTGTTCATGGCAGGAAGACTTACTAGTGTCAAGCAGCTAATTCTCCCCCTCTCTCTATTTGTTCTATAGATTCAAAGAAATCCCAATAAAATCACAGCAAGCTATTTGTACAGGTTGACATACTGATTTTAAAATTCATATGGAAATGCAGGGACCCCAGAATAGCCAAAACAACACCAAAAAAACCTGAAAGAACAAATATAAAGAAATGATACTACCTGCTTTTAATAATCATTATAAAGCTACAGTAATGAAACAGTGTAAATATAGGCCAATAAGAGTTTAGAAATAAACTCACATACATAACTAATTCTTTTACAAAGATGCAAAAAGCAAAAATAATCATTTTCTACAAATGCTTCTGGAACAACTGGACACCCAAATACCCCTCCCACACCCAAAATAAACTTGAATCCATACTTCACAGCATATACAAAAGTTAACTCAGGAGGGATCACAGACCTCAATGTAAAACCTAGAACTCTAAAATGTATAAAAGAAAACACAGAAGAAAATCTTTTTGACCCCAGGTTGCTTAGGTACAACACTAAAAAACACAATACATGAAAAACAAGTGGATTAAATGGACTTCATCAAAGTTAAATACCTCTCCTCCTCAAAAGACACTGTTAAAAAGAATGAACAGACAAGCCACAGACTGGGAGAATATATTTGCAAAGTATCTATCTTATAAAGGATTTGCATCTAGAGCATATAAAGGACTCTGAAAATTCAATAATAAACAAAACTCAAAAATTGAGAAGATATTTGAACAAGACACTTTATCAAAGGAGAAATACAAATGAAAAATATGCACATAAAAAGATGCCCAACATCACTACTTAGCAGGAAACCCTAAGTTTAAACCACGACGAGACAAAATAATCCAGCAACCCCACTTCGGCATATATACCCAAAGAATTAAAAACAGGTCTTGAAGAGTTATTTGTACACTCATCTTCATAGCAGCATGATTCAAAATAGCCAAAAGGTGGAAGCAACCCAGTATCCGTTGACAGATAAATAGATAAATTGTGGTATATCTACACAATGGAATATTATTCATCCTTAAAAAGAAAGAAAATTCTCACACATGCTACAACGTGGATGGGCCTTGAGGACACTGGCGACATAAGGCTGACTGAAATAAGCCCATCACGAAATGACAAATACTATATGATTCCGCTAATATGAGATACCTAGTAGTCAAGTTCATAGGGACAGAACAGAATAGTGGTTATCAGGATCTAGCACAAGGGCTAAGTAGGGAGTTCGTGTTTAAGGGGTACAGGCTTTCAGTTTTGCAAGATGAAAAGAGTTTTGAAGATGGATGGTGGCGATGGTTGCACAATAATATGAATGTACTTAATGCCACTGAACTGAACGTGTAAAATGGTTTAAATGGTAAACCTTATATTATATGTATTTTACCACAATTAAAAAACAGTGAGATAGCATTCACACTCACTATAATGAGTACAACAAATAAGACACAATAACACATGTTGACAAAGACGTAGAGAAATGAGAGTTCTCATACACTGCTGGTGGGAATGAAAAATGCCATAACCATGTGGGAAACAGTTGGGCAATTTCTTTAAAATTTAAATACACACCATTTCATCCACTCATTCCACTGGGTAGAAGCGTGATGGGTATGTCAGCTATTGGATTGTGGTGACGGTTTCACAGGGGTACATATGTGAAAACTTATCAAATTTTACATTTTAAGTATTTGTAATTTATTGTATGTCAATTATATCTCAACAAGACTGTTTAAAAAAATAAAAAGAGACTATGGCAGAATATAGTAAAGTGAGAAAAACCACACCAAAAGGAATTTATGGGTTCATTCTGAAAAAATCGCTAACAAACCACAAGTACAATTTTCACCCAGGAATTGTGAGAAGAACAGCAAACTGCGGCGTTCTACCCTTGTCTACTATGAAGTGCCTTGAAAAATGAACGTTGATATTTTGCTCATTGATTGTGAATTCTAACACAATGGCCCCTAAGCAACATTTACACACAAGGAAGGCACAATTAACCATGTTTTGAGTGTTGGGTTCTTTGCACTTAAATTGTCTTCTTGAAACTCAAAGGAAAAAAGTTGCCCAGTTTGTGAAGTAGAAAGACAGAATGGCCCTATTTCGCGTGGATGGAAATAGAATCATTTCTTAGGAATATAAAAAGGGAATTGCCCGAAGCACTTGCACGTAGAATGTTCTTTTTTGTTTTCATTATTTACACTGTAGTTTTATTTCCTAAGGGGCTCTGACAAAAATAAAAACATAAAATGCTAGCACCACAACGGACTTCAGAAACCATCTGGTTTCTCTTCTTTTCTAGGTGAGTAAACTAGAGCCCAGAGAATGGGAGGCGCCTGGGAAAGAGGCTGAAAAGAGGGCTGGGGCGCCCCTCCTCCCCTTGGCCAGGAAAGACCAGACAGCTACCCAGCGCCTTGGGAACCACCAGCGTCCTGCAGCCTACGGCCCCAGTCCTCGGCGCCAGGCAGGCCTGTTCCTTAGGAGAGGTGTTCACTCATTTATGCATTCTGTCAGTCGTCCGTATTTTCTCAGCACCGGGCAGACACAAGCTCTGGGCTCCGTTCTCCTCCCACTATGGCAGACCCCCGCTGGACGTGCACTCTAGCGAGACACACAGCCACTAACCACCGAGCTGCGTGGTGAGTTATTTAATTGTGCCTGTCATCAATGCCACCAAGAAGCCCCTGCAAGGGAGGCCCTGCCCTGGAGCGAGTGGTCAGGCTGAGAGGAGACGGCTGGACGCTGTGTGGGAGCCGGGGAGAGTGGGCCTGGCTGAGGTGGCGGCCCCACCGCGCAGAGCGCCCAGCGCAGGAGCTGCGTCCACGCTGGCCTGGAGCAGGTGAAAGGTTTGATGGGAGACTCCATGTGATGCAATGCAGAGCCGCCGTCTTTACATTTTCATGTTGAAAACACAGCGCGGGCAGTAAATCGGAGGCGATAAGCCTTAGGGGCTGCTCCCGCAGGCAGGGAACCGCGAAGGAGGCCTGGGCTGGGCTGCGAGGCAGCGACAGGAAAAGCGGCTGGGTGTTCCAGATGCTTCGCTGGGCCTGAGCAGGCAGATGGCTGCACACCGCGGGGACCCGGTGTAAAACGGAAACCAACCCCGAATCTCCAGGCGGCGACAGCATGGCACTAACCCCAGCACGAGGCCCTGGGAGCGCATGGAGCCGCTCGCCCAGGATGTGGCAGCTGCCCGGGTGTTGGCGGGAGGGGAGGAGGACCTATGGCACGTCCAGGGTCCGCCTGCGAGCGGTGGGGCTGGAGCGGGCCGCTGGCAGATGCTCTGGGCTGGGACCAGAGCAGAAATGAGGGTGGCAGGGGAGCCCTGGACGTGCCATGGAGGTGCCGAGTGCCAGAGGTGCACAGTGAGCGCTGCCTGGAGAAGACCCTCCGCGCCCCCCACATCCAGGTGGTAATGGAGGCTTCGGGAGTGTCCAGGAGACCCAGGCGGCGGGAACAGCCAGAGCGAGACCCTCACACGCCCGGGGCGTGGGATTCAAAGGCCACAGGGCAGGGGAGCCTGGCTCTCCAGAGCCAAGAGCACCCTGGCCTCCGCCCGCCTCCAGGCCGAATGGCCGAGCCCGGACACCACTGCGGAGTTACAGTGCAGGTTTGTCAGGCCGTGACAAACTATTTAGAAAGTAAATAGTTACAGTGCAGGTTTGTGACTATTTAGAAAGTAAATAATACTTTCTAAAAAGATGAACTTTAGAAGATGCCAGTGCCTGGCTAATGGCACCAGCCGCATGCTGGCTGTTGGGAAGGCGAGGGCTCTGATGCTCCGCCCTCCGCGGGTGGGGAAGACCAGCTGGGAGCAGAGGGCTGACTTCCAGCTTGTTTCCAAAGTAAGTTGTGTACAATCCTAGGCTTACACTAAAAAGAAGCAGAACTTTCTAGAGAGAAAATAGTTGTTTTTCATTGTGCTTTAAGATTTCCAACTGTTACGGAGCCTGAGAGGCAGGTTTGCGCCATGGTTCACAGATGTGTAAAGTGCACAAGATGAAAAACTGGCCTTCCTACCGGAAAGGAACGTACTGTGAGATGCGTGGGCGAGCTTGGGGAGTAAGCAAGGGAATTCAGACGTGAGCATAGGTGGCACCCCGGCTCCGCTCCCTGGGCTAATTTCTCAGTGGAGAAGGGTCGGGGTAGAAGACCCCGGAGCTCAGAAGGGCGACAGGAGGAGGGCCCTTCCCTAGCGGCCCCGCTCCACCCGTGCCCTTGGCTTCCCGCCGTCCGCTGTGCGCTCTCCTGCGCCTCGGCCTGTCCCTCCCGGCACTGATGAGTCTACCTGGCACACATGCTTAGCATGATTCTCAATAAAGAAGAGGTGTCAAAAAGGCTGCCCTGTGGGAAGAGGATATTTTCTACAGAAATAAAAAAGAAGCCGGCTGAACTTCACTGATGGCCCAGACTGCGGAGAGGACCGTGGCCACCTTAATAACAGCTGGCAGATGGCAAGGGAGGCCCAGGTGGGAAGCAGCTGCATGGCCGAGCCTCACTGGGTCAGCCCCTCAGTCTCTTCACTCTCACATTCTAGCCCGGGCTCCTGCCCACATTCTGCATGGCATGGCCTGAGCCAGACCTGGACACTGTCCCAGGGTCCTGCCCACCTCAGACCCACATTAGCAAATCCCCTCAACTCCACGAAAAACACGTGCTCTGGACCGACCGGCCCTGCCTCCCCTGTCTACCCGCCAGCATTCTTGACCTAGTCACCCCCGGCCCGCCCACCTCTGGGGAAGCCCTCTACCCATCCACGGGCAGCCTGGGTGATGCTTACCAGGGAGAACAGACTACCTCACACCCTCTAAGCCCTTCTGAGGGCTTCCTGTAACACCAAGGAAACTCCAAACTTCTCACTGGTCTCCCCACTCAAGCCATAGGGTCTTTCCCCAGGGCTCCTCCAGCCTCACCCCCACTCTCCTGACTTCCCTCACTTCTCTCAGACCACAGGGCAGCTGGGGGAGTCTTTGCTGACCACTCCTGATGCCGGTGCTGTGGTGCTGTGACCAGTCACTGGTGCTATGTGACTTCTCCCTTTGCCCAGTGTGTCCCCAGCTTCCCCATGTCTTCAGAGCTAAGCCAAGACAGGCACGAAGAATAATGAGTGCCTTTGCGTTGGTGTCATCCACACACGTCAGGGAAGGCACCTTCGTCCCCTCCTCAGACAACCCGTGCTGCCTTCACTTGGGCAGATGGAAGTGTCACATGCTCCTTTGCTTGATGGAGGCTAACAAATTATGGCCTGGAGACTTGCACTGAGGTAGGTTGCACAGCTGTGGATTTATTGCTTGGCCTTTTTCACTCTTCGGAAGAAAATGGACTTTAAAAATAATCTCCTCTCCCATAAAAAAAGAAGAAATTCTCAGGAAGGAAAATCACTCATGCCATCCAACTTACTGAAAAGCTCTCTAGAGCAAAAGTTTTCAAACGTTTCTTTAATCTGGTTACATAACCTGGGCATTAAGACATAAAGCAAGGTTCTCCCTGGACCCAGAGGCACCTGCTGTCCACAGGAGGCTGAACCGTCAGCTCCACGAGGGCAGGGCTAGAGGAGTCTACTCCCCTGTACATTTACTGACAGCACTCCTTGCTCCACGACTTCACACGTGCCTGTGTGTGTGCAAGTGTGTGCATGCATGTGTTGCAGACACAGGTGCCTTTACAGGTGGTGATGAATACTATTGAGGAAGGTAAGTCATGGAGATAGTGGCCCCAGAGGGCATCCCAGTCTCTATTCTACATGGGGGCAAATGCAGAGTTAGGCTTCAGGAATAAGGGAACAGAGTGTAAAACAGGGAGAAACGTTTCCTTCTGCTCCGGCAAGCCCACATTTGTGGGAGGAAGTGGAAGAACTCCCACGTGTGCAGCAGGGCTGGGCAAAGGCATGAATGCCCAGAACAGCCGGAGGATGTTAAGCTGGGGAAGTGATGCTCGGGGAGCCTGAGCTGGCCATGGGGCAGATGTCGCAACCTCCTTCCCTTCAGCTGAAAGTAATGAACTGGGACCTAGATGCTGGGTTGGGGAGCAGAGGCAGCAAGGACCGCTGGGAGGCAGGATTCACTTTCTTATAAAGAGAAACCGTCCAACCGTACAACTGTCTCAAGATGGAATGGGCTTTCATAGAAGCTGGAACCACATGGCAGAAATTCTAAAACCATGCATGGTGTGGAGGGAAGGTGGGGGAACAATCTCTACACTTTAGCGCTGCACTGACATTCTATGACTCGGAGGTTTCCAGCCTGGATATTTAGAAAAACGTGACTGAATTGACAGAAAAGGGGAGGGCAGGCTATGAAGGATGGGTAGGGAGCACTGCGCACTTGACACAAGGGCAGCTGGGAGCCGGGGTCTGAGAAATGCAGGCTGGGCATCAAGGAAGAAGCTGGAACTGGGCTGGGTGAGGAACAGCGAGGAGGAGCTTCTCATGGGGATCCCTATGGAATTGTCACAAGCTTAGGCTGGCCTATGTGTTGGCCACATCCCAGGACAACGGCTGTCCTGCTCCCGTCTCTTCTAGATGTTCTCCCCATGACTGAACAGATGGGATCGTGGGGTATGCCATCATTCTCCTTCCTCTTCACTTCCCTGTTGTCTTCCTTCTGTCCTTTGACATGACCTTCAGAGGCATCCAGCCAGTGTCCTCCACACCATTAGCTCACTGCAGCCCCCAAAGGCTCCCCAACCTTGCAACTCCTTCCCCTCAGTCCCCTCTCCTGCCTCAAAGAACTTCCTCTTGCCCTTGTGGGCTTCTTCCTGTGTGCTTGTTTCCCAGATTCCTTCACTTTCTGGAGTTACCTCCATTTTGGACAATGCTGAAGCTTACCGTTTGGGGATGTTTCACTGACTTTGGGAACACTGGCATTCTTTCCTCTCTCTTTTATTGCTTCCCATTTTAGAGGAACTATTCTAATTTTAAAAGTTATCAGCTTCTCATCTGATAAAATCCAGCATCCGTTTATGATAAAAACCCTCAACAAACTAGGCATAGAAGGGACTTAAATTAATAAAAGCGATATATGACCAACCCATAGCCAACATCATACTGAATGGGGAAGAATTGAAAGCATTCCTCCTGAGAACTGGAGCAAGACAAGGATGCTCTCTCTCAACACTCCTATTCAACAGTATTGGAAGTAATAGCCAGAGCAATCAGGCAAGAGAAAGAAAGAAGGGTATCCAAATCAGAAAAGAGAAAGTCAAACTATCACTGTTTGCTGAAGATATGATAGTATACCTAGAAAACCCTAAAGACTCCTCCAAAAGACTCCCAGATTTGACAAACTTTCAATAAAGTCTCAGGTTACAAAGTCAATGTATACAAATCAGTAGCTGCTATACACCAATAACGACCAAGCTAAGAATCAAATCAAGAACTCAATCCCTTTTACAATAGCTGCAAAACATAAAATAAAATACCTAGGAATATATTTAACCAAGGAGGTCGAAGACCTCTATAAGGAAAACTACAAAACACTGCTGAAAGAAATCATAGATGGCACAAACAAATGGAAATACATCCCATGCTCATGGATGGGAAGAATCAATATTGTGAAAATGACCACACTGCCTACAGCAATCTACAGATTCAATGAAATTCCCATCAAAATGCGAACACTATTTTTTACAGAATTTTTTTAAAATCCTAAACTTCATGTGCTACCAAAAAAAAGGGCCTGAACAGACAAAGCAAACTTAAGCAAAAAATAACAAATCTTGAGACATCACATTATTGGACTTCAAGTCATGCTACAAGGCTATAGTTACCAACACAGCATGGTACTGGTATAAAAGTAGGCACATAGACCAATGAAAGTCAGAAATAAAGCCAAATACTTACAGCCAATTGATCTTTGACAAAGCAAACAGAAACATAAAGTGGAAAAGGACACCCTATTTACTAAATGGCATTGGGAAAATTGGCTAGCCAAATGAAGAAGAATGAAACTGTATCTCTATCTCTCACCTTGTACAAAAATCAACTCAAGATGGATCAAAGACTTAAATCTAAGATGTGAAATCATAAACATTCTAGAAGATAACCTTGGGAAAGCTCTTCTGGACATTGGCCTGGGCAAAGAATTCATGACTAAGACCCCAAAAGCAAATGTGACAAAAATGAAAGTAAATAAATGGGACCTAATTAAGTTAAAAAACTTCTGTACAGCAAAAGAAGTAATCATCAGAGTATTAATAAAAATCATCAAACAGACAACCCACAGAGTGGGAGAAAATATTTGCAAACTATGCATCCGACAAAGGACTAGTATCCAGAATCCATAGGGAAAAAACAAATCTGCAAGAAAAAAACAAATAATCCCATCAGAAAGTGGGCAAAGGACATGAATAGAGAATTCTCCGAATAAGATATACAAATGGCCAACAAACATACGAAAAAATGCCAACATCACTAATTATGAAGGAAATGCAAATCAAAACCACAATGAGATGCCATCTTACTCTTGCAAAAATGGCCATTATCAAAAAGTCAAAAAACAATAGATGTTGATGTGGATGTCATGAAAAAGGAATGCTTTTACCCTGTGGTGGGAATGTAAATTAGTACAACCTCTATGGAAAACTATATAGGGATTCCTTAGAGAACTAAAAGTAGATCTACCATTTGATCCAGCAATCCCAGTACTGAGTATCTACCCAAAGGCAAAGAAGTCATTATATGAAAAAGACACCGTACATGCATGTTTATGGCAGCGCAATTCACAACTGCAAAGATATGGAACCAACCTAAGTGCCTACTGACCACTGAGTGGATAAAGAAAATGTGCTATATATACACCATGGAATACTACTTAGCCGTAAAAAAAAAATGTCTTTTGCAGCTACTTGGATGGAGCTGGAGGCCATTATTCTAAGTGAAGTAACTCAGGAATGGAAAACTAAATACCACAGGTTTTCAGTTGTAAGTGGGAGCTAAGCTTGAGTATGCAAGGGCATACAGAGTGATATAATGGATTTTGGAGATTCAGAATGGGAAGGGTGAGAGGGAGGTGTGACATAAAAAATTACATATTGGGTACAATGTACACTCCTCAGGTGTCAGGTGCACTGAAATCTCAGAATCCACCACTATATAATTCATCCATGTACCCAAAATCACTTGTACTCCCAAAAGCTATTGAAATAAAAAAAAATTAAACGAAAAAACAGCTACCAGCTTTTAAAGCTTAGAAAATGCAGGTCTATTGATTTCTTTTTTCAATTTGTAAGTCAATCAAGAAAAGAAAATGGCTTACTGCTGTTTCAGAGTGTGATAAAGGCTTACCTTTTTGCCCTCTCTGTAGGGACACAGGGCCGTGGCGTGTCTGGGGTTGGCAGTGTCCATGTGCGTTTGCCCCTGTACCTCGGTCTGGCTTTGGCAACATGGCCAAGCTACATAAGCCATATGGGCCTCAGCTTCCTGACCTCTAAAATGAGGCTAATAAGACCAGGTCACTGGATATCTAAGTGTCGGTGGAACTTCATAAGAAGGACATCATAAGAAGGGCCCCTGTTCGCAAGCCCAGCACCTCAGCAAACAGGAGCCCCTCCCCTGCACCAACCTTGTGGCTCAAGGGCTTAATGGTGATTAAACAGGGACAGAATCACTTTATTTTTATTTCAAACCACTTTTTAAAAAATGATCTTGAAGTTGGATTTGTGCATTCCATAAAATAAGTCCATAAATAACGTCCACAAAAAAGTGGAGTATATTTGTTAGCTGACTCTGTACCGATAATGAAGTTGATGATGCAACCATGGGATAAATGCTGGAGCGAAGACCCCTCATCAGTCAGCGGCTTCCAGCAGGACAGCTTATATTTATCAAAAGCCACCACGACCTTCTGCCCATAAAACTACCCAAACTCCTTTTAACAACAAAATAAAGAAGAATACCTCTAAGTATTTGATTCTAAGATTGTAAGTGGTTTCCAAAAGAAAAATCTTTGAGAGAAAATATTTTCTCTGGGCAAGTCAGGAGCACAGGGAGGGGACTGGCATCCCTGACAGGTGCAGACGCAGGGAAGGTGCTGGCCTCCCTCACCGATCTCATGCACAGGCAATGACAGGGGTGGCAGTTTCTCCAGGGAAAAAGTTCATGATAGGTTTTTATATTGACATACAGAGAAACAAAACTTTTAAAAAATATATCTTTCATTAAAAAAAGATTAATTAAAGCCAATTGTACGTTAAGCTGCATTGTGAAATGATAAATTCCACCTTGTCCCATGGGACTGTCATTTTAGTTATTATTCATTCCAAGTTCAGAATATAAAACACTTAAGTTGCTTTCCTTTTTTAAAGTTCCCAGTAATATCCAATTGCAAAAGGAAACAAAAGAGAGCCCCCTTTTGCTTAAAGGGAGAAACATGTGATGTGAGGATTCCCTGGGTGCATACCATGCACATTAACAGGATCTGTCTCTTACTGCGACTTCAGCTGCTATTGTTTCATTGACTAGAAGTAAAATACTAAGGCTGTGCCATGGCCCTCACCCCAGCCAGCCCAGCAGCTGCTTCATGCCTAAGATGCCCCTCCTCCATCACAGACCTCCTTTCCTCCTCCTCCCCACTTCCCCACATGCCCACTACAGATGCCCCAGAGACTCCCTTCTGCCCCCTCCCCAGGAGGCTCCTGCACCAGTGTCCTACCGCACTCACATAGAGAGGGCAAGAGAGCAGCACAGGTGTCAAGGGTCAGGAGGGGTCACTGCTGAGAACTCGGTGCTTCTCTGGGCAGAGGAACAAGGAGAAAGGGGCAGGTGCTGCAGGTCTCTGGGGGTGGCATTGCCTCAGGAGTGTGAGAGCAAAGGGCAGAGTCCACCACAGCTCCTGGACCACCGTCACCCAGCTACTCCACATCAGGATGAGAAATGGGGTGCAGGCTCTCCGGGGTCCCAGCCTAGTGGGAAGGGCCTCCAACTGGCCCAGAGGGCCTCTCTCCCCTCCACCCTCCTGACCCCAGCAGGAGGGGCTGACCCACTTCCATCCACTTCTTCACTGGCACCCCCCATATACACAGGCACACATATGCATCCACATTCACACATACACACACACACACAGATACACACTCACAGCCTATGAGGGAAGAGTGGCCTTAGCCAGCTCAAGTGACATAGAAATGGGAGGAAATGTTCATAGTCTTCTAGGTCCCCACAAACCTTTACTTTCAAAGCAGAGTAAAAAGGAATAAAAGCCATGAGACATTAAAGCTCATTAAAAGGGACCTTTCATCTCCATTCAAGGCTTTTCCACTAGGAGGAAGTATCCATCGGATCACTCAGTTCATAATTACAGTGGCGCCTAGTGGGACTCTGAAATTCATGATTTAGATGAAAGAGGCTTCTCACACATATTTCACACTCAAAAGGCTGGAAATAGCAAATCCAATGCATCTTCAGAAAGCACTGATCTAAAGAAACCTCTTAAAACTAGAGCCAAGAGGAAAACAATCACCCTGTCCTGCATCTTATAAAATCTATAGAGAAAAGATGAAGACAGGAGAAAATTACATTTTTTCTTTTTTAATTACTATTTTATTGATACATAATAGATGTACATATTTTCAGAGTATATGTGGTAATTTGACACATTCATGTAATGTGTAAAGATCAAACAGGGTAATTGGAATACCCATCACCTTAAATATCTATCTTTTCTTTATGCTAGGAATATTCGAATTATTCTCTGAAATATACAATTATTCTTTGAAACATACAATCAATCAATGTTAACTACAGTCACCCTCCTGATCAATGAGAAATGAGGTCTGATTTCTATTTAACTATGTATTTGTACCCACTAACCAACCTCTCTTCAATCCACAGTTTATTTTTTTAATTAAAAAAAACAAGAAAAAACACAGAATTTTATAAGTAGAAGGAGAAGAATGTGATAATACAGAAGCATGAAAAATATTGAATAAGATAGAAGACTGAAGTGCATAAAATGTATAACAGTAAACGAAAGATAATGGAGATATATTTAAGACATACAATGATGTCCATTGACAAAAGACTGAGGAAGCTGGCACAGAACACTTGACATATTTAGAACAGTAACAAAATTACAAAACAGCTTTCAATCATCCACTGAATAGTCATGGGAAACTTGAAACTACTAAAGTATGAGGTACTTAAAAGGTAAGTTTGGTTCAGTCAATCTTTAAGATTATTGTATCATCATTCTAAGCATAGGTGTGTTCATATTAAAATAAAAATATAGGCCAGGCACCGTGGCTCACGCCTGAAATCCCAACACATTGGGAGGCCGAGGCAGGCAGATCCCTTGAGGTCAGGAGCTCGAGACCAGCCTGGCCAACATGGCAAAACCCCATCTCTACCAAGAATACAAAAATTAGCTGGGTGTGGTGATGGCCACCTGTAATCTCAGCTACTCAGGTGGCTGGCTGAGGCACAAGAATTGCTTGAACCTGGGAGGCCAGAGGTTGCAGTGAGCCAAGATTGTGCCGCTACACTCCAGCCTGGGCAACAGGGTGAGATTCTCTCTCTATAGATAGATAGATAGATAGATAGATAGATAGATAGATAGATAGATAGATAGATAGATAGATACAGAGATATATATATATATATCTTCTTTATGCTAGGAACATGTAATTTACCCCAAGGAAAATAAGGAGATGGTGTGGCCATCACAAAAGCAGCACCCCGAGGGAGAGCAGGGCTTCCTGGAGGGCTGTGGGAAGGGCAGGGAAAACTAAAGGCCAACCATCAGTCCAGTAAGATAACAGAAAGTAAGATAAGAAATTATTGGAGGACATGATTTTAACTAAATGGACGGGGAGAAGCTTCCCATTCGCCGCAATGCCTCTGCCCAGGTGAACTCTGTGGTGCGTCACAGCAGAAGAGACTGGGCCAACCCCGCTGTTCGTGTTGCACAGTCAGGAACAGAGGGAAGGGGCTCTGGGAAAGCCCTCTTGGTGCCTGTGCCCAGACGGTGCATCTGCAGCAGGGCTGGGCAGTCAGAAATAAGCCCCTCAAAAGTAGTTTAAACCAACAATTATACAATGAGGTACTGTTTTTTACCCACCAAACTAGCAATGAGGAAAAGATGGCATAACATGTTGGTGAGGGTTTAGAGAATAGGCGTCTGTATTCATACCTCCTGGGGCAAGGTGAATCACTGCAACTTATTGAAAGGGCAATTTGGCAATATCTAGCCAATTAAATAGCCAAGAACCCCTACACTAGCAATTCCACTTCTAATCCCAAAGGCTAGCAAGAGTCTAGACAACACTTACATGCCCACCAACAGATCGCGTGAAATAAACAATGACCCCTCATAGGATGGAACACATGTGACCACGAGTGAGTGGGAGAGTCAGGTGAATGCTGACACGCACTGCCTTCAGGCTTTATTGTTAGGTCTAAGACAAAACAAAACAAAAACAAGGTGCAGAATAGCACACACAGTGACCCCCGTGTTTATGTTTTACAAAGAAAATAATCATATTCTGGCTGGGTGGGTGGCTCACGCCTATAATCCCAGCACTTTGGGAGGCTGAGGCGGGTAGATCACCTGAGGTCAGGAGTTCGAGACCAGCCTGACCAACATGGAGAAACCCCGTCTCTACTAAAAATACAAAAAAATTAGCCAGGCATGGTGGTGGGTGCCTGTAGTCCCAGCTACTCAGGAGGCTGAGGCAGGGGAATCACTTGAACCTGGGAGGCGGAGGTTGCGGGGAACCGAGATTTCACCATTGCACTCCAGCCTGGGCAACAAGAGCACAACTCCATCTCAAAAAACAAAAACAAAATAAGAAAATAATTATATTCATTATAAACTATCAATGCTAATTATCCCTGAAAGGGAACTTACATTAGAAGAAGGAGGGGAGGGAGGGACAGAAGAAGAAAGAAAAAAATCTTTTTAAAAACATGAACCAACACAGAAACTCAGAATGTTCACGCAGAATCATCGGGAAGTGTAAGGCTACGTCTTTCTCCAGCAGCCCTGAGCAATCCACTCTTACCCAGGTAAAATGTTATATCACTACAATTACAAGTTGTGTTTTCAGATACCTGCTCTTCAGATATAAAGTAGCCACCAGGCGCCTTACTTCATTTGTTCAAGAAAGACCAGACACCATGTCCCATTCGTAAGTATGGGTGGATTTCTCAGCGCCCCAGCTCCCCGACAGTGAAGAACCTCCTCCCAGCCACTGGGAAACAATAAAGCTGCGTGACTTCGCAGGGAAGGTGCCCCATGGCTCTACTGTCCACAGGGCTTTCTCCTGACCCTTTCTCTCGGTTCCCGTAACTCCTCCCTCTCATATCCCTTCATGCCCAGGATGACGATACCCTACAGCTACTGAATTTTCCCTTGCCCACATCCTTATAAATATTCCCCGTAATCAGAAATTTCCCACTGGAGCCACCCTCTGTTTCCTGCTTGGACGTGGCCTATAGGAGCAGGAGGCTTCTCTGCTCAAAGACTTCCAGTGACAGCCTCTGAGTGACACCAAAGGCAATGGCACCCCACCACCCCTCACTGCCCTCCGGAGCCACCCACTGCAGTGATTGATAAGATGGGCTGATCACACCCAGCAGAGTTCAGGCCTCCCTTCCCCTATGTCTCCGCTCAGGTCAGGCGCTTCCTAGGAAAGCCTTTCTCTGTTCTCACCACTTACTTGACCTGATCACAAAGCCAAGGCCAGCAACCCAGGCCATGGCCGTCCCTCTAGGCTCTGCGCTCCTGGCATCCTTACTCTCCTATTTACCTGGAACCCACGCTATCCTGTCTGTATTTTTCGCCTTCTTTATTTATGTAGATGACCAGTCTCCTAGTCTAGAATGGAAGCCTCATGAAGGAAGTTAAACCATCCCTATAAGCTTTATTAAATTAATCAGGGAAGAAGAAAAGCAACAATAAACCCAGCTTGCAGCACACTCAGCATTGATCACTAGATCAGCTGCTCTCTGACCTGCTTCCTCAGAGCCATCTGCTGCCTGTTGCCCCAGAATCCGGCAGACCCTGTTACAAGATTACAGTTTCCCTTAACTGCTCTACAAATAACAACTTGAACATTATGAAATGTTGAGTTTTCCCTTTGAGATATTCCTTCAGTTCCTGCATACTGATGAAACTACTGGCTCAGCTGGTCTGAAGGGTCCCATAGGAGCTCACTCACCAGGAAATGAAGTTTCCACATCCTGATGATTTCATCCTCCTTGCCCCAACCAATCGACCACTCCAACTTTCCAGCCCCTCACCCTCCATGATCCTCTTAGAAACTCCGGCCCAGAACCCCAGGAGATGGATTTGCGGGTCTCCTCCCAGCTCCTCATTTGGCGCCCTGTGATCATTAAACTGTTTCTCTGCTGCAAAACCTGCTGTCTCAGTGGAGTGGATCTGTTACTGCACAGGGGGCATACAAACCTGCTGGTCCTAAACAGAAGGGTTTGCATATAAACTTTGGGGATCCTTATAAGAAGGGCCCACGCTTTTACATACTTGAGTGAGATGTAGGTGTCTGTGCATGTGTATGTGTAATTGACAGTGGACTCTGATCATTTCTAGTAATCTAACTTCTAATAAAATGATACATTAGGAAAGGTGATTCAGAAGTCAAAATTTTAAGCCCTAAGAAATGTACTTCTTATTTTCTTCAGGAAGACTGAAAACATCCATTCAATTTAACATTTATTGGAAAACCTACAGCTATTATACTAAACATTATCAGGTACTAGAATACTTTTTAAAATATCATCTCTGGCTGGCATGGTGGCTCACACCTGTAATCCCAGCACTCTGGGAGACTGAGGCGGGTAGATCACCTGAGGTCAGGAGTTTGAGATCAGCCCGGCTAACATGGTGAAACCCCATCTCTACTAAGTATACAAAATTAGCTGGGCATGGTGGCGCATGCCTGTAATCCCAGTTACTCGGGAGGCTGAGGCAGGAGAATCGCTTGAACCCGGGAGGTGGAGGTTGCAGTGAGCCGGGATCACACCACCGCACTCCAGCCTGGGTAACAGAGTGAGACTCCATCTCCAAAAATAAATAAATTAATAAATTACATTAAATATCATCTCTATCCTCAAGAATTTTACAGTCTAATAGTATAGGAAACAGAAGACATAAAAGAAGGCAAAATGTGATGAATGCCACAAAAGAGTTGTCATGCCATAGAAATTAACAAACCCTGGAGAGTCTTGAGAGGCTTCTGAACATGGGATTAACAGAAGCAGATGTTTAAGCAGGAGCACCTGCCTGGTGCTCCAGGAAGGTGAATCAGGTGTGAGGATGCAGCTGGGCAAAACTGAATGGAAAGTCTCTGAGAGACCATGGAGGAGGCTGTTGGGAGAAAACACTCTACTGAGCTCTTGCATTTCTGAACATCTTCTAAGCAGAAGAACTGATTGTCTTTGTTCCAGACTATCTTTTCCAAGATGCATGCACAGCCCATCAGCCTTGAAATACAGAGATATGTCCCTCTGTAGCAAAAGGCAGGGATGCTTTTTGTCCTGTAAAATGGATTTGTGTTTCCTAAGTGCCAAATTCCTCTCCTGACACAAATTACTGCATGTGCAGGTGTCGCCAGACCCAGGTAGGCTTCGGCTCATGCTGCCTACTGTGGCCTGGGGAACAAAGTCCTGAGGCTCATGTCTCTTGTCAGCATCCATGACACTTTGCCACTTACTAGCTTACAAATAGGGTAAAACTCCTGACAGAGACTACTGAAATACTTTTGTAAAATAAAATGAGAATCATTCTGTTTCCTCAGCTGTTCAATATGGTTAATAATACCTACTTTATAAGGCTGCTGTGAGGACCAACTAAGGAACATACACCCAAGAGAAGGTGCTCAATCCTCTGTGAACCAGCCAGTCACCATTCAACAAGTCAAAGCAGCAGAAATAGAAGCAGAAGGAAGGCAATGGCCTGCGCAGTAAGCAGAAAATATCATACAGAGACAGATGTCAAACAACGATGTCTAGGAGAAGGGAGCAGTCACATAACATGTCACAGGAGGCAGGGGACAACTTCAGAGCAGGGTTACAGTAGTCAAGGTCCCCCACTGCCTCATCCATCTCCAAGGGAGAAGTAACTGTACAAGCTCACTATACTGTGGACGCTGAAGGCATTTCCCACGAGAATGCCAATTAAGAATTCTGAAACTGATATACATAGTACTGGAAGTGAATGATTAAGTAAACAGATGGTGGATGATGGGAATTAGGTTTCTCCCTGTTGGAGAGGGAGATTACACATGTGCAAGGGGTGGAGGCTAGAATTATCCATGTGGTAATGATATGGACTTGGCTTAACCTAGAAATAGATGGTTTAATTAGAACTATTCATAGACCAATGTATATAAATGTGTGTGTGTGTATACAAACTAGTATATACACATATATTTCTGTGCTCTATCAATCAGCTGAGAGCATGTAGAATGAATGACATTCAGTATCAATGAGCACACCTAGATCCCAGATCTTGGCTTATAATACCAGTCTCCAGTAAAAGAGAACAAGGCTTCTTGGAGAAACGTTGTATTCTAGGACTGGAGCAGGAAGTATATAAGATGAGCGTGGAACATATCGCAGTGCTCTAAAATAAGGAAGGGCTCACGGAAAGAAAAACAAGCACGATGTTAGCGGCACACATCAATGGGACACAGGCACCAATGGAGAGCGCTCCCAATGGCCACAACTGGGAAGAAGTTGAGTAAGAAATAAAGCAATATTGGATTATAACTCAAAGCACAAAATAAATATATGAGAGTCCAAACTGATATAAATGAATGACTGAATAAGTAAATGATTGGAGAAGCATAAACACATGTATGTACAAGAATCCCAACTATCTTCTAAAGATACTTCCTCCTCGAGCGGGGAGCAAAGCTCCCTACCCGTTAAGTGTTGCTTGCTCGTGGCAACTTCCCTCCCACCAGCACAGTACAGAAGTGGGGAGAGGAACTCTGCAGTAAAGACACCCGACAAACACTACTTCAGCCCATGATGAGTCATGCTGACAGCACGCACTCTCCACAGGGTATGATGAAAATGACACTTCAGCTCTGCACTCATTCTCCCCCAGATCCACAACCCTGGTCAAATCGTGAGAAAAATGTCAGACAAATCTCACTTTAGTGCCATCCTACAAGACACATGACCGATAGACCTCAAAACTGTCAAGGTCATCAAAAACAAGGAAAGACTGAGAAACTGTCACAGCTAAGAAGGGACTTGGGAGATATGATGACAAAATGGGAAGTGGGGTCCCCGATGGGGTCCTGGAACAGAAAAGGATATCAAGGAAGAATTAAGGAAATCTAAATAAAGTGTGCACCTTAGTTAATTAGAAAAGCGGTCAACACTTTATTTTTATTCAAAAACGGCCTCAAGTAGGGCCTATGAGCTGAAAAAGTAAATGGCTTAGATGTGTAAATAATAACGCAGAAGAATAATTTCTCAGTATTCTACTATTCTTCCTGGTTACAGACTGTAAGTGGCAATTTGCCTTTGGGATTAACCACCTACTAAACATTTCAAGGGCTATAATATTTGTCATCAAGATGGCATGTGAGTATTCTGTCCTGGGTTGCCAGGTCGGGCAGCACAAGAGAGAGATACACACTGTTCTCCTTGGAGGGAGGTGCAGGCGCCCTCCCTCTACCAGAAAGAAAACAATATTCCAAAACAATGTCTCAAGTGAGACATTGAGACATTGATGCCTCAATGTCTTAGATATTCTGTAAATTATTATTTTTAAAATGCTAAATTCCTTTCAGAGGCTATGATTTCCAAAGCCCATAACAACACGAGAAAAGCACCAGTTTCCATTTGTTTGTTTTGTATTAGAGAGGTTATGCACACTCTTAAGATGGTTATTTTACCCACAGTGAGTAAGACTAATTAATTCATTTTCTGGTAATTCTGCTGCTACCCCTGAAATGTTAATTCAGGCAAGTACTTGTATAAGACAAAAGAGAAATTTCACTGACAATCTTCAGTTGGAACAACACACACATAAAACACACACACATATTACATTTACACCCACATGGGCACATACATGAACATATACACGTGTGAACATGAAAACACATGGATGCACACATGCAGGCACAACTATGCATATGCACGCACACCCACACAGGTATACATGTGTACACACCAAATCATAATTCACACATGCACACATACATGCACACATTCACACACACACAATCATGCAGACATGGGCCACACGTGTGTGCATCCACACTAGTACACATACATGTGTGCACACTTGCACACAAGTGTGCACACAGACACAGGCTCACATGCATACGTGTATTCACCCACACATGCACACATACACACATAATACACATGCAGGCACACTCATACATGCATACATATAAGCTCGCATACATACAGGCACATTTGTCTATATGCACCCATGCACACTACACACATACACAGGCACATAGGCACATACACACCCAATACACATGCTCGCATATGCACACACACTTTTACATTTGCAGTACTCTACCTCCTTGTCTGTGTCTTAACAAAATCTTTTTGCATATTTTGAAGTACCATGGATCTGGCAACTTAACTCTCTGTTATAGCATGAAAGTAGCTATGGATAATACATCACTTAATAAGCATATCTGTGTTCCAATAAAACTTCAGTCACAGAAACAAGTGAGCAGCCCATAGGCAGTCAATCCCTGAATAGAGAATAAATACAAAAAGAGAAAAAATGCACCTATCATACCTGTACATCAATGGATTACTACAAGCTGAGCACGTGTGTCATAAAATATAATATCACTAGAACCCAGAGTCCCCTCATGAGTCCCCTAATTCTCACACTCCCCAAGAGGAATCACTATCCTATTTTCTAACAGCACAGATCAGTTTTCCTATATTTGTACTTTATGTAATTAAAATCATATATGCACTTTTTTGTGTCTGGCTTCTTTCACTCAATATTA